>NC_000010.11:32444259-32748541 GCF_000001405.40 Homo sapiens
CTATTCATAAGTATTGTTTGTTTTCAAAGAATAATCGATTCATGTCACAGACTCAAACCACTGCAAAATTTGATATTACATGCTTAAATTTATTAACTTTTTAAACTTCTTTGCTTTACATTGTCAGCACTGATAACTTTTCTGTGGTTCTTAGCTGTGCTATTAAGGCCACAGATATGAATGGTGAACTTTTGGCTAGACTCATGCTGAGAGTTTTGCTAATGTATGCTAACTTGACAACTTGACCGTTAAGATTTTACCAACAAAATTAGAAATGACTAGATGTAATCTATTTTCAGGGTTCTAGAAAATAACTGAAATTGGCTTTGTCAAATCTAAGGTCTTCTTTAATCTCTCCTGACTTTTAGTTCTATCTTTCCTATCCCTTTCATTTACAACGGTTTTGGGAGATTTGGAATTTAGCAATTCAATTCTTTCTAAACTACTTTCTTAATTTTATTGCCAACTTTAAAAAATAAAAAATTGTTGGTGGAAAGCTTAATAAATCTGATCATTTATATGTACATTTTCTTTGTTACTGACATAAAACACACATACTGAAAAGTGCATAAATAAGCATATGCCTTCATGTTTTTTTTTTTTTTTCTTTTTTAGATGGAGTCTCGCTCTGTTGCCCAGGCTGGAGCGCAATGGCACAATCTCGGCTCACTGCAACCTCCACCTCCTGGGTTCAAGTGATTCTCCTGCCTCAGCCTCCTAAGTAGCTGGGATTACAGGCACCCGCCATCACGCCCGGCTAATTTTTGTATTTTTAGTAGAGATGGGGTTTCACCATGTTGGCCAGGCTAGTCTCGAACTCCTGACCTCGAGTGATGCACTGCCTCAGGCTCCCAAAGTGCTGGGATTACAGGTGCGAGCCACCACGCCCAGCCTGCCTTCATGAATTTTTGAACACACCCAGAAAGAGCAGAAGACAGAACATTTCTGGTACACCAGAAGATGTGTTGTTTTCCCTTTCCAGGCAACCCCAATGGTAACTCCTAGTGGTGTGATGGAGCTAGCCTACACCAGCTCTTGGGAGCTGATAAATTTTCAGGAATCTCTTGTGAGGCATTCAGATTTTACTGGAAAATTAGAAATAATTAGATATAATGAATTTTCAGAGTTTTAGAAAATAGTTGAAATCTACTAAGTCAAATCTAAGGTCTCCTTTAAACCTCCTGGTTTTTAGTTTTAGTTCCATCTTTCCTATTCCTTTCATTTACACACAGGCATTATTAACAGTTAAATTGTATCAATTAATATTTTAAAATATTAAAAACATTTTACTTCGTTCAACTTAAAGACAAAATTAATATATTTCTTGAGGTCAAATTATCTAAAAAACTCTACCTTGTAAAATTGCATCTTAAAGCAGTGCGTGGAAACTGATGGCAAGAAACCACTTAAGTGTCACAACTCTGCTTCAAGTTAATTCCTAGTCCATTTGATTTTGTTTTGCTTTTAAGATCACGAAGCTGGTGTACACTTCCGTGCGAGCTTAGAGTGGTAATGAACTCCACAATACACTGAAAAGAGCTTGAGGAGACAGCAGATGAAGGACTGGGGCTCTGGTTTTGTAGCTGAAGCCCAGGTTCTCAAAGGTCCTACCAGGCCTGTACTTTATTTCTCCTCCGCGGGCCTCTAGGCCAAATGCCTGGATGAATCTGCGCTCAGGGGGCGTCCTGGAATTACACTTGGGAGAGAATAAGAAAGGAGGAGGCCGATGTGCCCATGGACATTATTAACCTTCCGGCAAATCCCCACAGCCGCCAAACTGCGTCTCCTCTTCCGCTCTCGGCGCGCAGCTCACGCTCGCAGCGTCAGCGACGCCGGCGGCGCCAAGGCGTCGTGGCGTCGGGCGCCTGGGACGTGGCTTCAACGGCCCCATCCGGCGCCGGCGGCGGGTGCCCGGCGGTCTTTGCTGCCGCCCGGGGGCGCAGAGGCCGGGCCTTTTCTTTCAGCACAAACGTCAGTTTGTAAAAGGGAGGTGCTGGAGTCTGAGGAGTTTTCAGGCTTCCGTCTCGAAGGAAGTCTGGCAGGCTCGGAATTGTCATCTTCCTCAGGCAAATAGTTTTTCACCTTAGAGCCAGCAAGGCCAAACCGCCCAGTCACCCGACTTCCCACAGTCTCAGCAGGTACACAGGGCGGGGAGCCTCGGGAGCGGCTCCCTTAGCAGGACCTGAGGGTTTCGGGAGAGTCCTGGCTTTGCACTTAGTTTTCCCGCTGCCTGGCTGCCTCCGTGGCGGTTGTGCTGCTTTTTATGCAGGATGTAGGATCGAAGGCAAATCATCCTTTCCCTACGTCCCCTGCCAACCCCTGCCGCTCTCCTCTATTTTGTACACTTTATCATTAAAGGATTTGAAATGAATGTAAGTTAATCCTTGAAGGATGAAACCAGAAAACATTTGTCGTGGTGGCGGAAAGGGACGGATGCACTTGGGCGAAGTAATGCTGACATCCACTTCCTAGCATTGTTAGGAGGGATAAATGAATTAAATATGTAAAGTCCTTAAATATTTGCTTGCTAATACGAGTATTCATTGCGTGTGACTATTTTTGTATTTATGTGAACTTCATCGGAGCATTTGTCAGGTTCTTTTTTTTTGCACCAAGTGAGCGTTGCCTGCCTGCCTGCCTGCCTGCCTCCCTCCCTCCCTCCCTTCCTTCCTTCCCCTCTTCCCTTCCTCCCTCCCTCCCTCCCTCCCTCCCTCCCTCACACTTTTTTGGGGAGAGAGGACACAATGCAATCCATAACAGCATATACACTTGTTCTTTTTTCCATCGAACTTTCCTCTTGACCATGTTTTCTTCTAGTAATACTGTATTTCTTTACTCCCTTTTATAGTAAAATTTCTCTACAGTGCTTATATTCAATTCATTGTTCCTACTTCCTCTCTTTTGAACGGTAAGTCAGATATTTACCTCGATCATTCTACTGAAATTGTTGCCGTTCTTCAGGTTACAAATGACCTACCTCCATGTTGCCAAATCCAGTGTCAGCTTAGTCTTCATTTTACTTGACTCAGCATTTGACGTAGTTCATCACTCGGTCCTTGGTGATATTTTCTTTTCCTTGCTTTCTATGTATATATAACCTTTTGGTTTTACTTATTGGCTCATTGGCCACTCTTCTTACGTCCTGTTTCCTGGTCCTGATGGTTTTGATGGAATTTTTGATGTTTGCTTGGACCTGAAGGTTTTGATGGAGTTTCTTTGGCAATGTAATTTATTCAGAATTCTTTTGAGGCTTTTCAATTTTGTAAATTTAATCTTGGTTTCTGCATCATTTTGCTTGTATCATTAATTTTTACTGAAAGCATCGTGTCACAATCGGCATGAGAAAAATGTAAAAGGGAGCAGGGCGCACAGTGGCTCAGGCGTGTAATCCCAGCACTTTGGGAGGCTGAGGTGGGAGGATCACCTGAGGTCAGAAGTTCGAGACCAGCTTGGCCAACGTGGTGAAACCCTGTCACTATTAAAAATACAAAAATTAGCCGGACGTGGCAGTGGGCACCTGTAATCCCAGCTACTTGGGAGGCTGAGGCAGGAGAATCGCTTGAACCTGGGAGGCAAAGTTTGCAGTGAGCAAGATTGTGCCATTGTACTCCAGCCTGGGCGACAAGAGCGAAACTCTGTCTCAAAAAAACGAAAAATGTAAAAGGGAATATTTTGCAGGGGCTTTGGTTCAAGTTCTATAATGTGTTTATTTACTATTATCATCAGTAATTTCCAAGAGAGCATTGTGTTCTTCCTTCAAATGGATTTTTAGTGACAAGTTATTTTTGCAAAGTCATATTTGATTATGATTTAAAAATTATGCTTGGCAACTATGCATTCAGTTAACTATAGTGTTAACTATAGTGTTTCATCGAAACAAAAAAGCAGTTGTATAATTCTTGGATGAAATAAACATTTTCAGTGCTATTAAGATATTTTCGTTCTATTGTTCACAACCTAGTTTAGAATTTTTATTTTTGAGAATTTTCTGTTTGTGCTTGTCAGACATATTTAAGGGCATGTATCCCTGGCCCCATATATATTATATATTTTTAATTTTAATTTTTTATGAGTAGTCTCTTACACATATATATGATTCTTTTCCAGCGGGGTGTCATCTACTTGTTAAAATCCTAATAAATGTTCACATATTGAAATATCTGCATTTTGGAAATCCATAATTACATCAACAATTGTTATCTGCTGTCCATATGTCCAAAATAATTGAGAAATTATTAGTTTTTAAAACTTTATTCAAAGTGGTTTTATTTATAACATCTGTAAGTTTTATTATTTGTTTTTATATTTTATTCTCTAAAATAGTATGTTATACTATTTGGTATTGATATTTATGTTTTGCATAAATGTGCTAACAGGATACCATCAACTTTTGCCATGGTTTCTGGCAAATAAAAAAAATCCTATTATTGGTCTCTTCATATATATCGGATGATCTTCTGAACATTAGATACTGCTTCTCCAAAAATTGAATCATGTTTATTGTTATTAACAAATATATAGGCCTTTATTTTCTCATTTTCAGTAGAATTGCTAATTATTTATATTTTTTTCAAACCTGATACTAGCTTTTAATACTTATCACTATTGATGTGTATTTTATTAATGTTCAGGAATATGTGATAAATGCTGCTGATCTTTGCATTATTTTTTATTCTTCAGCTGGATTATTCCTCCACTGATTTTATTCTTTGCATCAGTTTTTATTCTTCAGCAGTATTATTTTGTGATTACTCGTGTTGTTTTATCTGTTATATTTTTCATTTTTTAATATCTTCACTTGGGTCTTAAAAATTCCTCTTATACCTGTTTCATATGGCTGATATTCTCTTTCTGTGTGTTTATGTATTTTTAGTCTCTCTGTTTTAATGATTCTACAACTAAAACATGTTTTTTAGTTTATTATTTTTATATTTATTTATTTATTTGAGATGGAGTCTTACTCCATCCCCCAGGCTGGAGTGCAGTGGTGCAGTCTCTGCTCACTGCAACCTCTACCTCCGAGTTCAAGCGATTCTCCTGCCTCAGCCTCCCGAGTAGCTGAGACTACAGGTGCCCACCACCACGCCTGGATAATTTTTTGTATTTTTAATAGAGACAGGGTTTTACCATATTGGCCAGGCTGGTCTCGAACTCCTGACCTTGGGATCCACCCGCCTCTGCCTCCCAAAGTACTGGGATTACAGGCGTGAGCCAATGCGCCTGGCCTATTTTTTATTTTTTAATGGTTTTTTTTTCCGTTGTCAAGTTGTTTTGGCCTGTGAGCTCATATACCCCTGGGGGTGTCCCCTGTTTGTCTGGTAATCTATTATTAGGAAATGATCAAAAGCCAGTTCTCAGCCTGTGTTCCTCCTGGAAGTTAGGGAAAGTATGTGGGTGTATTTGTTTTCGAAGTGCTAAATATTTCCTGTGGTCTGAATGCTTGTGTCATCCCCAAATTCGCATGTTGAAATTGGGACCCAATTCAACATATGGTAGAATTAGGAGGTGGGGCCTTTAGGAGGTGATTAGGTTATGAGTGCAGCACCCTCATAAATGGGACTACTGCCCTTATAAAAGAGGTCTGAAAAAGCTCCCTTGCTCCTTCCATCATGTGAGGACACAGAGAGTAGGCAACATTTATTTAGCGTCTGGGCTTTCATCAGACACCAACTCTGCTGGTGCCTTGTCGTTGGACTTTCCAATCTCCAGAACTGTGAGAAATAAATGTTTCTTGTTTATAAGCTATGCAATTTATAGTGTTTTGTTATAGCAGCCTCAACAGACTAAGACACTAGTGCTGCTGTAACAAAGTACCACAAAGTGGGTGGCTTAGAACAACAGAAATTTATTCTTTCATGGTTCTGGAGGCCAGAAAACTGAAATCAAGGTTTCAGCAAAACCATGTTCCCTGCTAAGGGCTCTAGGGAAGAATCTTTCATTGGTTTTTACAAGCTTCTGGTGGATGCTAGCAATCCTTGATATTCCTTAGCTTGCAGCTGCATCACTTTAATTTCTGCCTGTCGCTATATGGTCTTCTTATAGTGACACCAGTAATTGGATTTAGGACCCACCTTAATTCAGTATGACCACATCTTAACTTTGTCATATCTGCAAAGACCCTATTTTCAAGTAAGGTCACATTCAAAGTGCTGGGGGCTTAGGACTTGAACATATCTTTTTCAGGGACACAGTTCAACACATAACAATGGGACAAGCCAAAGTGTAGAGAGCTTCAGATAACAGAGTACCAGTGTTACATTACTCTATCTTAATTTTGCCATTGTACCTGACAATTCCCACGGTTAGGCATATACTCTTAACACTATTTGGGAGGTGGCATTGTCCTGAGTCTTAGCTTTGAGGGGAGAGAAAAATAGAGGAATAAAAGCCCAAGACCTATCTAGTTTATACTTCCTTATCTTAGCATAGCTTTGATGCTGCCTTAATATTACACTAATGATACCTTGGGCCAAGGCTACTGCTCCTGTGGGAATAAAGATGTATATTAAGGACATATATTAGCTCAAATATGGGGGAAAGATAGGAAGAAATTGTAATTTTTCTTTTTCCTGAATGTATTCTCTCGTTGCTTCTGGCTTCTTCAGTCCGTATATTCCCATTCTAAATGCCCCATAAACAAATGAGCCTTTGTTTAGGGGTTTCTTAAGTTAAAAAATTTTTTGTTCTTGTTGTTTTCTGTTGTTAGGAATATTTTCCTTTCTATTTTTCATTTTTTCAGAGTTGATTTTGGGATTTGCCATCTTCATAGCAATTGATAATCCTTTTATCATTTTAAATCTGAAATGTTTTCATCTACAACCCTCCTTACTTGCAGGAAATGCTATAAGTCCTATAGGTAAAATAATCCAACATTTTCCTTATGGAGAGCAAAGGGTATAGAAAAGAAGCAAGATTTGTAGCCAATTTGACCTATGTTGTAATTCTGAAAAATTTAACACTTACTAGCTGTGTGACTCTTGGTTAGTCACTTAACTTGTCTGAGCTCAGTTTACTCTACTCCCATGTAAAATGGAATAATGATGTATATAAAGGGCATACCTTAGATTAAAAATTATGGAGCTTTTACTGTTATTATGCTTAAGTTTAAATAACTTATTGATATAAATTAGATATTGTGATAACTGCATTCTATATTTCTTCGTTTTGTTTAAGTTACTGTGACTCAAAAAAGCCTGAAGTGTAATCATAGCTTCCAGAAGTTGCTTAATGTACTCTGAGCAAATTGCTAAAGCCATCAGAAAAAGAGAAATGTAGTATGTGAATTTAATTAGAGCCTGGTGTTTTCTCTGAATCTCTTATTTTTTTTCACAGGGAGGAATAAGTTTTTTTCATCTGTAATTTGGAAGCCAAGTCAGTAACAAAATGAAACCAGTAAAGCATCTGTTGACCACCAGTAACAAATCGGCAAATGTTCCAGCATTAACTACTAAAAAAGGACTACATAATTTACCATTATCACCTGAGCTAAAGGAAAAACATAATGCAAAATTAATTCATGATAAAATTGAACCAATGGTCCTAAGATCTCCACCAACAGGAGAATCCATTTTACGGTATGCTTTGCCCATTCCATCGAGTAAGACAAAGAACTTACTACCAGAAGATGAAATGATCGGAAAAATTATCAAACATCTGAAGATGGTAAGAGGCTTGTTAGTTTCTGTGTTGCAGGGCCCCCATGATCACCCCAGGTTTAGTGATGTGCTAGGAGGACTCACATGACTCCACATATAGTCATACCGATGGCTAAGATTTATTACAGTAGGCACATGAGGTGAAATTAGGAGAAAACCAGATCTAAGCTTGCAAGAGTCTTTTCCCTTTAGAGTCACCCAGGAGATGCTTAATTTCTTTAGCAATGAATTGTGACAACACATATGAAATGTCTGCCAGGGAAAATCATTAGAAACTCAGTGCCCTGGGATTTATTGGGGGTTGTTTACTATTCACTCTGTGCTTAGCATGTACGAAAATTTCAGACTCTCACAAGGAAAGGAGGTTCAGTATAAACAATGTTATACAAACAGTTTAGGGACAGTGAGCTGCTTCTATCAGTGAATGGGGAGAACCCTCCTGAAATCCAGGATCTCAGATGCCAGGTTAAGGCCAACCTTGCAAGCAGGCCTTCCTAAGTCCTGCATTTCTACTATGTTAAACTCTGCATTTCAGAAACTTTAGCTCTTTTTTCGTTTCTTGAGATGAAGTCTCGCTCTTTCGCCCAGGCTGGAGTGCCGTGGCATGATCTTGGCTCACTGCAAATTCTGCCTCCAGGTTTCAAGCAATTTTCCTGTCTCAGTCTCCCGAGTAGCTGGGACTACAGGAGCATGCCACCATGCCTGGCTAATTTTTGTACTTTTAGTAGAGATGGGGTTTCACCATACTGGTCAGGCTGGTCTTAAACTCTTGACCTCAGGTGATCCACCCGCCTTGGCCTCCCAAAGTGCTGGGATTACAGGCATGAGCACCATGCCTGGCTGAAACTTTAGCTCTTGATGTGGGGAAAAAATTTCCTTTCTCTGAGTTTCTATTTTTTTCACTGCAATCCAGAATTGAATTGTAAATGTACCAAATAACAATGAGGAAGAGCACAAATATAAAAAAATATATAGTACATCAAACTTGTACAGTACAAGTTTGTTGAAAGTTTGAGGGGTTAGGCCAGATAATTTTCTTTAAAAATTCATTGCTTTCTGGTCTCCATCTTTCTATTTCCCCTAACTCTCTTCAGAGGAGAAAGTCAAGGCAGACTTTGAGGAAAACTCTACTTAATGCTTCAACCACTCATGGACAGGCCCTCTCCGTTTTAAGATAGCTATCAACACAGAAATGGTAGAGTCATAGAGCATCTCTCTATTGCTAGGGAGTAGGGTTAAGGAATATTGCTTTCTCCTCATGATGACATGAAATTGGGTATGGGATGAAAAATTTAAGTTTATGGCACTGGAAGAAATAAGTCTTACTGGTAAAAAGGTCCTGGCATAATTGATTAAATATTATTTACATTTAATATAATTAATTTTAAACTATTAAAGTATCTAATTGGCTTTTATTTTTTTTTTACAGGTTGTTTCCACTTTGGAAGAAACCTATGGACATTGCGATCAGAATGGAGAAGAACCATTTGTAAAGCATGAACATGAAGAATTATCTTTATCTGTAAGTATATGCAACCCTAATATAGAGACATTAACACTGAAAAGGGTCGATTTTCTTTTTAAAAATATAAATTTAAAATATTTTCTTTTGGAGTACTTATTATATCCTCAGAATGAATTTCCCATCCATGAAAATGATCCTCTTAGAAAATTACTCAACCCAACCAAATCCCTCTTGACCTGAATTTTGCCAAGAAGTTTGCAGAAAAGGAGTTCTACATACCCATTAGGAATGACCAACATTTTAAAGATAGAGAATAATCACATTTTAGTAAAGATATGGGGCCACAGGAACTCTCATACAGAGCTGGTGGGAACACAAATGGTACTGCTATGTTGAGAAACAGTTTGACAGCTGCTCACAAAGTTTAACATATACTTAAAAGATAACCACCAATTCCACTCTTAAGTGGTTATCCAAGATTAATGAACACATACATCCTCACAAAGTCTTGTATATAAATGTTTATAGAAGTTTCGTTCGTAACTGCCAGAATAGCTACTGAATCCAGCAACCCAAATATTTACTAACTGGTGAATGGATAAGCAAATTGTGGTATAGCATACAATGAAATACTCTTCACAATAAAGGGAACAAACTACTGACACATAGAACAATGTAGATGAATCTCAAAAACATTAGGATGTGGGGAAGCTAAATAAATAAGGCTACATATCATATGATTCTATTTATATGAAATTCTGGGAAAGGGAAAACTGTAGTAAAGGACCAGTGTTTGTCTTGAGCTAAGGTAGGAGGGGAGAATTGACTGCAAAGGAGTACAGTGAAGCTTTTTGAAATGATGGAAATGTTTTATATTTTTATTGTGGTGGTGATTACCCAACTATTAAAAGGACTATGTAATCACAATCCTTATCCTGCATGACCTTGTGGTTATTATGTTTTGAAGCCCTGCCAGGAATGAATCAAAGAACCAAAACTAAAATCTGAAATTGAAGTCCAATAGAAACTGGGATGACTAGAGGTGGGAGGGAGGCGGGGTAAGGGTTGAAAAACTAGCTATCGGGTACTGTGCTCAGTACTTGGGTGACGGGATCATTGGTACCCCAAACCTCAGCATCACGCAGTATATCCAGGTAACAAACCTGCACATGTACCCACTAAATCTAAAACAAAAGTTAAAAAAAAAACCACCAAAAAAATAAAATAAAATGAAATTAAGTTCACTTTCCTGTGGTCTCCAATACTGACAAAATTGAAGAAATCAGCCCTTCGGATATCCCCTTTATTTTACTGAATTTCTTTCCTCCAATGATCTTGTATTTTATTTCACATCAACCACTAATGGACAAAGTGATATCCTGTAGTCCTTACCATAACTGTTTCATAATTTGAATTTCAGTCATCCTAATCTGTGGCCACCACCTCCTGTCTTTCCCACTCAGTCTGTCCAATATTCTGTCTCCAAAAATCCTTTGATTTCACAGGGAAACATAATCCATTGGTCTTGCTGCCTTTTTAGTGTCCGAAATCCTCCTTGTGCCCTTACTTACCCAGCTTAAATAGCATGGTCCACTATTATCATCACTCCCTTTCACACGTACTTAACTCTCTTGCCCTGTTCTGCTTTATTGGTCTCATTTGGTTACATTATAAACTTGGTCAAATCAATTTCTATCTTCTCTGTATTTCTCTATCTTCTCTATATTTGTGGCACCTGAATGTGGGTGGAAGAAGTAGGCTAATAGTTTCTCTTTATATTTGTGATTAGTAACACTAATCTGTTCATTTTCCTCTCTGCTGGATGATTTAGTTTTTTTTCCCCGTCTCCTATATGATTATAGGTCTTTATTGTGACAAGAAGTATGTGAGCCTCTCAGCATATTTATTTATTTATTTATTTATTTATTTATTTTATTTTATTTTTATTTTTTTGAGACAGAGTCTCGCTGTGTCACCTAGGCTGGAGTGCAGTGGTGTGATCTTGGCTCACTGGAACTGCTGCCTCCTGGATTCAAGCGCTTTTCGTGCCTCAGCCACCCACGTAGCTGGGATTACCGGTGTGCGGCGCCTCGCCCAGCTAATTTTTTTGTCTTTTTAGTAGAGACGGGATTTTGCCATGCTGGCCAGGCTGGTCTTGAACTCCTGACCTCAAGTGATCCAACTGCCTCAGCCTCCCAAAGTGCTAGGATTACAGGTGTGAGCCACCGCGCCTGGCTCAGTATCTTTAAATGTAATGCTCAGGGAATATATTCTTCATGGAGAACCACTCTATGAAAATCCTAACTGTATATAAGCCTGTAATATTTGTTTATCATGAGTCAATTCTCTGATTTACGAATCACTGCTTTACTAGAAGGGATTTGATCGTTATGACATTTAAGCTGTAACTATTTTTTCCTCAAAGTTGTGTATTGCCCATTAGGTGAGAGCAGAAGACTGCAGTTCATGGCAATTATACAGTTAGGTATCATAGGTAGTAGTCATTTTCTAACACCAAGAGATTTTTTTTTTTATGGTAATGATTACCTTTTATTGGGCCACCCAGAAATTTCAGTACTATGAGGCTGGGATGCTGGATTTTCTGGAACTGTGTAGAGATGAATGAGAGGAGAGACATGGCTGGGTATATGTCACTGATGGGCCACTTCCCAAAGTGTACTTTCTTTCATATTTTTTCTTTGGGAGAATTTGCTAGTATGGCATTTGAAGCATGGCTTCTTGCTGTAAATGTTTGAAGGGACATAAATTACACAAAATTAAAATTTTTCAAAAAGTAAATATGCTAGAAAAAGACAGACATGCATATGGATTCTTAAATGTAACTTTATGTTTTATTATTCTTTTCAAAAGGTTGGGGATGATATGAATTCATTCTTGACATATTGTTCGCAATTTGCAGCTCAGCTAGAAGAAGCACTTAAAGAAGAACAAAATGTATGTATTCTGTATATACTGTCAAGTATAAAATATCAAACTTGTACTGGTTGTTGAAAATTGAATCTGCTATCCAGTCAGCCAACATTAATCTAGATTCAGTGTCTTAAGAAATTATAAATGGCATTGGAAAACATTATTTATTTATTTTTTATTCTTTTTTTTTAATCATCATCAAGGGTTTTTACTATGCCCAAATGCAAAGATTATGCCACTGAACCACCACAAATAAGACATGAACTTTGAATTAATTCTTCAATAGTTGTGTGAATCTTAATGAATCTGCCATATTCCCTCATTAAGAGCATGTAAGTAGTTACAAGGTAGTTAATAAATAGTAAGGTTGTGGCAATCAGCATCAAAGAGAGAATGATTGGCCATTACAGAGAATGACCACACAATCATGGTTTAGTACCATAAGCCTTATCAATTAGCTATGAGTAAAATGTAAGACTACAGTGGAATTGTTGCAATTGTCTTTTTTTTCATATAATAGAATACACTTAATTTATTGCTTTTTCTGGCAATAGTATTTAAATTGGCATGTAATAATTATACATATTTATGGGGTACATAGCGATATTTTGATACATACAATGGGTAGTGGTCAAATCAGAGTAATTAGCATATTCATCACGTCAAACACCTAGCATTTCCTTGTGGTGGGAACATTCAAAATATATAAAATATATATATATATAATAAACCGTTGTTAGCTGTGGTCACCCTATAGTGCTGTAGAACACTATAACTTATTTCTCCTATCTAGCTGTAATTTTTTATCGTTTAACCAACCTCTCCCTATCCTCCCTCACCCCTACCCTTTCCAACCTCTAGTAATCATGATTCTACTCTCTGCTTCTATGAGATCAGCTTGTTTTAGCATTTGCATATTGGCAAGAACATGAAATATTTATCTTTCTGTTCCTGACTTATTTCTCTTCATATAATATCCTATAGGGCTTTCCATGTTGCTGTGAATGACAGGATTTAATTCTTTTTTGGAATTAAGAGTGAAATCTTTTTTGGAACTGAAAGTGGCTGAATAGTAGTCCATTCCCCCTATATGCCACATTTTCTTTATTCATTTGTCTATTGATGGACATTTAGGTTGATTATATATATTGGCGATTGCAGTTTAGTGCTGCAATAAACATGGAAGTACAGATGTCTCTTCAGTGTACTGATTTCCTTTCCTGTGGATATACACCCAGTAGTGGAATTGCTGGATCATATGGTAGTTCTATTGGTAGTTTTTTGAGGAGACTCCATGCTATTTTTCATTATCATTCTACTAGTTTAAATTTCCACCAAAAGTGTATATATGTTCCCTTTTCTCTGCATCCTTGTCAGTATTTATTATCTTTTTTCTTTTTGATAATAGCCATTCTAACTGAGGTGAGATGATATCTCATTGTGGTTTTGATTTACATTTCCCTGATGATTAGTGATGATGAGCATTTTTTTCATATACTTTTTAGCCATTTGTGTATCTTTCTTTTGAGAAATATTCAAGCCATTTACCTATTTTAAAATCAGTTTTTTTTTGCCATTGAGTTGTCTGAGTTCCTTATATATTTTGAATATTAATCACTTGTTAGATGAATTTTTTTTTGCAAATATCTTTTTTCATTCTGAAGATTGTCTTTTCACTCTGTTGGTTGTTTCCTTTGCTGTGCAGAAGCTTTTTAGTTTGATATAATACCACTTGTCTGTTTTTGCTTGTGTTGCCTATGCTTTTGAGGTCCTATGCATAAAATATTTTCTCAGACCAATGTCCTGAAGCATTTCCTCTATGTTTCCTTCCAGTAGTTTCATAGTTTTGGGTTTTACATTAAAGGCTTTAAGCTGTTTTTGAGCTGATTTTTGCATATGGTGAGATTTTGGGGTCTAGTTTCATTCTTCTGCCTATGGATATCCAGTTTTCCCAGCACCATTTATTGAAAAGACTGTCTTTTTCCCAATGTTCTTGGTGCTTTTGTTGAAAATTTGTTGGCTATAAATAAGTGGATTTATTTTTTGGGTTCTCTATTGGGTTCCATTGGTCTGTGTGTCTGTTTTTGTGCCAGTACCATGCTGTTGTGGCTACTATAGCTTTGAAGAGTATGTTGTGTGTGTGTTTGCATGTGTGTGTGTGTGTGTGTGTGCTTTTTTTTTTTTTTTTAAAGAGACAAGGTCTCACTTTGTTGGCCAGGCTGGAGTGCAGTGGCACAATCATAGCTCACTGCAGCCTCGAACTCCTGGGCTTGAGGGATCCTCTTGCCTCAGCTTCCCAAGCTGCTGGGATTACAGGCATGAACCATGATGCCTGGCTAACTTTGTAGTATATTTTGAAGTCAGATAGTGTGTTGCCTCCAGCTTTCTTCTTTTTGCTTAGGATTGCTTTGGCTACTTAGGGTCTTTTGTGGTTCCACATGAATTTTTAGGATTTGTTTTCTATTTCTGTAAAGAATGTCATGGTATTAATAATTAATATTGTTAAAATGACCATACTACTCAAAGCTATCTGCAGATTCAGTGAAATCCCTGTCAAAATGATACTGGGCTTAAGCCCAGTATTAATATTAATTCTTCTAATCCACAAACATAGGATGTCTTTTGTTTTTTTGTGTGTGTCTTCTTTAATTTCTTTCATCAGTATTTTATAATTTTCATTGTAGAGACCTTTCACCTCCTTGGTTAAATTTATTTCTAGGTATCTTATATATTATTTTGTAGCTATTATAAATGGGATTGGTCTCTTGATTTCTTTTTTTCAGCTAGTATATAAACATGCCACTGATTTTTATATGTTGATTTTATATTTTGCAGCTTTACTGAATTTATTCATTAATTCTAAGAAGTTTTTGGGTGGAGTCTTCTATGTATATGATATGTATATAATCATGTTGTCTGCAAACAGGGACACTTTTGAGGCCCTCCACTTAGTTGCTTTTCTTCCCTAGGAGAGTTCTGAGTTAGGTGAAACTAACTCAGTTTAGTGTGAACCTCTAGAGAGCTCAAAAGTGGGAACCTCTAGAGAGCTCAAAAGTGGGAACCTCTAGAGAGCTCAAAACAGTAACACAATTTCTTGGGAATATGTCTGCTATGCTCTCTCCAGAACCACTCAAAATGAGGGTTGCTGTTTTTAAGACTGCTACTGTGCTCAAGGAAGGGGTGGGGCAAGACCGAGTTAAAATACCACACAGTTCTCTTGTGGTGTTCAAGCCACATTTTATTGATGTGGCATTGCTTGGTTGCTTTAAATCTTTAACTGTTTTTCAGAGTTCTAACAAAATTGGAGCATAAGCCTTTGGACTTCCCTGCTGCACATTTTTTTTTTTTTTTTTTTTTTTTTTTGCTGTTAGCACTCTTCAAATACCCTAATAGTTTTTTTCCTTGATACAAATTTACAATTGACTTTGAATTTTATATGTATAGCATTTCAGTAGACCAAGAATAACCAAGTGAGTCCTGAAGAAAATGAACAAGGCCAAAGGACCTACCCTAACAGATATCAAGATTCATTATGCAGCTATATCAATTATGATTATGTGCTTTTGGTGCAAGCCTGGATGAACTGATGAAATTGAACAAAGTCTCAGATATTGACCCTTTTATATATGGAAAATTTTGTTGATGACAGAGCCAGCAGTATAATAAATGGCTTTGGGACAACTGGTTATTTATAAAGGAAAAAACTAATTTGATATATGATCAAATATGATACTGATGATGTAAGTATATGACCTGGAGCAAGAAACAATCACAAAACAAATACAAATCATAAAAGGCAATATTGATAAATTCACCTATATTAAATTTATAAGCTCTGTATATAAATAATTCATAAAGAGAGGGGCAAGAGAAATTTCAAACAGGGGCAAAATTTGGATCATGTATACCTGACGTATATGTGTATTTAATCACATGAAGGATTATCTAGATTATATAGATAATGTCTACTTATCAGTAAGTAAATGATTAAACAAATCATTACAAAATAAAAAGGCATTTCACAGTGGATCAGTTTTTATTTTTCACTCATTTTTATCAACAATGATCTAGATTTAGCAGTATCAGTAATTGATGCTGTGGGTTTCCTCAGTAATTGAGAAAGGCACTGTTCTCGTTAAACTAGGAGTGGTTTAAATTATTGTAGAACTATGGCTACAATGAGTGGTTGAATTGATATACGCTAAAGTTTCCCATCAGGTTCCAGTGCAGGAAGGGAAGTTTTGAGAACCCCGGAATCTTTCTTGACAGTGGAAAGAATTAGTTATTCCTAGGTATAATGTGCTTTAGTGGACATTATTTCTAAACACTTACGTAGCTGAAAATATTTTTCTTCTGACACAGACATTAATTTGCTTTGGTATATTTTCTGAAGGATCTCAGCACTTTTTGCGTAGATTTATGCTTTCTTATTTAGCTTAGTGATTCTCAGACTTTAGCATGCAAAGCAATCACCTGCAGGTCTAGTTACAACACAAATTGTTAGTCCCACTTCTAGAATTTCTGATTTAGTAGGGTAGCGTGGGGCCTGAGAATTTTCAGTACTAATAAGTATGCTTGTAGGTGGTGCTGATGCTGTTGCTGTGGCTCCTTACTTTTTGAACCACAGATCTAGAGTTAGTGTTGCGGAAGATAAATTTAATTTATCTAGTTTAATTTTTGTTCAATCTTATGTTACTCCCTGAATGCACGTAGTAACATTTTACTTTAATAATGTAATTGAAAACTTTTACCCAATTTGATAGGGTGGGGTTTTTGTTTTTGTAGCAAATGTAATCACTTTAACATTAGATATTTAAATGGTAAATACTGATATTTTGAACTGTGTATGGATGCTCCTCAACTTATGAGGGAGTTACATACTGATAAACCCATCATAAGTTGAATTTTTCATATGGTGAAAGTGCATTTAATACACCTGACCTACCAAACATTGTAACTTAGCCTACCCTACCTTAAATGTGCTGAGAACACTGGACATTAGCCTGCAGTTGGGCAAAATCATCTAACACAAAACCTATTTTATAAGGAAGTGTTGAATAGCTCATGAAACTTATTGAATACTGTACTGAAAGTGAAAAACAGAATGGTTGTAGGTGTATGTGGAGTTCAGTTTCTATTGGTTTTTGTATATTTAGTCAGTTTCTCTTGTAATTTCTCAAACAAGTAATTTGCATTTTTCATTAAAAATATTAAGTAGTATTATATTTTATATCTTGATTTTCTAGACCGTTTAGCAGGAACAGAGTTGTATTGAGAAGATAGTGTTGGGAAGGTGATGCTTTTTGTTATTGTACTTGCTGCTGTATGAAAAAAATATAATGCTCCTCTGAAAGGAATTTAAATTTTATTCCTTACATATATGTGTGTGTGTGTGTGTGTATATATATATATATATATATGTATATATATATATATATATACATATATATATATGCACATATGTACATTTTTTTTTTTAAGATGGAGTTTCGCTCTTGTTGCCCAGGCTGGAGTGCAATGGCGTGATCTCGGCTCACCGCAACCTCCGCCTCCCGGGTTCAAGTGATTCTTCTGCCTCAGCCTCCTGAATAGCTGGGATTACAGGCATGCACCACCACACCTGGCTAATTTTTGTATTTTTAGTAGAGACGGGGTTTCTCCATGTTGGTCAGGCTGGTCTTGAACTCTCGACTTCAGGTGATCCACCTGCCTTGGCCTCCCAAAGTGCTGGGATTACAGGCATGAGCCACCCCACCCAGCCTCCTTACCTATATTAAGAAAATATATGAAATAAATTTGGGAATTGTTTGGGGGCCACCTAATATAGATATATTAGGGCCAGGCATGATGGCTCATGCTCAGTGTTTTGGGAGACTGACATGGGAGGATTGCTTGTGGCCAGGAGTTCGAGACCAGCCTGGGCAACATGGCCAAACTCCATCCCTATTAAAAACAAAATTAAAAATTAGCCAGGCATGGGGGTGTGCCCATGTAGTCCTAGCTACTCAGGAGGCTGAGGCAAGAGGATCACTTGAGCCCAGGAGTTCAACGTTATAGTGAGCTATGAGTGCACCGCTGCACTCAAGCCTGGGTGACAGTGAGATTCTGTCTCTCTTTCCCTCTTTCTCCCTTTTTATATATAAAAAGAAAAATTATTTTTAAATTCTAGAAAGAAGTTGTCTATGCAAGGTGAACTAAAAGCACTGTCTGTAAATAAAAAATTTTAAGTTTCAACTACAGATTTATAAAGTTATATTTTAATACTTAGTACATTTTTGTGATTGAAAATTGCAAAAGACTGAACTAAATATTATATTATACATTGTGAAGCATTCTAATTTTAAATGTGTTAATTAAAACTTTATTTTTCAGATTTTGGAATCTCTTTTTAAGGTACGTTCAATATATTACAGCTTAAGCCTACTAAAACTTAACACAGAAATACATGCCAATGAAGAAGAGGTTTCTAAATTTTAAGGGAGTAGAAGGAATTCCATACTTGCTGCTCTATATATTTAAGAATTTTATGTTCATTTGTATAGTGCATTAGCCCCATTCTGAATCCCAAGTGATGTTTCGGTCAGGGCTGATATTTGATGGATGAAGATTCAGAGACACAGACACACATTTATATAGATATTTATTTCATCAGTGCAATTTAAGTAGTCACTATTTCTTTTTTTGTCCCTCTTTTGTTTTCTTAAAGTGGTTTCAGTGGCAGGTCAATCAGATGGAAGAAGTAAGTCTAACGTTTTAAAATTGTTAAGTTAATATTTTTTAACTCATTTGAAAAGCAATTTGGATTATGTATAAGTTAAGTATGTATAAGTCATTTTTGAATAACTGTTGGTTATAAAGTAACCTTTTGGTTTGGGTAGACAAGGAATAAGTGGATGGGATAAAATATTTCTCAGTGACCTACACCCTATATCCCTGCATATATCTGGTATACTCCAAGTTTGACTGACACATTTTTTTTCCTAAAATTGAATAATGGAAACTAAGTTATTATTTTTTCCAATTTACATAAAAGGGTGATGAGAGAACCTTTCACTTTAAATATTTCTACCATATTTTAAAAAATCATGCTAAATGATTATGTATGTGTAGACATAAAATTATGTATTGATTTTCTATAGATGAAATATGTTATTTTAATGATGTTCTTTTACACTTTTGATTCAGGCACTTTGCCATTAGTTTGAGAACTACTGGTCTCTGTCCTTAGGGGCTTTTAATTCTACTTTGGAAAATACTTTATATATGCTGTCAGTATATTAGAATGATTTCCAGGGTAGCTTTACTGATTTACAGTATTATTTTAGTTCTCATTTGGTCACACTTATGGTTCAGTCCAATTAAACACTCTTGAAGCCCAGGCTTTTCAAAGAAAAGAGGCCAGTTTATTTGGGGGTATTTAAAGGATAAATATAGATAGAACCTTAAATGCATGAACTGTGACTATATCCTAGCATCTTCTCATTGTTTTTATCTCTGGTCCCAGAACAGAAGACTTTCATGGTCTATATGCTGTTTGCTTTAGGATACATTTGACTGACATTGGAAAAGTGTTAGTCATTCTTTGATTATGGCATAGAGGTCATTATCCTTCCAGAGAAGTAGGGGTAGAGTGAAGTCTACTATTCCTCTACCCTCTTTTAAAATGTGTTCTTCTTTGCAACTTTGGAAATTCATCTTGTCATCTTCTTTTCATCCATCAACCTCTTTTTATTATTTTATTAATGGGTTTACTTTTACTCTTCTTTTGCACTCAGTCCTGTCAATGTACATGACCTATCCAAAACCCTGGCTTCTCACTTTCTTGACTTCCTCATCTCCAAAGATCTCTTGGCCTCCACTTCCAGTCACACTCTGGAACTTGTCATTAACTAAATTACTTTTTAAAAATTACTAATTTAGGCAACTTATTCTTGAACTGTAAATTTCTGTTTTTCCAATTATTACTTTAAATACTGCTCTGGCCACCAAACACTTGGAATGCTCTAAATACAAGCTGTTGGTTGGAACTCCTTCAATTCCTGCTACCTAACACAATATTAACGTCTGTACTCATTTTCTCTTTCTTTTTTCCTGTTAAGACAGATATATTGTTCTTTCTTATACATATGACTAATTATTTCACTTCTGTTTTGGATTTCATATCCTCTTGCCTTCTCAAGACTTTGTGTTTGTTTGTTTGTTTGTTTGTGTTTTTGAGAACTTGATCTCATTCTGGTTGCCCTGGCTGGACTGCAGTGATTTGATCTCGGCTCACTGAAGCCTTGACCTCCCGGGCTCAGGTGATTCTCCAACCTTAGCCTCTCAAGTAGCTGGGACCACGGGCATGAGCCACCATGCCTGGCTAATTGGTATTTTTTTTAGTAGAGATGGGGTTTTGCCATGTTGCCCAGGCTAGTCTTGAACTCCTGGATTCATGCAATTCCCTTGCCTCCGCCTCCCAAAGTGCTGGGATTACAGGCGTGAGCCACTGTGCCCTGCCGTGCCCTCTCAAGAACTTTGATTAATTATTCTCTCTTGTATATTCAGTTTCTCTCATTCAATTTATCCTTCTTTTCAGTTTTTAAATATGCTCTTCTATCTCTTATTTGATCCACATTCCTCTCTAAAGGCCTATTTCCATGTCCTTTATTAGCCTGTTTTTAAAAAAATTATTTTGTATGCAAATTTACTCATATTAGGGAAACAATCATTAGATTATTATCAGGGTGTAAAGGCAAAACTGGTTTATAAGTGAGTAGGAGAAAAATAGAGTAGACAGTCTTTGAACAATGAAACTAGTTTTTTTTTTTTTTAAAGTATTCAACGAATAAACTGGCACCTAGTGAAAAGATTAATCTGGGCACTCTTTCCTTGTAAGAGACAACTAAGGTTATTAAGTAAAACAGTTAGAGTTGTTAATGGATTTCCTATAATAACCCTTAAGAGTTTAGCCATGGAGCATGTGTCACCCATTCAGAGCCACATTTATTTTTATATTCATTTACTATACACTATGCTCTTACTTCCCAAACATTTCTCAATCTATCCAGACTGAATTCTGTCTCCCTAACAAGTAAAACATTCTCTCCATATGGTTCCCAGTAAGTTGTATGTTGTTAAATTAAACAGACTTTTTTTTTTTTTTTTGCCTCAGCTATAGTTAATATTATTGATCGTGCCCTCATTTTTGAAACACTAGTCCTTTGGCTTCTGTGAATTACATTTTCCTGGCTATTGTTTTACCTCTTTGGCTGTCTTCTTTTTAGAGTCCCCTCCTAAACCCAACCAGTAAATGTTGGAGTACCTCAAAGTTTTATCCTATGCCTTTTTTCTTTTTACTCCAAACTTTCTCCCTAGGCAGTCTCATCCAGTTTTTCCATTCAAGTATTACCTTTATGCATGTAATTTAGAAACATAAACCTCTTGCTCAAAATGTTTCCCTGAACTCCAGGCTTTGTATATAATTACTTACTAGACTATTCCACCTCAGATGCAATGGGTCAGAAATATGAATTTTTACTCCTAAACTCATATCTCTTCTAGTGTTCCCTATCTTAGTGAATGAGTACTATTTATCAAATTGGGTAAATGTGAAATGTGGAAACCATTCCTGACAACTCACTTCCATCTATTCCTGATATTTAATCTATCCACAAGTCCTCTGGGTTTTACTTTCTAAATAACTGTCAGATGTGTCCACTTTTCTCTGTGTCTACACCTTATTGTTGGTTACTATCATATCCATTTTGCCTGAAATCCCAACCAGTGCATTCATAATCACCAGGAGGAATCCCCACTGCACAGTATACTTCTGATCTGGAATTTCAAGTTTTTCAATGTTTAAACCCATAATTACTTATCTTTAATATTTTATTAATTTGGTGTACCAGATATATGATCTAAAGGTTTGTATTATGTACTGTTTTTCAAGGAGTGTTTCTCTCTCTTTTTTTTTTTTTTTTGTAAACTTTTATTTTAAGTTCAGGGGTACATGTATAGGTTTGTTATTTACGTAAACTCATGTCACAGATATTTGTTGTACAGATTATTTCATCACCCACATATTAAGCCCAGTACCCAACAGTTATCTTTTCTGCTCCTCTCCTTCCTCCCAACCTCCACCCTCATGTAGACCCCAGTGTCTATTGTTTCCTTCTTTGTGTTCATGAGTTCTCATCATTTAGCTCCCACTTATAAGTGAGAACATGCAGTATTTGGTTTTACGTTCCTGTGCTAGTTTGATAAGGATAATGGCCTCCAGCTCCATCCATGTTCCTGCAAAAGACATGATCTCATTCATTTATATGGCTGAATAGTATTCCATGGTATATATGTACCACGTTTTCTTTATCCAGTCAACCACTGATGGACATTTAGGCCAATTCCATGTCTTTGCTATTGTGAATAGTGTTGCAGTGAACATACACATGTACGTGTCTTTATGATAGGATGATTTATTTTCCCTTGGGTATATACCCAGTAATGGGATTGCTGGGTCAAATGGTAGTTCTGTTTTTAGATATTTGAGGAATCATCACACTGTTTTCCACAGCAGGCAACTAATTTATACTCCCACCAACAATGTATAAGCATTTTTTTCTCCACAACTTTGCCAGCATCTTTTATTTTTTGTTTTTACATTTTAATAATAGTCATTCTGACTGGTATGAGGTGGTATCTCATTGTGGTTTGATTTGCATTTCTCTAATGATCAGTGATGTTGAGCTTTTTTTCATATGATTGTTGGCCCCGTGTATGTCTTCTTTTGAAAAGCGTCGTTCATGTCCTTTGTCCACTTTTTTTTTTTTTTGAGACAGAGTCTTGCTCCCTCGCCAGGCTGGAGTGCAGTGACACAATCTCCGCTCACTGCAACCTCTGCCTCCTGGGTTCAAGCAATTGTCCTGCCTCAGCCTCACAAGTAGCTGGGACTACAGGTGTATGCCACCATGCCCGGCTAATTTTTTTTTTTTTTTTGTATTTTAGTAGAGACGGGGTTTCACCATGTTGTCCAGGCTGGTCTCGAACTCCTGATCTCAGGCAATCTGCCCGCCTCAGCCTCCCAAAGTGCTAGGATTACAGGCGTGAGCCACTGCGCCCGGCCTTGTCCACTGTTTAATGGTGTTGTTTGTTTGTGTCTTATAAATATGCTTAAGTTTCTTATAGATGTTGGATATTAGACCTTTGTCAGGTGAATGGTTTGCAAATGTTTTCTCCCAATTTCTAGGTTGCCTGTTTACTCTGTTGGTAGTTTTTTTTGCTGCACAGAAGCTCTTAAGTTTAATTGGATCCTATTTGTTAATTTTTGCTTTTGTTGCAATTGCTTTTGGCATCTTCATGGAGTCTTTGCCCATTCCTATGTCCAGAATGGTATTGCCTAGGTTGTCTTCCAGAATTTTTATAGTTTTGGGTTTTACATTTAAGTCTTTTATTCATCTTGAGTTAATTTTTGTACATGGTGTAAGCAATGAGTCCCGTTTAAATCTTCGGCACTTGGTTAACCAGTTATCCCAGCCTCATTTATTGAATAGGGAGTCCTTTCTTCATTGTTTGCTTTTGTCAGGTTTGTCGAAGATCAGATAGTTGTAGGTGTGCAGCCTTATTTCTGGCTTCTCTATTCTGTTCCATTGCTCTATGTGTCTGGTTTTGTGCCAGTACCGTGCTATTTTGGTTACTGTAGCCCTGTAGTATAGTTTGAAGTCGGGTAGTGTGATGCCTCCAGATTTGTTCTTTTTGCTTTGGATTGCTTTGGCTCTTTGGGCTCTTTTTTGGTTCCAATATGAGCTTAAAATAGATTTTTTCTAGGTCTGTGAAGAATTTCATTGTTAGTTTGATAGGAATATCATTGGATTTATAAATTGCTTTGGAAAGTATTGCCATTTTAACCATATTGATTCTTTCTATCCATGCACATGGAATGTTTTTCCATTTGTTTGTGTCATTTCTGATTTCTTTGAGCAGTGTTTTGTAGTTCCCCTTGTAGAGATTGTTCACCTCCCTGGTTAGCTGTATTCCTAGGTATTCTTTTTGTGGCAATTGTGAATGGGATTGCATTCCTGATTTGGCTCTTGGCTCGACTGTTGTTGATGTATAGGAATGCTAGTGATTTTTGTACATTGACTTTGTATCTTGAGACTTCGCTGAGGCTGTTTATCAGCTGAAGGAACTTTTGGGCCAAGACTTTGGGGTTTTCTAGATATAGGATTATGTTGTCTATAAATGGGAATAGTTTGACTTCCACTCTTCCTATTTGGATGCCTTTATTTCTTTCTCTTGTCTGATAGCTCTGACCAGGACTTCCAATACTGTGTTGAATAGGAGTGCTGGGAGAGGGCACCTCAAGGAATGTTTCTTAAAGTGTAGTTGATAGAACACGTTTAAATGTCAGCCAAGATACCTGTTATAAGTGCACATTACTGGATTAGATTTCTTTTGTGAGTCTCTGAGTTAGGAGTCTACTGCTTCAACAGGTAGGAAACAAGGGATTCTTATGCACACTAACATTTGAGAATCTTGTGATAATCTTTTTACTGCTGACATAATTTATTGTTAGTACATGCTGGTAAGGTTAATGTCAGTGATCATTTTGCATTACATGTTGCATTAACAGAGATACATGTGGAAACTATTAGAGAATATGGTGAGCTACACCAGAGAAATGTAGGCTGAACCTACAGTAGCCTGTACACTTCAGAATTGTCTTGCTGGAATCTGTGCCCCAAAGATCTTTCTGAAGAAACCGTTTAGCTGATAACCCACTATCTATTCCATACTCTTTTAGTTCTGTGCCTTTATCTTTTTTCCCAGAAAGGACTTCTGTTAAAATTTAATCTGTATTGGGAAATGTGATGTATCGAGAGTCTAATCAAGGGACAAAAACCACACAGTAATTTGGTTAGGGAAAGTTTAATATAAAGAATTATTGTAACAGAGGAATATCTACTAAAGGATATTGATAGACATTCTACTAAAGGAGTAAAGATAATTCTAATGAATACAGGAGTAGAAGATAGAGGGAACAACTTCAACTCCTAGGATGGAATCAGAATATGAATATCCCCAATCATTCCCTCCCAGCAACGCAGGGCTAAGATGCAGAACTTCTGAAGAGGGAGCAGCTTTCATCACTACATGGCAGAGAAGTCTGCTGGGCTGCAAGGCTGGTGGAGCTCGAACTCACTGGGAAGGTGTCCATGAGGGTGGTACACTTAGGAATCTGCCCTCTGTGATGCTAGGAAAAGCCACCTTCCAGAGAGGTGTTGTACTTCCTGCTGGGAAGCTGTTCACAAGGGTGATATGTTGGAAAACTTCCCTAAGGGAGGCTCTGCACTGGTGGATTTTGCTACGAAGTTCTGGGGGAAGCTGCCCATAGGAATCTGCCATGCCAGGGACCTTACCAGGAAGCCATCCATCAGGTGATGCTGTTGAAATTTTCTGGGGGTGAGTACTATAAAATATACTACACACTACCTGAGGAAGAAGCAGAGAGAGATACACAGAACTAGGAAGAAAATCTTCTTCCTCTTCTAGTGCCTCTTCAGGACCCTCTACTGAAAAAGGCTAACATCAGGCCACCTGTCAGGGAAGAAATATTCCACTATCACAGACAAGACAATGAAGAATAGATTTTTGAGATGAGATGCAGTAAATTGATGACATTATTTTTGACTCAATTTATGATTTGCGGCTTCTTATTTGGAATATTTTCTTTGTCTATAGAATTTCCTTAGGTCTCCTGCTTCTCTTCCACCTATTCTGTGTTCCTTGCCATATCTTCCCTATACCCAAGCTCAGACTTCTAGTGCATTGCCCAGCATTCACTTCTGCTGTTATATCCTACTCTCATTCCAGTCATTACAAAAATGAAGTCTCTGTTCTAAATCCCCAGTGCTAGAATTTATCTTTGCGAAGTCCTTGACTTCATTTTTTCCCCAACTTTTCCTCCTAGCATAAGGATTGGAGATGTCTACATGGGTGGATCTCTGAATTTAGGGCAAGCAATTATTTTAACATTACTCTTGTGCCATTTTCCTATCAAAACTTGCTGACCCCAATTGCTATTCTGCTTGTTTATGTCTCCACACATTGGCTGTTTGTAGGTTTCTTTTGCTGTGGTTTTTGGACACTCATTCTTGCTGAATTTTCTTTAAGTAAACTTATTACCTAGAATAGTAATTATGGTCATCTTATTCTGTGAATCTTGCTGTTTCTTTCCACGGCTTGTTATTTTTTAGCTTGATCTATTCCAAAGGTCTCAAGACAGCCAAATATGTCACAGTCTTCCCCATGCAGACTGGAAAAATGCTAGTTCCATAGATCTTTATATTTTAACTTCTGGGAGTTAGTAATAGACAGTATTAGCCTTTGAGAGAAAATTACTGTCTTTAGATAATTTACTACAGTAAGGGTATTCTTAAAAAGAATTTATGGGAAACAATTTAGAATGACTCTTGTAAATATTTTGAGTTGCATTTATTGTTATTGGACTTGCTTAAAATTCCTATATATTAAAGCAATAAACAGACAGTTAGATTTCAGGCTTTACATGTAAAAGCCATCACTGAGCTATAGTTCTATTCATAGATAATTGCTCATATAAATATATTTGTAAAATATTGTATCATTACTTGGCTATAGCTATAGATAAGAAAAATATAAAAATTACTTTGATTTAATAAAGGAGATAATGAAATTTATTTGAGGTATGGGAACAAAATGGGTATTTACTAAATAACTGGTTAATTTTATTATTTTAGATAAGTAAAGATCAAACTCTTTTACAAGCAGAGCCTCCAAAACCTGACAAAACAGTCATTTTAAATATTGCAGAAATAGTAAGGCTTGTACAAAGATTTGAAGAACTGAAGAATCGCCTTAAACAGAGGTCTAAATCCTCCGTGAAAGTCATGTTGTCTAAAACTATGTAAGTGAAATATAAGAACTAATTGAATTAAAAACAGTAAGAAAGGGTATATAATTAGCACTGAATGTAAGATAATGGGTCAGATATGATGGCTATACACAGAGCTTCTTAGTCAAATCAGGTCTAGTCAGCTTGTTTCTATTTGCAATTTTAAATAATCTGAGATGTACAATACAGGAGACATTTGCTGCATGTGGCTATGCAAATTCAATGTAGAAAATCAGTTTCTTAGTCACACTAGCCGCATTTAAAGTGCTTAGTACCTACATGTGGCTGTTATTAGAAAGTTATATTGGACATTGCTAGCTTTGAAATATCTGGCTTATAAACTCTTCTCTCAGTTTGATTAGGAAACTCCTAGTAATAAATAGGAAACTAAGATCTAATGAAATACTTCATTGTTCATGAACACCTTCATTAATTATATTAACAGCTTATCAAGTAAAATTTTTACATTTATAAGCAACCATGTTTTTGCATTAGACAGATAAAACATTCTTTTTTTGTGTTAAAATAGAATATACATACCCATAGTTGGGAGGGGCCACTAGTTATGCAGTTACTTTAGTGATATCTCTGTCAATAACTGAAAATAATGAAGAGAGTGGTACTTGAGTTGGCTCCTGGGGGTTGCATAAGTAGATCCTTGGTTCAAAGATTAAGGTTTAGACCATATTCATACTTGACATTTAAGTGTCTGCTGTGTACTAGCGATTTTTGTAGTAACTTTACATGTATAATCTTTGATTTTCATAACTACTTTATGAGAAAGGTACTATTATACCCCAATTTTAATGAGAATAAACTGAAGCCAATAGAGGTTAAGTAATATACCTGGCTGAGGTCATATAATTAGTAAATGGATGAAACAGGTTTTGACCCAAAGGTCAGGTAGTCTCACTCCGGAACTTATGTCCTTCATCATTATACGATTGATAATAATACTTCGACAAAAAGATACCTCATGTTTCTAACAATTTATTTTTGCTGTTTTTGTTGTGAATGTTTTTGGTATACTTAATTATATTCATGGCCTACATGGAATTCATATAATTACATAGTTTAGTTTGACTTTTCAACTTGTAACTTGTAAGTTTACCTTAGTGTCTGTGAGTAAAGATTAAAGATATGTTTAATTTTTATTCTACAAACTTCATATGTCTGGACTTCACATTTTAGTTATTTTAGTGTAATTTAAACTCTTACTCTTTGATATATTAAAAAATATTTCATTTATCGAACTTTAACAGGGATAAAGAAAATCGACCAGAAGCAGTGAAAAGTTGTGAAGCTCTGGCACAGAAAATTGAAGGTGATAATATTTTATATATGTTTATCCTTAAAAATTTTATTAAAAATTTTGTTATTATTTTTATCTTTTAAAGAGAGGGTCTCACTCTGTCACCCATGCTGGAGTGTAGTGGCATGAATATCGCTCACTGCAGCCTCAAACTCTTGGGCTCAAGTGATCCTCTCTGCTCAGCCTTTTGAGGTAGCTAGGACCACAGGCACAGGCCACTGAGGCCAGCTGATTTTTTTTTTTTTGTACAGATGGAGGTCTCACTATGTCGCCCAGGCTGGTCTTGAACTTCTGGCCTCAAGTGATCCTCCCACCTCGGGCTCCTAAAATGTTGGGATTACAGGCATGAGCCGCCATGCCCGGCATGTTTGACTTTTGTGGGGTTTCCTAAGTGTATGAACATTTTGAGACTTAAAGTTAAAAATTTACAGTTATAAAATTATACAATGGTAAATTTAGATAATACTTAATAGTGAGTTTGATATTTTAATAAAAGTTTTTATTATGTTCCAAATTCTGGGAACATACAAAATGAATACAATGTGTATCCCCTATACAGACAACAATGTGGTTGTTACTTCCATAAAATTTACAGCTTAGTAAGGATACAAGTACATTATCTAGCATGTTAGTACAGTGTCATGCATGATAAAGGTATGTGGAATTTGCATTGGGTCCACAGAAAGGAGCAATCTGTTCAACCTAAGGAGTTAGAAGGCTTTATGCAACTTTAAAGGGTGAATAGGATTTAGTCAAGTAAAGAAGGGAAATATTTGGTATTTTAAGAAGACAATAGCATGAACAAACAACATGCATAGAGAATTACAACTGGATTGGTATTAGAGTAAGAAGCAATATATAGGGATGAAGTAACAGAGGGCCTAGTCATAGTGGGAATGGATGCTCTGCTAAGGAGCTTAGACTTTTTTCAAAAATAATAATCATTGAAGATTTTTTGTAGGATTTAATTTTAGAGAAGTTTTTTCCTGATTGCACTGTAGAAGCTAGATTTGGGGACTAGGAGTAGGAAAGGGAAGTTATTATACCTTAGATGTGTGATCAGTACCTATATTCAGAGACTAGTGAAAAGAAGAAGGGAGTCAGGTTTGAGAAATATTTACTTGAAAGTTGATGATTGGATATGGAAGGAAGGAAGACTAGATAATGATGGTACCATCAATGAATATAAGAGAATACAAGAGCAAAAACAAGTTTTGATGAGAAAGTGATGTTTATAATCAGCTGTTACACACATTCTTTTAAATATTACCATTTCTTACCTGATTAGGAAGATCTGCAGTGTTGGCAGTTATTATTTTTTCAAAGTTTTCTTTCTTCTGAATAAGTTACTAAAATTAAAACAATAAAATTTAAACTCAATTAGTATATATAATTGCCGTTTGAAGTTTATAGTGACAAATACACTTTTACTTCAGAATTCTTAGAAGCCCACTCAACTGATGAATTTAAAGATGTTTCTGCAACAGAACCACGTAAGTTTCCACTCATTAAAGCATTATTGTGATAATAACCTCTGTTACATTAATTTCTATAAAGTAATAATTATTAGGTTAACAGTGCAGACTCCTTGCCTTGGAGTTTGGAGCCATATAGTTGAGCTGGTTGTCAAGCAAGTATTGAAATTCTTAGTTAAGGATACGTGTTACTGAAACTAGATTCTTTTTTTTTTTTTTTTTTTTTTTTTTTTTTGGAGACAGAGTCTTGCTCTGTTGCCCAGGCTGGAGTGCAGTGGCATGATCTCAGCTCACTGCAACCTCTGCCTCCTGGGTTCAAGTGATTCTCGTCCCTCAGCCTCCCAAGTAGCTGGGATTACAGGCATGCACCACCACACCCAGCTAACTTTTGTATTTTTTTTTCTTTTTTTTTTAGTAGAGAGAGTTTCACCATGTTGGCCAGGCTGGTCTTGAACTCCTGACCTCAGGTAATCTGCCTGCCTTGGCCTCCCAAAGTGCTGGGATTACAGGCGTGAGCCACTGCGCCCGGCCTAGATTAATTTTTGAGGAGTGCATGTTAGTACATGGAATGGAGAATTTTGAGTTGTGATTAGAACGTACTACTGAAATGTTGGCAGGCCTTTGAGGTGTGGCAGTGATAAATTTAAATAGTTTGTAGATTTTGTTACTAGGAATTATATCCACAAATGCTTTGACTGCAGATGAGTAGTTGTCAGTTCAGGAATATAAAGAACTGCTAGAGCTTGTATGTTAAGTTTATGACTATTTGTCAATAGAAAGGAAATTAACTTACTTGTGTCTTAGGGCTGGAGAGAATTTTGAAATAATAGTGTAAAGCACACTATGGAATACAGTTCAAAAGTAGAAAATAATATTTGCTTGGAACAGGTTGCTGGGAATTCTGCCCTCTTTCAACTTCAGCTTTAAACCCAAACGTTGCCATGTTTAAACCAAGGACAGCTGCACATCTTACAGCACTCCCAAGTTCTATAGAGATTTCTGGTTGAAGAGAGCTCTGACTGACTAGGTGGGGTAGAAAGGTATATAGAACTTAGGAGTAGATAGTGAAAACCTCTGTATACATCGAGGGGAATCCTTTGTACATCTATGGACCTCTCAAGAGCTCTCTCTTTTTCTCTCTCTCAATCTGTATGGTTGCCTTCCTTCTAATATTGTACCTTGGCTTCCACAAACACTGAACTTTGTTTCCTAAACTCAAGGTGACCAGTATGCTCTGAGTTCCCCTTCCCTACACTGTGGACTGGCAATTCTAGACAGCAAACTGGGGTCATCACAGGGCCTTTCCACTTTATTTCCATATGTACTGCATTCACTGTTTTCCAATTTCTGAATACCACTGTTTCATGTATTTTTGTCCAGTATTTAAGTGGTTTAAAGTAGAAAAGTAATTCTGGTCCCTGATGCTCCATCATGGATGAAAGCAGAAATCCCTGTACCCACTTATAGTCTAATGGAATACATCTTCCAATCATAAAACCACATTTCAAAAGGATAAAATATAGTTGAGATTTTGCTCATGGTTCTAAAGGGGAACAGAGGACAGAATTATATTGTACAATATGGAGAAAATGCTTTGCAAATTCGTAAGATCTTTTTTCAGTGGCAGTTGTTTCAGGTTCTTAGCTTTACTAGTATTGACCTACTGTCTTTCTCTGTTGCTGTATTTCACTTGTTTACCATAATTTTCTTTTAAAAGTACCTCCTGTCTTCTTCTCTGGCCACACTTAATCCTCTCTTCCCTTCCTGTTTTCTAAATTCTATTAAATCTTATAGCCTGGCCAGCAAGACAAAAGCTACCTTTGTATTGCACTCTGGTTTTGCTTTCAGGTCACAATTTCATCTTGATGTTGCTTCATTTAATAATTAATAGACTATTTTTTAGAGAAGTTTTAGGTTCACAGAAAAATTGAACAGAAATTACAGAGCTCCCATTAGTGCAGTCCCCCCATTCCCGCATAAAGCTTCCCCTGTTATTAACATTTTGCATTAATGTGATACATTTGTTATGGTTGATGAACCAATTTTGATACATTATTATTAACTAAAGTCCATAGTTTACATCTGGTTTGCTTTTTGCCTTGTACAGCTCAGTGGGTTTTGACAAATGTATCATGTCTTGGATCCACCATTACAGTGTCACAGAATAGTTTAATTGCCCCCAAAATCCCCTGTGTCCCACCTATTCACCTCTTCCTCCATCCACCTGAATCCCTGGAAACCACTAATCTGTTTATTTACTGTTTCTGTAGTATTTCCTTTTCAAGAATGTTGTATATTTGATATTATTAGTCTTTCTTTTACCTAACAATGTACAGTTAAAGTTCCTCTGTGTTTCAATAGTTTGTCAAAGTTTCAATAGTTTGACAGTTTATTTCTTTTTAATTGCTGATAAATAATCAATTTATGGATTTACTACAATTTATCCATTTACCTATGAAAGGGCATCTTGGTTGTTTCCACGTTTTGGCAATTATAAATAAAGCTACTATCAACACTTTTGTTCAGGTTTTTGTGTGGATGTAAGTTTTCAGCTCAATTGGGTAAACACAAAGGAGCATGACTGCTAAGTCATATAATAAGAGTTGTTTAGCATTATAAGAAACTGCCAAATAAGCGTGCAAAGGGGCTGTACCATTTTGCATTCCCCCCTGCAATTGAGGAGAATTCTTGTTGCTCCATATCTTTGTCAGCATTTAGAATTGACAGTGTTTGGGCTTTTAGCCATTCTAATAGTTGTGTAGTGATTTTTCATTGTTTTCATTTGCAGTTCCATGATTATACATGATGTTGAGCATGTTTTCATAAGCTTATTTGCCATCTGTTTCATTTCTTTGGTGAGGTATTCAGGTCTTTTACCCATTTTAAAAATTGGGTTATTCGTTTTCTTATTGTTGAGTTTTAAGAGTTCTTTTTATATTTTGGATACAAGCCTTGTATCAGATATGTATTTGGCAAAGATATTCTCTCAGTCTGTGGCTTATCTTTTCATTCTTTTAGCAGTGTCTTTTGCAGAGCCAGAATAAAGTCAAACTTAACATTTTTTTTTTATTTCACGAATTGTGCTTTAGGTGTTGTGTGTAAAAATTCATCTTCAAACCCAAAGTTACCTAGATAGTCTCTTCTACTGCCTTGTAAAAGTTTTATAGTTTTGCATTTTACATTTATAACTATGATCCATTTTGAGTTAATTTTTTTTTTTTTGAGATGGAGTCTCGCTCTGTCGCTGGAGTACAATGGTGCAATCTCGACCCACTGCAACCTCCGCCTCCCTGTTCAAGTGATTCTCCTGCCTCAGCCTCCCTAGCAGCTGGGACCACAGGCGTGCGCCACCACGCCCGGCTAATTTTTGCATTTTTAGTAGAGATGGGGTTTCACCATGTTGGTCAGGCTGGTCTCGAACTCCTGAACTCGTGATCCGCCTGCCTCAGCCTCCCAAAGTACTGGGATTACAGGCGTGAGCCACTGCGCCCAGCCCATTTTGAGTTAATTTTTGTGAGAACTGTAAAGTCTATGTCTAGAGTCATTGTTTTTTTTTTTTTGCATTTGGATGTCCAGTTGTTTCAGCATCATTTGTTGAGAAGAGTACTATTTCTTCATTGAGTTGCCTTTGTTCCTTTGCCAAAGATCAGTTGCGTATATTTGTGAGTCTGTTTTTGGACTCTTTATTCTGTTTGCTTGTCTGTCTATTTTGGCAGTGCTACATGTCTTGATTACTTTAGCTTTTAGTAAGTATTGAAGTTGGGTAGTGTCAGTCCTCCAACTTTGTTGTTCTTCAACATTGTGTTGACTTCTCTGGGTCTATTAAACTTTATAAACTTTAGAAACAATTTGTTGGTATCCAAAAAATACCTTGCTGGGATTTTGATTGAGATTGCATTGAATCTATGGATTAAATGGACAAGAACTTGTATCTTAACAATATTGTATCTTTCATTCTATGAACTTGAAATATCTCTCCATTTATTTAGATCTTATTTGCTTTCTTTCATCAGAGTAATGAACTTTTCCTCATATAGATCTCGTACATATTTTCTTTTAGATTTACACTGAAGTGTTGAAATTTCAGTGCTACTATAAATGGTGTTAATATCTATAATTTAAAATTCAAATACAAATGCTTCATTGCTGGTATATAGGAAAGCAATTGCAATTAACTTTTGTGTCCTGTAAATTTGCAATAATTGTTTATTACTAGATATTGGTGATTCTTTGGGATATTCTATAGAGACAGTCACATTATCTAACAGACAGTGTTACTTCTTCCTTCTGATTTTCTTTTCTTATATTATTGCATTAGCTAGGACTTCCAGTATGATGTTAAATAGCATGGTAAAAATGGGCATGCTTGCCTTCTTCCTGATCTTAGGGAGGAAGCATTTAGGATTTCACTGTAAGTATGATGTTAGCTATAAACTTTCTGTAGATTTTCTTTATCAAACTGAGGAAGCTTACTTCTATTTTATTTATAATTTACAAAGAGTTTTTTAAAATTATGAGTAGGTGTTAGATTTTGTCAAATACGTTTTCTGCATTTATTGATATGATCATATGATTTTTCTTCTTTAGCATGTAGATTACATTAATTGATTTTTGAATATTGGACTAGCCTTACGTACCTGGAATAACCCATTTGGTTGTGTTGTATAGTTCTTTCTATACATTTATGTATGTGATTTGCTAATGTTTTGTTGAGGATTTTCACATATGTATTCATGAAAGATATTCATCTGTAGTTTTCTTTTCTTGTAATGTCTTTGTCCGGCTTTGGTATTGGAGTGATACTGGCCTCATAGAATGAGTCAGGAAATGTTCTCTGTGTTTCTGTCTTCTGGAAGAGATCATAAAGAATTGGCATAATTTCTTAGTTAAATTTTGGTAGAATTTGCCAAGTGAAACCATCTGAGCATAGTACCTGCTGTTTTGGAAGGTTATTAATTATTGATTCAATTTCTTTTAAATAGGCCTATTCATAATATCAATTTCTCCTTTGTGAGTTTTGGTAGATTGTGAGTTTCCAAGAATTTGTCCATATAATCTAAATTATCAAATTTGTTAGCATAAGTTATTTATAGTATTTGTTTATTGTCCCTTTATGTCCATGTGGTCGGTAGGGATGGTCCCTCTTTCTTTTTTTGCAAATAGAAATAATTTTATTTCTTGCATTCGTATTTGGACACCTTTTATTTCTTTTCTTGCTTAATTGCTCTAGCTAGGAATTCCAGCACTATGTTGAATAGAAGTGGCAAGAATGGGCATCTTTATCTTGTTCTTCATCTTAGAGGAAAATCTTTCAACTTTTCACTGTTGACTGTGTAGCTGTGGGCTTGTGATAGTTGGCCATTATTGTTTTGAAGTACATTCCTTCTGTATCTAATTTATTATTTTTGTCATGAAAGAATGTTGAATTTTTTCAAATGTTTTTCCCCATATATTGAGGCTATCATATGATTTTTGTATTTTATTCTAGTAATACAGTATATCACATTTATTTGCATATTTTGAACCATCTTTGCACCCCAGGGATCAGTCCCACTTGGTCATAGTGAATGATTCTTTTAATGTGCTGTCAATTCAGTTTGCTAGTATTTTGTTAAAGATATTTGTATCCATATTCATCAGAGATATTGGACTGTGTTTTCTTTTCTCATAGCGTCTTTGTCTGGCTTTGGTATTAGGGTAATACTAACCTTGAAAAATAGTTCAGAAGTATTCCTTCCTCTTCAAGATTTTCGAAGAATTCGAGAAGGATTCTACTAGTTCTTTAAATGTTGGGTAGAATTAGGCCATAAAACCACTGGGTCCTGGTTTTTTCTTTTTTTTTTTTTAGTGGGGGATTTTATCACTGAGTCAGTCTTCTTATTAATTACTAGTCTGTTCAGACTTTCTGTTTCTTCATGATTTAGTCTTGGTGGGTTGTATGTGTCTATGAATTATCCAGTTATTTTAGGGTATCTAATTTGTGGGTGTATAAATGTTCACAGTAGTCTTTATCCTTTGTATTTTTGTGGTATCAGTTATTATGTCTCTTCTTTCTTTTCCAATGTTACTTGAGTCTTGCTGTTTTTTCTTAGTCCAGCTAAAGTCTTGTCAATTATGTTTATCTTTTCAAAAACCAAATCTTAGTTTTGTTGAACTTTTCTATGATTTTTCTAGTCTCTATTTTATGTACTTCTGCGCTAATCTCTTATTTCCTTCCTTTTACTAACTTTGGGCTCAGTTTGTTCTTTTTCTAGTTCCTTGAGGTGTGACATTACGTTATTTGAGCTCTTTTGTCTTTTTTTAATGTATACTTTATTTATTTACTTATTTATTTAGAGATAGGGTCTTGCTCTGTTGCCCAGGCTGGAGTAGAGTGATGTGATCATAGCTCACTCCAACCTCAAACTCCTGGCCTCAAGTGATTCTCTCACTTAGCCTCCTTAGTAGCTGATATTGCAAGTGTGGGACACTGTGCCCAGCTTGAATGTAGGTTTTTATTGCTATAATCTTCCTTTTAATAACTGCTTTTGCTGCATCACATAAATTTTGGTATGTTTCCATTTTTGTGTGTCATAAGATATTTTTTGATTTCTTTTTGATTTTCTTTTTGACCCATTGCTCAGGAGTATGTTAGTTTCCACATATTTGTAAATCTTTCAATTTTTCTTCAGTTATTGATTTCTAGTTTCATGCCACTGTGATTGGGAAATACTTGATATGATTTTAGCCTTCTTAAATTTTATAAGACTTACTGGCCTAACACAAGATCTGTCCTTTAGAACATTCCATTTGCACTTGAGAAAGCTCTATATTCTCCTGCTGTTGAATGGACTATCTTGTATATGTCTGTTAGGTCCATTGGTGTAAAGTGTGGTTAAAATGTAAGGTTTCCTTATTTGTTTTCTGTCTGGATGATTTGTCCATTATTGAATGTAGAGTACTGAAGGCCTCTGCTATTATTGTATTGCTGTCTATCTCTCTCTTCAGATCTATTAATATTTGTTTTATATATTTAGGTGTTGCAATGTTGGGTGTGTATATATTTGTTATATTCTCTTGAGCTTTTTTCATTATATAATAATCTTCTTTGTCTCTTGTGACTGTTTTTGATTTAAAGTATCTGGTCTGATGTCCAAGTATAGCCACAGCTGCTCATTTATTGGTTTCTAATTGCATGGAGTATCTACTTAACATCCCTTCACATTTATTCTGTGAGTAAGCAGCAGGTAGTCTTGTTTTTTTATTCATTCAGCCCTTCTGTGTCTTTGAATTGAATAATTTGATCCATTTACTCTCAAGTTACCTTTAATAAATAAGGACTTACTATTGCCATTCTGTTAATTGCTTTTTAGCTGTTTTGTAGATCCTTTGTTCTTTTATTCCCTGTTTGCTATCTTCCTTTGTGATTTGTTGATATACTTTTACTCCCCTCTAAGCATTTTATGTTTTTGATGTTATAATTCACATATTTTATATTGAATTTTATTAAGAAATTATTGTAGCTATAGGTATTTTGTTTTTTACCCTTTATTCTGTAGACATAAGTGATTTACAGACTACTGTTACAATATTATGGTATGTAATTTTACTATATACACACTTTCACCAGTGAGTTTTATACTTTCATATGTATTTGTGTTACTACTTAGTGTCCTTTCATTTCAGATTGAAGAGCTCCCTTTATCATTTTTGTAAGGCAAGCCTGATGATGATGAACTCCCTGAGCTTTTGTCAGAGAAAGTATCACTCCTTCATTTTTGTAGACCAACTTTTCTGGGTAAGGTATTCTTGGTTGGCAGTTTTTTTCTTCCAGAACTTTGAAAATATCTTCTTACTCTCTCTTAGACTGCAAAATTTTCACTGCTGATAGCCCTATGGGGATTCTCTCTGTGTGAGGAAGCTCTTTTCTTTGTTGCTTTCAAGATTCTCTTTTTGTCTTTAATTTTTGACAGTTTGGTTATAATACATTTTGATGAAATATTCTTTGGGTTGTACCTGTTTGGAGACGTTTTATCTTTCTGATGTTTATATCTTTCCCTATATTTGGGACATTTTGAGCCATTATTTCTTCAAATAAGCTTTCTGCCCCTTTTTCTTTTCTTTTTTTTTAATTCCTATAATGTAAATGATAACACTCTTGATGCTGTCCCATAAATCCTGTAGGCTTTATTTATTTTATTTTTCAGAATTAAAAAATTTAAATTTTTACATATTTAGAGGAGATAACTGCAGATTTCTTACATGTATATATTGTGTCGTGGTGAAGTCTGGGCTTTTAGTGTACCCATCACCTGAATAGTGAACATTGTATCCAATAGGTAATAGCCTTTAAAATTCCTTTTTATTCTTTATTCTTTTTTTCCTAACTGTATATTTTCAAATAACTTTCTTTAAGTTTACAGATTCTTTCTTCTCCTTGATGAATTATACAGTGGACATATTTTTTACTTATCTTTTCTAATTTTAATTTTATTATATTCTTTGGCATCAGAATTTCTTTTTTTTATTATACTTTAAGTTTTAGGGTACATGTGCACAACGTGCAGGTTAGTTACATATGTATACATGTGCCATGTTGGTGTGCTGCACCCAGTGACTCGTCATTTAACATTAGGTATATCTCCAAATGCTATCCCTCCCACCTCCCCCAACCCCACAACAGGCCCCGGTGTGTGATGTTCCCTTTCCTGTGTCCATGTGTTCTCATTGTTCAGTTCCCACCTATGAGTGAGGACATGCGGTGTTTGGTTTTTTGTCCTTGCGATAGTTTGCTGAGAATGATGGTTTCCAGCTTCATCCATGTCCCTACAAAGGACATGAACTCATCCTTTTTTATGGCTGCATAGTATTCCATGGTGTATACATGCCACATTTTCTTAATCCAGTCTATCATTGTTGGACATTTGGGTTGGTTCCAAGTCTTTGCTATTGTGAATAGTGCCGCAATAAACATACGTGTGCATGTGTCTTTATAGCAGCATGATTTATAATCCTTTGGGTATATACCCAGTAATGGGATTGCTGGGTCAAATGGTATTTCTAGTTCTAGATCCTTGAGGAATCACCACACTGCCTTCCACAATGGTTGAACTAGTTTACAGTCCCACCAACAGTGTAAAAGTGTTCCTATTTCTCCACATCCTCTCCAGCACCTGTTGTTTCCTGACTTTTTAATGATCACCATTCTAACTGATGTGAGATGGTATGTCATTGTGGTTTTGATTTGCATTTCTCTGATGGCCAGTGATGATGAGCATTTTTTCATGTGTCTTTTGGCTGCATAAAAGTCTTCTTTTGAGAAGTGTCTGTTCATACCTGTTGCACACTTTTTGATGGGGTTGTTTTTTTCTTCTAAATTTGTTTGAGTTCATTGTAGATTCTGGATATTAGCCCTTTGTCAGATGAGTAGATTGCAGAAATTTTCTCCCATTCTGTAGGTTGCCTGTTCACTCTGATGGTAGTTTCTTTTGCTGTGAAGAAGCTCTGTAGTTTAATTCGATCCCATTTGTCAATTTTGGCTTTTGTTGCCATTGCTTTTGGTGTTTTAGACATGAAGTCCTTGCCCATGCCTATGTCCTGAATGGTATTGCCTAGGTTTTCTTCTAGGGTTTTTATGGTTTCAGGTCTAACATTTAAGTCTTTAATCCATCTTGAATTGATTTTTGTATAAGGTGTAAGGAAGGGATCCAGTTTCAGCTTTCTACATATGGCCAGCCAGTTTTTCCAGCACCGTTTATTAACTAGGGAATCCTTTCCCCATTTCTTGTTTTTCTCAGGTTTGTCAAAGATCAGATGGTTTTCGATGTGTGGTATTATTTCCAAGGGCTCTATTCTGTTCCATTGGTCTATATCTCTGTTTTGATACCAGTACCATGCTGTTTTGGTTACTGTAGCCTTGTAGTATAGTTGGAAGTCAGGTAGCGTGATGCCTCCAGCTTTGTTCTTTTGACTTAGGATTGACTTGGCAATGTGGGCTCTTTTTTGGTTCCATATGAACTTTAAAGTAGTTTTTTCGAATTCTATGAAGAAAGTCATTGGTAGCTTGATGCGGATGGCATTGAATCTATAAATTACCTTGGGCAGTATGGCCATTTTCACAATATTGATTCTTCCTATCCATGAGCATGGAACGTTCTTCCATTTATTTGTGTCCTCTTTTATTTCACTGAGCAGTGGTTTGTAGTTATCTTTGAAGAGGTCCTTCACATGCCCTGTAAGTTGTATTGCTAGGCATTTTATTCTCTTTGAAGCAATTGTGAATGGGAGTTCCCTCATGATTTGGCTCCCTGTTTGTCTGTTATTGGTATATAGGAATGCTTGTGATTTTTGCACATTGATTTTGTATCCTGAGACTTTGCTGAAGTTGCTCATCAGCTTAAGGAGATTTTGGGCTGAGACGATGGGGTTTTCTAAATATACAGTCATGTCATCTGCAAACAGGGACAATTTGACTGCCTCTTTTCCTAATTCAATACCCTTTATTTCTTTCTCTTGCCTTATTGCCGTGGCCAGAACTTCCAATACTATGTTGAATAGGAGTGGTGAGGGAGGGCATTGCTGTCTTGTGCCAGTTTTCAAAGGGAATGCTTCCAGTTTTTGCCCATTCAGTATGATATTGGCCGTGGGTTTGTCATAAATAGCTCTTATTATTTTGAGATATGTCCCATCAATTACCTAGTTTATTGAGAGTTTTTAGCATGAAGCGCTGTTGAATTTTGTCAAAGGCCTTTTCTGCATCTATTGAGATAATTGTGTGGTTTTTGTTGTTGGTTCTGTTTATATGATGGATTACATTTATTCATTTGTGCATGTTGAACCAGCCTTGCATCCCAGGGATGAAGCCCACTTGATCGTGGTGGATAAGCTTTTTGATGTGCTGCTGAATTTGGTTTGCCAGTATTTTACTGAGGATTTTTGCATCGATGTTCATCAGGGATATTGGTCTAAAATTCTCTTTCTTTGTTGTGTCTCTGCCAGGCTTTGGTATCAGGATGATGCTGGCCTCATAAAATGAGTTAGGGAGCATTCCGTCTTTTTCTATTGATTGGAATAGTTTCAGAAGGAGTGGTACCAGCTCCTCCTTGTACCTCTGGTAGAATTCGGCTGTGAATCCATCTGGTCCTGGACTTTTTTTGGTTGGTAAGCTATTAATTATTGCCTCAATTTCAGAGCCTGTTATTGGTTTATTCAGAGATTCAACTTCTTCCTGGTTTAGTCTTGGGACGGTGTGTCGAGGAATTTATCCATTTCTTCTAGATTTTCTAGTTTATTTGCATAGAGGTGTTTATAGTATTCTCTGACAGCAGTTTGTATTTCTGTAGGATTGGTGGTGATATCCCCTTTATCATTTTTTATTGCGTCTATTTGATTCTTCTCTCTTTTCTTCTTTATTAGTCTTGCTAGTGGTCTATCAATTTTGTTGATCTTTTCAAAAAATCAGCTCCTGGATTCATTGAATTTTTGAAGGGTTTTTTGTGTCTCTATTTCCTTCAGTTCTGCTCTGATCTTAGTTATTTCTTGCCTTCTGCTAGCTTTTGAATGTGTTTGCTCTTGCTTCTCTAGTTCTTTTAATTGTGATGTTAGGGTGTCCATTTTAGAGATCTTTCCTGCTTTCTCTTGTGGGCATTTAGTGCTATAAATTTCCCTCTACACACTGCTTTGAATGTGTCCCAGAGATTCTAGGATGTTATGTCTTTGTTCTTGTTGGTTTCAAAGAACATCTTTATTCCTGCCTTCATTTCATTATTTACCCAGTAGTCATTCAGGAGCAGGTTGTTCAGTTTCCATGTAGTTGAGCAGTTTTGAGTGAGTTTCTTAATCCTGAGTTCTAGTTTGATTGCACTGTGGTCTGAGAGACAGTTTGTTATAATTTCTGTTCTTTTACATTTGCTGAGGAGTGCTTTACTTCCAACTATGTGGTCAATTTTGGAATAAGTGCTGTGTGGTGCTGAGAAGATTGTATATTCGGTTGATTTGGGGTGGAGAGTTCTGTAGATGTCTATTAGGTCCACTTGGTGCAGAGCTGAGTTCAATTCCTGGATATCCTTGTTAACTTTCTGTCTCTTTGATCTGTCTAATGTTGACAGTGGGTTGTTAAAGTCTCCCATTATTATTGTGTGGGAGTCTACATCTCTTTCTAGGTCTCCAAGGACTTGCTTTATGAATCTGGGTGCTCCTGTATTGGGTACATATATATTTAGGTTAGTTAGCTCTTCTTGTTGAATTGATCCCTTTACCATTATGTAATGGCCTTCTTTGTCTCTTTTGATCTTTGTTGGTTTAAAGTCTGTTTTATCAGAGACTAGGATTGCAACCCCTGCCTTTTTTTGTTTTGCATTTGCTTGGTAGATCTTCCTCCATCCCTTTATTTTGAGCCTGTGTGTGTCTCTGCACGTGAGATGGGTTTCCTGAATACAGCACACTGATGGGTCTTGAGTCTTTATCCAATTTGCCAGTCTGTGTCTTTTAATGGGAGCATTTAGCCCATTTACATTTAAGGTTAATATTGTTATGTGTGAATTTGATCATGTCATTATGATGTTAGCTGGTTATTTTGCTCATTAGTTGATGCAGCTTCTTCCTAGCCTCGACGATCTTTACAATTTGGCATGTTTTTGCAGTGGCTGGTTGTTCCTTTCCATGTTTAGTGCTTCCTTCAGGAGCTCTTTTAGGGCAGGCCTGATGGTGACAAAATCTCTCAGCATTTGCTTGTCTGTAAAGGATTTTATTTCTCCTTCACTTATGAAGCTTAGTTTGGCTGGATATGAGATTCTGGGTTGAAAATTCTTTTCTTTAAGAATGTTGAATATTGGCCCCCACTCTCTTCTGGCTTGTAGAGTTTCTGCCGAGAGATCAGCTGTTAGTCTGATGGGCTTCCCTTTGTTGGTAACTGGACCTTTCTCTCTGGCTGCCCTTAACATTTTATCCTTCATTTCAACTTTGGTGAATCTGACAATTATATGTCTTGGAGTTGCTGTTCTCGAGGAATGTCTTTGTGGTGTTCTCTGTGTTTCCTGAATTTGAATGTTGGCCTGCCTTGCTAGATTGGGGAAGTTCTCCTGGATAATATCCTGAAGAGTGTTTTCCAACTTGGTTCCATTCTCCCCATCACTTTCAGGTACACTAATCAGATTTGGTCTTTTCACATAGTCCCATATTTCTTGGAGGCTTTGTTCGTTTCTTTTTATTCTTTTTTCTCTAAACTTCTCTTCTTACTTCATTTCGTTCATTTGATCTTCCATCACTGATACCCTTTCTTCCAGTTGATCGAATCGGCTACTGAGGCTTGTGCATTCGTCATGTAGTTCTCGTGCCTTAGTTTTCAGCTCCATCAGTCCTTTAAGGACTTCTCTGCATTGGTTATTCTAGTTAGCCATTCGTCTAATTGTTTTTCAAGGTTTTTAACTTCTTTGCCATGGGTTTGAACTTCCTTTTTTAGCTCAGAGTAGTTTGATTGTCTGAAGCCTTCTTCTCTCAACTCGTCGAAGTCATTCTCCGTCCAGCTTTGTTCCATTGCTGGTGAGGAGCTGCGTTCCTTTGGAGGAGGAGAGGCACTCTGATTTTTAGAGTTTCCAGTTTTTCTGCTCTGTTTTTTCCCCATCTTTGTGGTTTTATCTACCTTTGGTCTTTGATGATGGTGACTTACAGATGGGGTTTTGGTGTGGATGTCCTTTCTGTTTGTTAATTTTCCTTCCAACAGTCAGGACCCTCAGCTGCAGGTCTGTTGGAGTTTGCTGGAGGTCCACTCCAGACCCTGTTTGCCTGGGTATCAGCAGCGGAGGCTGCAGAACAGCAGATATTGGTGAACAGCAAATATTGCTGCCTGATCGTTCCTCTGGAAGTTTTGTCTCAGAGGAGTACCTGGCCATGTGAAGTGTCAGTCTGCCCTTTCTGGGGGGTGCCTCCCATTTAGGCTACTCAGGGGTCAGGGACCCACTTGAGGAGGCAGTCTGTCCGTTCTCAGATCTCCAGCTGCGTGCTGGGAGAACCACTACTCTCTTCAAAGCTGTCAGACAGGGACATTTAAGTCTTCAGAGGATTCTGCTGCCTTTTGTTTGGCAATGGCCTGCCCTCAGAGGTGGAGTCTACAGAGGCAGACAGGCCTCCTTGAGCTGTGGTTGGCTCCACCCAGTTTGAGCTTCCTGGCTGCTTTATTTACCTATTCAAGCCTCGGCAATGGCGGGCGCCCCTCCCTCAGCCTTGCTGTGGCCTTGCAGTTTGATCTCAGCCTGCTGTGCTAGCAATGAGTGAGGCTCCGTGGGCGCAGGACCCTCCAAGCCAGGCGCGGGATATAATCTCCTGGTGTGCTGTTTGCTAAGACCATTGGAAAAGCGCGGTATTAGGGTGGGAGTGACCTGTTTTTCCAGGTGCCGTCTGTCACCCCTTTCTTTGACTAGGAAAGGGAATTCCCTGATCCCTTGTGCTTCCCAGGTGAGGCAATGCCTTGCTGTGCTTCGGCTGATGCTCGTTGCGCTGCACCCAGTGTCCTGCACCCACTTTCCGACACTCCCCAGTGAGATGAACCCGGTACCTCAGTTGGAAATGCAGAAATCACCCGTCTTCTGCGTCGCTCACGCTGGGAGCTGTAGACTGGAGCTGTTCCTATTTGGCCATCTTGGCTCCAACCCCCCAGCATCAGAATTTCTGTATGGTTCTTCTGTATGATTTCTATCACTCTGTTAAACTTCTCATTTTGTTCGTGTATTGTTTTTCTGATTTTTGTTAAGTTGTCCATCAGTGTTTTCTTATAGCTTACTGAGCTTCCTTAAAACTATTATTTGAATATTTCGTCAGATATTGATAGAGTCACTTCTTCTAGACTTTATGGACTAGTTTTATATGAAAAGATCTTCACCTATGGGTGGTTGTGAGTACACTAGCTGGGTGGGGTGTGGCAATTCAGGATCCAGTGAGGTTGTGGCAGTTTAGTGTTCATGTAGCTTTTTCGGCTGTGGTTGATATGGGTAAAAATTTCAGTGGTGTACAGTGGCCAAGGCTGTAGGTATCTGCAACAGTGGGAAAGCCTGACAGAATTCTTCTAATCTCTTTTACTTCCCTAAGGGAAGCTGTGGCAGAGGTGACACCTCTTGGTTCTGGATTTGGCTGGTGGGTGTGCTTCTAGTGACAGTGGTACTAATGTCTGATGCATGATACCTGTGGAGTGGTCAAGGAGCTTGGATCTGGGAGCACAGGCATGTATGGATTGACAGTGGCTTTGGGGTCCAGATGCTAGTGTGTGCAAGTCTACTGCTGCTCTGAGGACTGTGATATGGATATCCCTGCTGCATTGATGGTTCTGGTGTCTAGAATGCAGGCACTTGTTGAGTGGTTGCAGAGCCACATTCTGGAATGTGGTCACACCTGGAGAGCAACAGTTGCGTGGGCTAGCTTGTTGTGGTGGTAGCTCTGATGTCTGATGCATGTGCAGTCAGAGTCTCAAAGAGTTGCAGCAGAGCTGAGGTTGCAGCCCACATGTGTACTGAGAGACTGCAGCTTCAGGGCCCTGGGCAAGGCTAGCATGTAAAGCCAGTGGCTCTGGTGACTATATTATACATGTGCATGGTGCAGCCTTAGAGATGTGGACTGGAGTGTGAACACATGCAGAGCAACAGTGGTTCCAGGATTGAGCTGTGGCTTAGCTCACTGTGGCAGTGGCTCAGATACCTGAAGCATAGGATTCCTAGAGGAGTGGCAGAGCTAGGGTTCATTGTGCAGGCTGGTGCAGAGTGAGCATGGCTCTAGGGCCTGGGGTGGGGCTAGCCCTCAGTGAAGGGGGCTGTGGTGTCTGAGGCATGGAAGTGCGTGATCCAACGTTCAAGCCAGTGCTGGAGCCTGGGTACATATGGAAAGATTGTGACTCTGTGGTCTGGGTCACACATGGAATTGGGGCATGGTGGCTCTGGTCCTGGGTTGGCACAACAGTGGTTCCTTCTTGGTGGTGGATGGAGCAACATTTCTCTTATCTGGGGGTTTAATGGTGGCAGTGGTTATTAGTTATCTCAGTGGTGAGAGCTGTCAGTGTTCTCTGTAGAGCAGGCTACTAGGAACCATGGTGGGACATGTTGCATGGCTCATAGTGATAGTTCCTGCACTCTTCCTCATTCCTTGCTGTCTCCAGCTGTCTCTGGTATGCTGATCTCCTCAGCTATCCTGTCTGTGTGGTTATTCTCCATTTTTTTGCTTTACTATCTTGCTGCAACTTCTTTGAGACTTTGAGCCCTACCAAGGCCACTTTCATCCATGGATAGCTGTCTAGTGGTTGTTTCTTTGTGGGGAGATGAAGACTGATATCTCCTACTTTCTCATCTTGCTAATGTCATTTTGTGTTCTTCCTTTTTTTCCCCCAGGAATGTTTTGTAATGGCTTTTTCTTCTTTCTGGGGACTGAATTTTCAAATTGTGGCTGAAATAATAGTTGATGTTCCTTGTAGTCCTTTACCATATTTAGGGCAGAATTTAAAATCGTCTCATATGCTATGATCAGATTACTCTTAAAATATTGTTTTATTTTGGCTGGGTGCAGTGGCTCACGCCTGTAATCCCAGCACTTTGGGAGGCCCAGACGGGCTGATCATGAGGTCAGGAGATTGAGACCATCCTGGCTAACACAGTGAAACCCTGTCTCTACTAAAAATACAAAAAAATTACCTGGGTGTGGTGGTGGGCTCCTGTAGTCCCAGCTACTCGGGAGGCTGAGGCAGGAGAATGGCAGTGAACCCGGGAGGCAGAGCTTGCAGTGAGCTGAGATCGCGCCACTGCACTCCAGCCTGGGCGACAGAGCGAGACTCCGCCTCAAAAAAAAAAAAGTTGGTGTTTTATTTTATCATTTACTGTAACTTTTTATGTAAACATTTTAAATTATTCTCTCTTACCTACAAAAAATTATAAATTTAATTCTTACGAAGCTGGCTTCTCCCAGTATCCTATTTGAATCTTTGAGGAATATTGACTCTCTCAAAGTAAAGCCTCTGTTTGACTTGGTTTCTTGGTTGTACTTGATATATTTGGTACCCTGAATATATTTTACACATTTCTACTTTTTCTGCCTTTGCTTAGGGTGTTTACTTTTCATTTTTTTCTCTCTAATGAAACTCTGTCCATTCTTTAAGGCTTAGCTTCTTTATGTTTTTCTACTTTAACTTCTCAGCTCCTAAATATTTATTATTCTTCTATACCACTCTTTTGACACGTGGGATAGAAAAAATATAATTAATGTTTAGGAACTCTTGTATGCTTCTATATTATTTAACATTTTCTTTGTGTCATGTCTTGTTTATCTAGCAGAAAACTTAGTGCAGGGACTGTCTTCTGTCATATACTTTTTATGTCACAAGATTGAAGAGTCTTGTGGTATTACCCCAATAGTTCATTGATTATTATGGATCATTATTATGTTGGTTCTCTTTTAAGTAGCATCTTAGGTTCTCTTTTGGGTTCTTTGATACAGTTGTAAAGCTTAACAGGTTAGCTAGATCCTTCCCATAGACCTTATTGACTTAGCAACAGCAACTAAAGCAGTTCTGTTTTAGTATGCTATAGTCCCTCTGATATTCCATATCATAAGAAGGTCACATATGTTGGACATTAATCCAGTTTTGTCTTTTACTAGATATATAGTATTGATCAAGTTATGTAACCTCTTTGAGCCTGAACTTCTTTATTTGAAAATTATGACAGTATCTTATTTTTTAGATTAAGAATAAGAGAATGCAATATAACATGGTGATTTGCACATAATAGGTGTTTAATAAAATGGTAGCTATTCTCCTCATAAGCATTCTGTTAATAGTCATGTAGCCCATGCTAGCCCCTCTTTATGTTTGTTTAGCTTTCACATCTATAGCAGTTATATTTAGCATAGAGCTATAACTTAAGCTATTTATAAAACCTTTAACATTTTTGACTTTTTAAATAATAGAAACTGCTCATTCAATGACTAATCGATTTAATGCCATGTTGAAAGTATTTGAAAACCAGGCAAATATGTTGGAGAGGTAAGCTTTTTTGTTTTTGCATTTTATTATTTTTCTATTTTTAAAAAAAGACAGATAAAATTGTATTTTTCCATATGTAATATGTTCATTGAAAAAAGTTAGTACGTGTTTATTGCAGAAATATTGAAAACATAAAGAAGAAAATAACACCTCTATCAACAAATTTAGAATTTCTTATATCAATTTTTATGATTTTATGTATGTATAATTTTTACATGGAAAGTTATAAACATAGAGAATGTAAAATGAAATGTAAAATATGTGCTATGGGAAAATAGTATATTGGTTCCTAAAAAAATTAAAAACAGAATTACCATATGATCCAGCAATTCCACTTCTGGGCATATATACCCCAAAATTGAAAACAGAGTGTTGAAGGGATATTTGTACATCCATGTTTGTTGCAGCATTATTCACAATAGCCAAAAGATGGAAGCAACCCACATGTGCAACAATGAATAAATGGATAAACAAAATGTGGCATATACATATAATGAAATTATTATTGAGTCTTAAAGGAAATTCTAATACATGCTACAACATGGATGAACCCTGAGGACATTCTGCTAAGTATAATAAGCCAGCCACAAAAAAGACAAATGCAATTATTCCTCTTACATGAGGTATCTAGAGTAGTGTCAACTTCATAGACACAGAAGATAGAATGATGGTTGCCAGGGGGTACAGGAGGGGGAAATGGGGAGTTATTGTTTGATGCACACAAAGCTTCAGTTTTACATGAGGAGAAGAGTTCTGGAGATTGGTTGTAAAATAATGTAAAGTTACGTAACACTGCTGAACTATACACTTAAAATGATTAAGATGGTAAATTTTATGTTATATGTATTTTTCCATAGTTAAAAAAGTTAAAAGTTGCGATGATACAAAATGTAGTTTGTGAATATTTTTTCACCTGTAAACTCATTTAATTTCTTTTTAAAATAAATGTTTTATTTTTTATTGACAAAATTATATATATTTATGGTATAAAATGTGATGTTTTTATATGTACATACCTTGTGGAATCGCTAAATCAAGCTATGTAACAGACCCAAAATCCTCACATACATATCTTTTTTTTTCTGGTGAAAACACTTAAAAACTACTCTCTAGAAACTTTCCCTTTGTCTAGCTGAAATTTTGTACCCTTTGACCAACATCTCCGCATTTTCCCCCAACCCCAGCCTCTAGTGACCAGCATTCTGTTCTCTATTTCCATGAGTTTGACTTTTTAGGGTTCTACATATAAGTGAGATCATGCAGTAATTGTCTTTCTGTACCTGACTTCTTAGCATAATGCCCTTCAGTTTCATCCATGTTGTTGCAGATGACAGGATTTCCTTCTTTTTAAGGCTGGATAATATTTTATATTTATATTTATATTTAATATATATATCTGTATATATATATCTTCCACATGTTCTTTATCTATTTTTACATTTATGGACACTTAGGTTGATTCCATATTGTAGTTATTGTGAATAATACTGCAGTGAACATGGGAGTATGGGTATCTACTCAACATGATTTATCCCATTTCCTTTAGATGTATACTCAGAAATGGAATTTTTTGGTCATTCGGTAGTTCTGTTTTTATCTTTTTTGAAGAATCTCCATACTGTTTTCCATAAAGCTGAACTAATTTACATTCTCACTAACAGTGTATAAGAGTTCCCTTTTCTCCACAGTCTTGCCAGTACTTAAATGTTTTTTCTTTTTGATAATAGCCATTTTTTTTGATAACAGATGTGAGGTAATATTACATGGTGGTTTAAATTTACTTTTCCTTGATGATTAGTGATGTTGAACATTTTTTTCATATACCCTGTTGACCATTCACATGTCTTTTTTTGAGAAATATCAAACCATTTGCCCATTTTTAAATGGTGTTATTTGTTTTCTTGTAGTTGAGTTGAGCTCCTTTTACATCTTGGATATTAAACTCTTATCAGATGTATGGTTTGCAAATATTTTCTCCCATTCCATAGTTTGTATCTTTATTCCATTGATTGTTTCCTTTGCTCTACAGAAACTATTTAGCTTGATGCAGTCCCATTTGTCTATTTTTGCTTTTGTTACCTGTGCTTTTGGGGTCATATCAAAAAAATCTTTTCCAAGACCAATGTCAAGAAGTTTTCACCCTGTTTTCTTCAAGTAGTTTTACAGTTTCAGGTTTTACGTTTAAGTTTTTAATTCATTTTGGGTCTATTTTTGTATATGAGATGAGATAAGGACCCTATTTCATTCTTCTGTAGTCTCTTCAACACAATTTATTGAAGAGACATTCTTTTCCTAATTATGTGTTTTTGGACATTTGTCAAAGATCAGTTGATCATATATATGTAAATTTATTTCTGGGCTCTCTATTCTGTTCCATTGGCTATGTCTGTTTTTTTTTTTCCTTTTTCTAAATTATACTTTAAGTTCTGGGGTACATGTACAGAATGTGCAGGTTTGTTACATAGGTATACATGTGCCATGCTGGTTTGCTGCACCCATCAACCTGTCATCTACATTAGGTATTTCTCCTAATGCTATCCCTCCTCTAGGCCCCCACCTGCTGACAGGCCCTGGTGTGTGATGTTCCCCTCCCTGTGTCCATGTGTTCTTATTGTTCCACTCCCACTTATGAGCGAGAACATGCGGTGTTTGGTTTTCTGTTCCTGTGTTAGTTTGCTGAGAATGATGGTTTCCAGCTTCATCCATGTCCCTGCAAAGGACATGATCTCATCCTTTTTTATGGCTGCATAGTATTCCATGGTGTATATGTGCCACATTTGCTTTATCCAGTGTATCATTGATGGGCACTTGGGTTGGTTCCAAGTCTTTGCCATTGTGAACAGTGCTGCAATAACATATGTGTGCATGTGTTTTTATAGTAGAATAATTTATAATTCTTTGGGTATATACCCAGTAATGGGATTGCTGGGTCAAATGGTATTTCTAGTTCTAGATTCTTGAGGAATCACCACACTGTCTTCCACAATGGTTGAACTAATTTACACTCCCACCAACAGTGTAAAAGTGTTCCTGTTTCTCCACATCATCTCCAGCATCTGTTGTTTCCTGACTTTTTAATGATCGCCATTCTAACTGGCATGAGATGATATCTCATTGTGGTTTTGATTTGCATTTCTCTAATGACCAGTGATGATGAGCATATTTTTATAAGTTTGTTGGCTGCATAAATGTCTTGAGAAATGTCTATTCATATTCTTCACCCACTTTTTGATGGGGTTGTTTGTTTTTTTCTTGTAAATTTGTTTAAATTCTTTGTAGATTCTGGATATTAGCCCTTTGTAAGATGGATAGATTGCAAAAATCTTCTCCCATTCTGTAGGTTACCTGTTCAGCCTAATGATAGTTTCTTTTGCTGTGCAGAAGTTCTTTAGTTTAATTAGATCCCATTTGTCAATTTTGGCTTCTGTTGCCATTGTTTTTGGTGTTTTAGTCATGAAGTCTTTACCCATGCCTATGTCCTGAATGGCATTGCCTAGGTTTTCTTCTAGGGTTTTTATGGTTTTAGGTCTTACGTTTAAGTGTCTAATCCATCTTGAGTTAATTTTTGTATAAGGTGTAAGGAAGGGATCCCAGTTTTAGTTTTCTGCCTATGGCTAGCCAGTTTTCCCAACACCATTTATTAAATAGGAAATCCTTTCTCCACTGCTTGTTTTTCTCAGGTTTGTCAAAGATCATATGGTTGTAGATGTGTGGTGTTATTTCTGAGGCCTCTGTTCTGTTCCATTGGTCTATATATCTGTTTTGGTACCAGTACCATGCTGTTTTGGTTACTGTAGCCTTGTAGTATAGTTTGAAGCCAGGTAGCATGATGCCTCCAGCTTTATTCTTTTTGCTTAGGATTATCTTGGCTATGAGGGCTCTTTTTTGGTTCCATATGAATTTAAAGTAGTTTTTTTTCTAATTCTGTGAAGAAAGTCAATAGTAGCTTGATGGGGATGGCATTGAATCTATAAATTACTTTGGGCAGTATGGCCATTTTCATGGTATTGATTCTTCCTATCTATGAGCATGGAATGTTTTTCCATTTGTTTGTTTCCTCTCTTATTTCCTTGAGCTGTGGTTTGTAGTTCTCCTTGAAGAGGTTCTTCACATCCCTTGTAAGTTGTATTCCTAGGTATTTTATTCTTTGTAGCAGTTGTGAATGGGAGTTCACTCATGATTTGGCTCTCTGTCTGTTCTTGGTGTATAGGAATACTTGTGATTTTTGCATATTGATTTTGTATCCTGAGACTTTGCTGAAATTGCTCAGCTTAAGGAGATTTTGGGCTGAGACGATGGGGTTTTCTAAATAAACAATCATGTCATCTGCAAAGAGAGACAATTGACTTCCTCTTTTCCTAATTGAATACACTTTATTTCTTTCTCTTGCCTGATTGCCCTGGCCAGAACTTCCAATACTATGTTGAATAGGAGTGGTGAGAGAGGGCATCCTTGTCTTGTGCCAGTTTTCAAAGGAATGCTTCCAGTTTTTGCCCATTCAGTATGATATACTGATATTGGCTGTGGGTTTGTCATAAATAGCTCTTATTATTTTGAGATACTTTCAGTCAATACCTAGTTCATTGAGAATTTTCAGCATGAAGGGCTGTTGAATTTTGTTGAAGGCCTTTTCTGCATCTATTTACATAATCATGTGGTTTTTGTCATTGGTTCTGTTTATGTGATGGATTACGTTTATTGATTTGTGTATGTTGAACCAGCCTTGCATCCCAGGAATGAAGCCCACTGGATCATGGTGGACAAGCTTTTTGATGTGCTTCTGGATTCAGTTTATCAGTATTTTATTGAGGATTTTCTCATTGATGTTCATCAGGGATATTTGCTTAAAATTTTCTTTTTTTGTTGTGTCTCTGCCAGGTCTTGGTATCAGGAAGGTGCTGGCCTCATAAAATGAGTTAGGGAGGATTCTCTCTTTTTCTATTGTTTGGAATAGTTTCAGAAGGAATGGTACCAGCTCCTCTTTGTACCTTTGGTAGAATTTGGCTGTGAATCCGTCTGGTCCTGGACTTTTTTTGGTTGGCAGGCTATTAATTACTGCCTCCATTTCAGAACTTGTAATTGGTCTATTCAGGGATTTGACTTCTTCCTGGTTTAGTCTTGGGAGGGTGTATGTGTCCTGGAATTTATCCATTTCTTCTAGATTTTCTAGTTTATTTGTGTAGAGGTGTTTATAGTATTCTCTGATGGTAGTTTGTATTTCTGTGGGATCTGTGGTGATATTCCCTTTATCATTTTTTATTGCGTCTGTTTGATCTTTCTCCCCTTTCTTCTTCATTAATCTGGGTAGCAGTCTATCTATTTTGTTGATCTTTTCAAAAAACCAGCTCCTGGATTCATTGATTTTTTGAAGGGCTTTTTGTGTCTCTATCTCCTTCAGTTCTGCTCCGATCTTAGTTATTTCTTGTCTTCTTCTAGCTTTTGAATTTGTTTGCTCTCGCTTCTCTTGTTCTTTTAATTGTGATGTTAGGGTGTTGGTTTTAGATCTTGCCTTCTTTCTCTTGTGGGCATTTAGTGCTATACATTTCCCTCTACACAGTGCTTTAAATGTGTCCCAAAGATTCTGGTACATTGTGTCTTTATTCTCATTGGTTTCAAAGAACATCTTTATTCCTGCCTTCATTTCATTATGTACCCAGTAGTCATTCAGGAGTAAGTTGTTCAGTTTTCATGTAGTTGTTTGGTTTTGAGTAAGTTTCTTAATCCTGAGTTCTAGTTTGATTGCACTGTGGTCTGAGAGACTTGTTTGTTATGATTTCTGTTCTCTTGCATTTGCTGAGGAGTATTTTACTTCCAATTTTGTGGTCAATTTTAGAATAAGTGCAATGTGGTGTTGAGAAGAATGTATATTCTGTTGATTTGTTGTGGAAAGTTCTGTAGATGTCTATTAGTTCTGCTTGGTCTGGAGCTGAGTTCAAGTCCTGGATATCCTTGTTAATTTTCTGTCTCGTTGATTTGTCTAATATTGACAGTGGGGTGTTAAAGTCTCCCACAATAATTGTGTGGGAGTCTAAGTCTCTTTGTAGGTCTTTAAGGACTCGCTTTATGAATCTGGGTGCTCCTGTATTGGGTGCATATATATTTAGGATAGTTAGCTCTTCTTGCTGCATTGATCCCTTTATGATTATGTAATGCCCTTTTCTCTTTTGATTTCTGCTGCTTTAAAGTCTGTTTCATCAGAGACTAGGATTGCAAACCCTGCTTTTTTTTGCTTTCCATTTGCTTGATAAATCTTCCTCCATCCCTTTATTTTGAGCCTATGTGTGTCTTTGCATGTGAGATGGTCTCCTGCACACCAGTGGGTCTTTACTCTTTGTCCAATTTGCCAGTCTGTGTCTTTTGATTGCGGCATTTAGCTAATTTACATTTAAGGTTAATATTGATCTGTGTGAATTTGAGCTTGTCATTATGATGCTAGCTGGTTATTTTGCCCGTTAGTTGATGCTGTTTCTTCATAGCATCGATGGTCTTTACAATTTGGTATGTTTTTGCAGTGGCTGGTACCGGTTATTCCTTTCCATGTTTAGTGTTTCCTTTAGGAGCTCATGTAAAGGCAGGCCTGGTGGTGACAAAATCTCTCAGCATTTGCTTGTCTGTAAAGTATTTTATTTCTCCTTTGCTTAGGAAGCTTAGTTTGGCTGGATATGAAATTCTGGGTTGAAAATTCTTTTCTTTAAGAATGTTGAATATCGGCCCCCAATCTCTTCTGGCTTGCATGTTTTCTGCTGAGAGATCTGCTGTTAGTCTGATGGGCTTCCTTTTGTGGGTAACCCGACCTTTCTCTCTGGCTGCCCTTAACATTTTTTTTTTTTTCATTTCTACCTTGGTGAATCTGACAATTATGTGTCTTGGGGTTGCTCTTCTTGAGGAATATCTTTGTCGTGTTCTCTGTATTTCCTGAATTTGAATGTTGGCCTGCCTTGCTAGATTGGGGTAGTTCTCCTGTATAATATCCTGAAGAGTGTTTTCCAACTTGGTTCAATTCTCCCTGTCACTTTCAGGTACATGAATCAAATGTAGATTTAGTCTTTTCACATAGTCCCATATTTCTTGGAGGTTTTGTTTGTTTCTTTTTTTTTTTTTTTTTCCAGGAGGAAAAAAAAGCCTATTTAATGAACTCAGAAAAAATGAAGACAAAAGAAACATAAAATGAACATATGGCCTTTTCCATGATACATGCTGTTATTTTACCTGTCTTCTATTACTCATGTGTTATTCATCTTTCTTCCAGATTTGCATATTTCTCCATTTATACATAGGGAATTGGGAACTTTTAGAAGTTTTTCCCTGTCTCTGATGGATTGGACAATGTTTGCAATTCTAGGAGACATCTGATTATTCTTTCAAAATAAATTTATCAGAAGGAGTTTTGTTTTCTAAAATTATTGTGATTCCAGAATTATCTTCTGCTCTTCTGCTAATAAATCTCCTATCATTGTTTGGTTAATTTATTGGGAAGAAACTTGACATCCTGATGTAATCTTCTTTGTCCTGTGTTTTCCCAACCATGGTCATTATGGGAGAGGGTGACGGGAGAAAGGGCTGGGAAAGAGGGAGCCCTAATGTTGAATCTTTCTTTTTTATTTTTTTATTTTTTTTTAGTGTTTATTGATCATTCTTGGGTGTTTCTCTGAGAGGGGGATTTGGCAGGGTCATAGGACAATAGTGGAGGGAAGGTCAGCAGATAAACACGTGAACAAAGTTCTCTGGTTTTCCTAGGCAGAGGGCCCTGCCGCCTTCCGCAGTGTTTGTGTCCCTGGGTACTTGAGATTAGGGAGTGGTGATGACTCTTAACGAGTATGCTGCCTTCAAGCATCTGTTTAACAAAGCACATCTTGCACCACCTTTAATCCATTTAACCCTTAGTGGACACAGCACATGTTTCAGAGAGCATGGGGTTGGGGGTAAGGTTATAGATTAACAGCATCCCAAGGCAGAAGAACCTTTCTTAGTACAGAACAAAATGGAGTCTCCTATGTCTACTTCTTTCTACACAGACACAGTAACAATCTGATCTCTCTTTCTTTTCCCCACATTTCCCCCTTTTCTATTCAACAAAACCGCCACTGTCATCATGGCCCGTTCTCCATGAGCTGTTGGGTACACCTCCCAGATGGGGTGGTGGCCGGGCAGAGGGGCTCCCCACTTCCCAGACGGGGCGGCTGGGCAGAGGCGCCCCCCACCTCCCGGATGGGGCGGCCGGCCTGGCGGGGGCTGCCCCCCGACCTCCTGGACGGGGCGGCTGCCCGGTGGAGACGCTCCTCACCTCCCAGACGGGGCAGCTGCTGGGCGGAGGGGCTCCTCACTTCTCGGACGGGGCGGCCGGTCAGAGACGCTCCTCACCTCCCAGATGGGGTGGTGGCGGGGCAGAGACACTCCTCAGATCCCAGACGGGGTCACGGCCAGGCAGAGGCGCTCTTCACATCTCGGAGGGGGCGGCGGGGCAGAGGTGCTCCCCACATCCCAGACGATGGGCGGCGGGGCAGAGACGCTCCTCACTTCCTAGACAGGGTGATGGCTAGGAAGAGGTGCTCCTCACTTCCCAGACTGGGCGGCCGGGCAGAGGGGCTCCTCACATCCCAGACGATGGGCGGCCAGGCAGAGACGCTCCTCACTTCCAAGATGGGGTGGCGGCCGGGCAGAGGCTGCAATCTCGGCACTTTGGGAGGCCAAGGCAGGCGGCTGGGAGGTGGAGGTTGTAGCCAGCCAAGATCACACCACTGCACTCCAGCCTGGGCAACATTGAGCCCTGAGTGAGCGAGACTCCGTCTGCAATCCTGGCACCTCGGGAGGCCGAGGCAGGCAGATCACTCGCGGTCAGGAGCTGGAGACCAGCCCGGCCAACACGGCGAAACCCCGTCTCCACCAAAAAATACGAAAACCAGTCAGGCGTGGCGGCGCGTGCCTGCAATCCCAGGCACTTGGCAGGCTGAGGCAGGAGAATCAGGCAGGGAGGTTGCAGTGAGTCGAGATGGCGGCAGTACAGTCCAGCCTCCGCTCGGCATCAGAGGGAGACCATGCAAAGGGGAGAGGGAGAGGGAGAGGGAGAGGTGTTTCTTTCTTTTCACTCTTTTTTTGTCTAATCTTGTCTTCTTGCTTTATTTCATTGAGTTGATCTTCAATCTCTGATATCCTTTCTTCCGCTTGATCAATTTGGCTATTGATACTTGTGTATGCTTCACAAAGTTCTCGTCCTGTGTTTTTCAGCTCCATCAGGTCATTTATGTTCTTCTCTAAACTGGGTATTCTAGTTAGCAATTCCTGTAACCTTTTTTCAAGGTTCTTAGCTTCCTGGCATTGGGTTAGAACATGCTCCTTTAGCTCAGAGGAGTTTGTTATTACCCACCTTCTGAAGCATACTTCTGTCAATTCGTCAAACTCATTCTCCATCCAGTTTTATTCCCTTGCTGGTGAGCAGCTGTGATCCTTTGCAGTAGAAGAGATGTTCTGGTTTTTGGAATTTTCAGCCTTTTTGCGCTGGTTTCTCCCCATCTTTGTGGATTTATCTACATTTGGTCTGTGAGGTTGGTGATGTTGATACTATTCCTTTCTGTTTGTTAGTGTTCTTTCTAACAGACCCCTCTGCTGCAGGTCTGCTGGAGTTTGCTGGAGGTCCACTCCAGACCCTGTTTGCCTGGGTATCACCAGCAGAGGCTGTAGAACAACAAAGATTGCTGCCTGTTCCTCCCTCTGGAAGCTTCATCTCAGAGGGGCACCAGCCAGATGCCAGCCAGAGCTCTCCTGTATGAGGTGTCTATCGGCCCCTACTGGGAGGTATCTCCCAGTCTGGATACGTGGATGGTCAGGGACCCACTTGAGAAGGCAGTCTGTCCGTTGTCAGAGCTTGAACACTTTGCTGGGAGAACTGCTCCTCTCTTCGGAGCTGTCAGGCAGGGATGTTTAAGTCTGCTGAAGCTGTGCCCACAGTCGCCCCTTCCCCCAGGTGCTCTGTCCCAGGGAGCTGCGGTGGGCTCCAACCAGTTCGAACTTCCTGGCGGCTTTGTTTACACTGTAAGGTAAAACCACCTACTCAAGCCTCAGCAATGGTGGATGCCCCTCCCCCTACCAAGGTCGAGTATCCCAGGTTGACCTTAGACTGCTGTGCTAGCAGAGATAATTTCAAGCCAGCGGATCTTAGTTTGCTGGACTCTGTGGGGGTGGGACCCATTAAGCCAGGCACCAAGAGAATTTCCTGGTCTGCCGGTGGTGAAGACCATGGGAAAAGTGCAGTGTCTGGGCCAGAATGCACCATTTCTCCCAGTACAGTCTCTCATGGCTTCCCTTGGCTAGGGAAGGGAAATCCCCTGACCCCTTGCACTTCCCAGGTGAGACAACACCCCACCCTGCTTCAGCTCACCCTCCATGGGCTGCATCCACTGTCCAACCAGTCCTATTGAGATGTACTGGGTACCTCAGTTGGAAATGTAGGAATCATCCACCTTCTGTGTTGATCTCGCTGGGAGCTGCAGACTGGAGCTGTTCCTATTTGGCCATCTTTTTGGCTGTATCTGTTTTGATGCTAGGGTCATGCAGTTTTGATTACTACAGCTTTGTGTATTAGATTTTGAGATAATGTGATGCCTCCACCTTTGTTCTTTTTGCTTGTGATTGCTTTGGCTACTCAGGGTCTTTTGTGGTCCCATATGAATTTTAGGATCTATTTTTATTTCTGTGAAAAATGTCATTGAAATTTTCCTAGGGATTACATTGAATCTCTAAGTTATTTTGGGTAGCATGAACATTTTAACGATATTGTTTCAACTCATGAATATGGGATGTATTTTCAATTCTTTGTGTGTTCTTCAATTTATTTCATCAACATCTTATAGTTTTCAGTGCAAAAGATCTTTCACTTCTTTGATTAAGTGTATTCCCAAGTATTTTATTTCTTTTTATGCTATTATAAATGGGATTGTTTTCTTGCCTTCTTTTTTAGATAGTTTGTTGTTAATTTATAGAAACACAACTGATTTTTGTATTGGTTTTTGTATCCTGCAACTTTGTTGGATTCATTTGTTCTGCAAGTTTTTGGGGACATCTTTAGAGTTTTCTATATAGGAAAGTATATCATCTGGAAACAAATATGATTTTACTTATTCTTTTTCTATTTTGATGCATTTTATTTGTTTTTCTTGACTAATTGTCCTGGCTTGGACTTCTAGTACTATGTTGAATAGAAGTGGTGAGAGTGGGTATCCTTGTTTTTGATCTTAGAAGAAAAGCTTTCAACTTTTCACTGTTGAGTATAATAATGTTAGCTATGGGGTTCTGATATATGGATTTTATTATATTAAGGTACATTCCTTCTATACCTATTTATTGATGGGTCTTATTATGAAAGGATGTTGAATTTTGTCAAATGCTTTTTCTGCATCTTATGATCATATGGTTTTGTCTTTCATTCTGCTAATATGATGCCCAACATTTATTGATTTGCTGAATCATCCTTGCACTCCAGGGATAAATTCCACTTGATCATGGTGAATGATCCCTTTAATGTACTGTTAAATTTGTTTTGCTAGTATTGTGTTGAAGATTTTTACATCTATATTCATCAGGGATAATTTTCTTTTCTTGTGATGTCCATGTCTGACTTTGTTATCAGGGTGATTAATGAAGACTTGTGAAATAGTTTAGAAGTATTTCTTCCTCTTCAAGATTTTTGAAGAGTTTGAGAAGGATTGTATTAGTTCTTCTTTAAATATTTGGTAGAATTCAGCCATGAAGCCAGGAAGTCTTGGGCATTTCTTTGATAGGAGATTTTTTTATTATTGATTGACACTTCTTGGTCATTATTGGTCTTTTCAGATTTTCTATTTCTTCAGTCTTGGTAGGTTGTATGTTTCCAGGAATTTCCTAATTTTCTTCTAGGTTGTTCAGTTTGTTAGAATGTAATTTGTTTGTGGTAGTTTCTTATTATCTTTTTTTTATTTCTATGGTATCAGTTGTAATGTCTCATTTTTCTTTACTGAGGTTATTTGGGCCTTCTCTCTCTTTTTTCTTAGTCCAGCTAAAGATTTGCTGATTTTATCTTTTCAGAAAACTTTTAGTTTTGTTAACCTTTTCTATTGTTTTTCTAGTCTCTATTATTTATTGCTGGTTTTTTTTTTTTTTTTTTTTGAGATGGAGTTTTGCTCTGTCGCCCAGGCTGGAGTGCAGTGGCGCGATCTTGGCTCACTGCAAGCTCTGCCTCCCAGGTCATGCCATTCTCCTGCCTCAGCCTCCTGAGTAGCTGAGACTACAGGTGCCTGCCACAACGCCCGGCTAATTTTTTGTATTTTTAGTAGAGATGGGGTTTCACCGTGTTAGCCAGGATGGTCTTGATCTGACCATGTGATCTGCCTGCCTCGGCCTCCCAAAGTGCTGGGATTACAGGCATGAGCCACCATGCCCGGCCTATTTCTGCTCTTTGTAATTTTCTTCCTTCTATGAACTATTGGCTTAATTTGTTATTTTTCTCGTTCTTTGGTGTATCACATTAGGTTATTTATTTGAGATCATTATTTCTTTTTTAAGTAGACATCTATTGCAATAAACTTCCCACTTAGAACTGCTTTTGCTGCATTTCATGAGTTTTAGTATGTTGTATTTCCATTTTTGTTTGTCTGAAGATACTTTCTGATTTCCCTTTGGATTTCTTTTTTGACTCATCATTTGTTTAGGAGTGTGTTAATTTCTACATATTTGTGAATTTTTCCAGTTTTTCTCCTGTCATTGATTTCTAGTTTCAAATTATTGTCATTGGAAAATATACTTGATATGACTTCAGTCTTCTTAAGTATATTAAGACATGTTTTGTGGTCTAACACATAACGTATCATGGGAAATATTTCATATTCACTCAAGGAGAACGTATGTTCTGCTGCTGTTGGGTGGAATGTTTTGTATGTGTCAGTTAGGTCCATTTGGCCTAAAGTATCGTTCAAGTCCGATGTTTCCGTATTCATTTGTTGTCTGGATGAACTGTCTATTGTTGTAAATGAGGCATTACTGTAAATAGGCTATTATTATATTGCTGTCTGTCTCTCGATTCAGATCTATTAATAGTTGCTGTATGTATTCAGGTAGTCTTATCTCGATGCATATTATTTAAAATTGTTATAACCTCTTGATGGATTGACCCCTTTATAATTTTTTTTATGCCCAGCTAATTTTTATTTATTTATTTATTTATTTATTTTTTAGTATTTATTGATCATTCTTGGGTGTTTCTCGGAGAGGGGGATGTGGCAGGGTCATAGGATAATAGTGGAGAGAAGGTCACCAGATAAACACGTGAACAAAGGTCTCTGGTTTTCCTAGGCAGAGGTCCCTGCGGCCTTCCACAGTGTCCCTGGGTACTTGAGATTAGGGAGTGGTGATGACTCTTAACGAGCATGCTGCCTTCAAGCATCTGTTTAACAAAGCACATCTTGCACCACCCTTAATCCATTTAACCCTGAGTTGACACAGCACATGTTTCAGAGAGCACGGGGTTGGGGGTAAGGTTATAGATTAACAGCATCCCAAGGCAGAAGAATTTTTCTTAGTACAGAACAAAAATGGAGTCTCCTATGTCTACTTCTTTCTACACAGACACAGTAACAATCTGATCTCTCTTTCTTTTCCCCACATTTCCCCCTTTTCTTTTCGACAAAACCGCCACTGTCATCATGGCCCGTTCTCGATGGTCGCTGTCTCTTCGGAGCTGTTGGGTACACCTCCCAGATGGGGCGGCTGGGCAGAGGCGCTTCTCACTTCCCAGACGGGGCGGCCGGGCAGAGGCGCTCCTCACATCCCAGATGATGGGTGGCTGGGCAGAGGCTCTCCTCACTTCCCAGATGATGGGTGGGCGGGCAGAGGTGCTCCTCAGTTCCCAGACGGGGCTGCCAGTCAGAGGCGCTCCTTGCCTCCCAGACAGGGTGGCGGCCGGGCAGAGGTGCTCCTCACATCCCAGACGGGGCGGCCGGGCAGAGGCGCTCCTCACTTCCCAGACGGGGTGGCCAGGCAGAGGCGCTCCTCACTTCCCATTTGGGGCGGCTGGGCAGAGACGCTCCTCAGTTCCTAGATGGGGTGGCGGCCGGGCAGAGGTGCTCCTCACTTCCCAGACAGGGCGGCCAGGCAGAGGCGCTGCTCACTTCCCATTCGGGGCAGCCGGGCAGAGGCGCTCCTCACTTCCCATTCGGGGCAGCCAGGCAGAGGCACTCCTCACTTCCTCCCAGACGGGGTGGCCGGGCAGAGGCGCTACTCACTTCCCAGACGGGGCGGCCGGGCAGAGGCGCTCCTCACATCCCAGACGATGGGCGGCCAGGCAGAGACGCTCCTCACTTCCTAGATGGGGTGGTGGCCGGGCAGAGGCGCTCTTCACTTCCAGACGGGGCAGCCGGGCAGAGGGGCTCCTCACATCCCAGACGATGGGCAGCCAGGCAGAGACGCTGCTCACTTCCTAGACGGGGTGGCAGGCGGGCAGAAGCTGTAATCTTAGCACTTTGGGAGGCCAAGGCAGGTGGCTGGGAGGTGGAGGTTGTAGCGAGCCGAGATCACGCCACTGCACTCCAGCCTGGGCAACATTGAGCATTGAGTGAGTGAGACTCCGTCTGCAATCCCAGCACCTCGGGAGGCCGAGGGGGGCAGATCACTCAAGGCCAGGAGCTGGAGACCAGCCCAGTCAACACGGCGAAACCCCATCTCCACCAAAAATACAAAAATCAGTCAGTAGTGGCGGTGTGTGCCTGGAATCCCAGGCACTCGGCGGGCCAAGGCAGGAGAATCACGGGAGCCCGAGGCAGGGAGGTTGCAGCAAGCCGAGATCATGGCAGTACAGTCCAGGCTTGGCAAGAGAGGGAGACCGTAGAAAGAAAGGGGAGAGGGAGAGGGAGAGGCGACCCCTTTATAATTATATAACGACCTTTGTCTCATGAGGCAGCTAATAACTTAAAATCTCTCTTCTTATATAAGTATAGCCACTCATGCCTTCTTTTGGTTTTGATTTGCATGGAGTATCTTTTTCCATCCCTTCACTTTTAGCTTTTGTGTGTTCCAGGCTGGAGTGCAGTGGCGCGATCTCAGGTCACTGCAACTTCTGCCTCCCGGGTTCAAGTGATTCTCCTGCGTCAGCCTCCTGAGTAGCTGGGACTACAAGTGCGCGCCACCACACCCAGCTAATTTTTGTATTTTTAGTAGAGACGGGGTTTCACCATGTTGGCCAAGATGGTCTCGATCTCTTGAGCTTGTGATCCGCCCACCATGGCCTCCCAAAGTGCTGGGATTACAGGCATGAGCCACCGCGCCTGGCCTGTGTGTTCTTAAAGTTTTTGTGAGTCTCTTGTGGGCAGCATGTAGTTGGGTTCTTAAAAAAAAAATCCATTCAGCCACTTGACATGTTTTTGTTGGAGATTTAATCAATTTACACTTAAATATACATTCAAAGTAATTATTTATATGTAAGGACTTACTATTACCATTTTGTTTTTTGAGTTGGATTCTCACTCTGTTGCCCAGGCTGGAGTGCAGTGGTGCAATCTTGGCTTACTGCAGCCTCTGCCTCCTGGGTTCAAGCAATTCTCCTGCCTTAGCCTCCTGAGTAGCTGGAATTACAGGCACCTGCCACTATGCCTGGCTAATTTTTGTATTTTTAGTAGAGATGCAGTTTCTCCATGTTGACCAGGCTGGTCTTGAACTCCTGACCTCAGGTGATCCACCACCTTGACCTCCCAAAGTGCTGTGATTGCAGGCATGAGCCACTGTGCATGGCTCACTGTTACCATTTTGAAGGACAGTAATCATATGATCATTTCAATAGATGCAGAAACAGCATTTCGCAGCATTCAAAATCTTTTCATAGTAAAAACTTACAACAAATTAGGTATACAAGGAATTTTCCCCACATAAAAAGGCCATATTAGCCTACAGCTAACATTACACTCAGTGGTGAATAGTTGAAGACTTTTTCTCTAACAACAGGAAAAAGACAAGGATGCCTACTCTTACCAATTCTATTCAATGTAGTACCAGAAGTCAAATGCAGTAGCCAAGCAATTAGTCAAGAAAAAGAAATTAAAGGTATCCAAATCAGAATAGAAGAAGTAAAATCATGTGTTTATAGATGACATGAGTTCATATATAGAAAACCCTAAGGATGCTTCCCCCACCCCCATCAAATATAGAATGGTGCCACTCCCAAAACTCTTAGAACTAATAAATGTATTCAGTAAAGTTGCAGGTTACAAAATCAGCATCCCCATATCAGTTGTGTTTCTACACACTAACAATAACTGTGAAGAAGAAAACATTTAGAGTAGCATGAAAAGAAATGAAATATTTAATAATAAATTTAACCAAGGAAGTAAAAGATATGCACACAGAAAACTATAAAACACATGAGATATATTGAAGAAGACACAAAGAAACGGGACAGTATTGTATGTTCATGGATTAGAAGAGTTAATAGTGTTGCAAATAAGTCCATGTACCCAAAGTGATCTACAGATTCTGTGTGAATCCTATGAAAATACCAATGACATTTTTCACAGACATAAAACAAATCCTAAAATTCATATGCAATTTCAAAAGGCCTTGAATAGCCAAAGCAAATTTTAGCAAGAGTAGTAAGGCTGGAAGCACATTACTTTCTTATTTTTTTTTTTGATACGGAGTCTCACTCTGTCGCCCAGGCTGGAGTGCAATGGCACCATCTCAGCTCACTGCAACCTCCTTCTCCCAGGTTCAAGCAATCAAGCAATTCTCCTGCCTCAGCCTCCCAAGTAGCTGGGATTACAAGCGCCCGCCACCATGCCTGGCTAATTTTTTTGTATTTTTAGTAGAGACGGGGTTTTACCATGTTGGCCAGGCTGGTTTTGAACTGCTGACCTCAAGTGATCTTCCCGCCTTGGCCTCCCAAAGTGCTAGGATTACAGGCATGAGCCACTGTGCCTGGCATTTTTTTTTTTTTTTTTTTTGAAATGGAGTCTTGTTCTGTCACCCAGGCTGGAGTGCAGTGCCATGATCTTGGCTCACTGCAACCTCTGCCTCCTGGGTTTGAGTGATTCTCCTGCCTCAGCCTCCTGAGTAGCCTCAGATGATCCACCTGCCTCAACCTCCCAAAGTGTTGGGATTACAGGCCTGAGCCACTGCACCTGGCCCTTACTTTCTGATTTCAAATTATGTTTTAAAGCTACAGTAATTAATACAGTATGGTACTGGCATAAAATCAGACATATAGACCCATGAAACAGATTAGCAAGCGCAGAAACAAACCCAAGCATAGGTACAAGTGATCTTCAGCAATAGTGTCAGAAATAAACAATGGGGAAAGGATAGTATCTCCAACAAATGATACTGGGAAAAGTGGATCTCTATATGCAAAAGAATGATGTTGGACCTTCATGCCATGCATAAAAATAAATTCAAAATGCATTAAAAACTTACCTGTATGAGCTGAAACCGTAAAACTCCTCGATGAAAACATAGGAAATAAGCTCCATGACATTGGTCTGGGCAATGATTTTTTTGGACATTACACCAAAAAAAAAAAAAACAGGAAAAAAAGCAAGAATAAACAACTGAGATTACATCAAACTTAAAAGTCCTGCCTAAAAAAGGAAATAATAAAATGAAATGGAAAACTATGGAATGGGAGAAAATATTTTCAAACTGTACATCTGATAATGGGTCAATATAAAAAATATACAAGGGACTCATACAACTGAATTGAAGATAAAAAGTAATTAAAGGACTTGAATAGATATTTTTCCAAAGAAGACATACAAATATACATGGGTATGGGAAAAGGTACTTTATATCACCAATCATCAGAGAAATGTAAATCAAAATCACAATGAAATAATACATCATACTTGTTAGGTTGGCTGTTATTAAGAAAAAATGGTAACAATTATTAGCAAGGATTTGGAGAAAAGGGAACCCTTCAACACTACTGGTGGGAATGTAAATTGGTAGAGCCATTATGGAAAACAGTATGGAAGTGCATAAAAATTTAAAATAGAACTACCATATGACCCATAAGTGCCACTTCTGGGTATGTATCCAAAGGAACTTAAATCAATATGTCAGGGGGATATCTGCACTCCCATTTTCATTGCAGTAGCCAAAATATGGAAACAACTTAAGTATCCATAATGGATGAATGGATATAATGTGCCTATGCATACAACAGAATATTATTCACCCTTAAGAAATTAGAAAATCCTTCCATTTGTGACAACATGGATGGACCTGGAAGGCATTATGTTAAGTGAAAGAATCCAGGCACAGAAAGCAAAATAATTTAGGAGCTGAAAAGGTGTAGGCTAAAATGCACAAAGTTTCAGTTTTCCAAGATAAATAAGCTTTGTAGATCTATTATACAGCAGAATTCCCATAGTGAACAATACTGCATTGTATACTTAAAATTTTCTAAGAGGGTAGGTGTTTTGTTAATTTTTCTTAATAGCAACAGCAGCAGCAGAAACCATGACAAACAATTATGGTATTAATGAGGGCAGACGGAAACATTTGGAAATGAGGATCTCTTTGTGGCCTTGATGATGATGATATTTTCATGGGTATATTCATATCCCCAATTCATTGGGATAGATACAATAAAAATGTATAGCTTTTTGTTTTGTTTTGTTTTTATACAACATTTTCAGCCTTTATTGAGAGTACAGTCATCATGCCAAAATTCATCCATCAACATACAACCTTATTTCCCATCTAAAGTTAATGAGAATGTATTTTATTTTAAATGGGACATAGAGGCAACATGCCAAGAATTAAAGTACAACCATAAAGTTTTAGTTTTACACTTTGAATATCAACAAAGCAGTAATTCCTAAAATCATGAAAACATGATAAAGTATCTATACAGAAAAAAATGAACATTTAAGTCATTTCATGCTTTCTTAATATCATATAGTGAAAACAGATGTGCCTATAATTTCAGCCTACAGATAGCATACTTCATAAGGTCATTATTCATTTAAAATAGTACAAATGTTTACAAAGAACATTTCACTTAAATTTCACAGCTGCTTATAAAATGGTACTTGCAAGACTGACCTATATAAAGAAATAAGAGTCTCATCAAAAGAGATGGTAAATTATAAATATATAATATATCACAATGTTAAAATCCTCAGTGCAAATCAATAAAGATAATGATCTTTGGAGAGGAAAGTATTTAGCTTTACATATTTACTGTGAATTTACATATTAATAAGAAACACATTTAAACCTTGTCCTGCCACAGAATTATTCTGTGGGGGGCGGGGGGGGCGGGGAAATGTACTTTTTGAATATGTGTACACCAAAACCAAAAAGTTAACTTTTACTTTTTCCTTTATTGGCAACTTTTGATGCATTTTTCGGTTTTGGTTCCCAGAGGGCATTTTTTACAAATCTTGAAGCTGCACCTCTGTCCAGCTTGCCAGCCTTTTTCTTGTCTGTTATTTCCTTGACTCTGTTCATATATACTCTGATTCTTTCCAATTCCTGTTTTACTGGATGTTCCTTAGGATTAACTCCTTGGGTTGCCAAATAAACCCAAAACATTGAATTTAATGTGTATGCAGAAACCAAATCCACTTTTGCTTGTTCAAGTGGATCCAACTTCTGCAACAACTCATTTCTAGAAACAGACATCGTGGTCTTCAGCATCTCATCCACAGCACCAATGGAATTCTCAAACGCTGACAAATACTCGTGAATTTCTACTGGATAGTCTTCATTAATTTCTTCACCTGCCGTTATGGCTGACTCACGGCCTTCGACTCCAGCCTCCCGGAAAGCGGTCGGGCAACGATGACGACAATGACGCGCCAGCTCTGCCCGCGCCACCAGCGGCGCTTTCCGATGATCTCACCAATGTATAGCTTTTTATACACAAATTACATACCAATAAAGTGATTTAAAAGTATAGGATAAAATATAGAAACTAGGATTTTATTAAATTATTATGCATAAATTTATATAGTAGCAGGATAGGACAATCATGTTGGTCTTTGGGGGAGCTAATAGACATATTCTTCAGGATCTTGTCAGTGCATTGTCTAGCTGTTCACCTGTGCATATTGAGAAATAAATAAATAGGCATAGATCTAGAGGGCCTTGAAATTCTTTTGTAATTGTGGGACAAATTGAGATCTCAATTAGATATTGATTTGTTGGATGGTTTGTGAAGATATGATTCCTTTTTGGTGAACAGAATGCTTAGAACTAGTGTTCAGTCTTAGAGATGAAGTTGTTAAGTTAGATAAGAACAATGTACATTACCTGAATCATGTGGTCTGGACAGGAAAGCAGTCCTGTTAAGAATTCCTTCATGACATTTTTCTAGGGAGGCATAGATGTTACAAGTGAAGGTAATAGGCTGTTTTGCCTTTCAAAGCGTCTTTAGCCCAAGTGCATGCATCACAAATAGTCACCTTATGTCAGAATTGGAATCATAATAATTCTAACATGGCAAATTCACATTCGTGAATGAATTTCAGTGATTAGCTAGGGCATAGGCAAGGCAAAGGCATCCATGTGGTTAAAAAGTAATGACAGATTCTGAATTCACATCATTTAAAAAAGTAACATTGATTACAGACCTAAATGTAAGAAAATAAAACCATAAAAAGGGAGGGAATTCAACTCCCAAAACTGAAAACACCTCGTTCAAAATTGAAGCAAAGTTACAAGGTAAGCAGTAGACTGGGAGAAAAGATTTGTGCTCATACAGTAGAAAAAAGGAGTACTAATAAGAATCTATAACTCCCTAAAAACACATAAGAAAAATAGGCAAAGTATATAAAGAGGAGGTAACTAAGGGAAAGACAAAAAAATTGGCCAATAAACATTTTAAGAGATGCTCAATCTCACCGTGATCAGGGAAGATATAAGACAAAGCCATGACTTTTTTGTCTACAAAATTTAGAAGTTTTCTAATATCAACTATTGGCAGAGAGGTAGTGGAATGAATACTCTTACCATGCTAATATAATAGAAATTTCCCCCTTTCGAGGACAATTTAGCACAGTTTAGTAATAACAAAAGTGTATGCCATGTTATATAGCAAATCTCTTTTTATCTACCCTCGGGAAAGGAGTACAATGTGCTCAAGAAAGCATATAAAAGGAATTTTTTTTGCATCAGTGCGATGGTAGCAGAACTAGAAAGAACCTGTTTTTGTTAGTAGGAGTATGGCTCAATAATCTATGGTAAATGGATAATAAGGGAATACTATGAATAACTATGTGACCACAAATTAGATAACTTAGATGATATATATCTCTAGAAAAACCCAAACTAAACTGTATCAAGAAGAACAAGAACATGTGACTGAACTTATAAGTAGTAAAAGATTTAATTAGTAATTAACATATTCCCACCAAGAAATGCTTAGGCCAGATGACTTCACTTTTTAATCCTGTCAAATATTTAAAGAAGAGTTAATACCAGGCCTGTACAAACTCTTCTAAAAAATTAAAGAGTTCACACTTCTCAATTCATTCTATGAGATTAGTGTTACTCTGATACCAAAATTAGACAATCACAAGAACATAAATATGATATTTATTTTAAGAAGATAAATATATGTTATGAATATGAACATGAAAATCCTTACCAAAATACTAGCAAACTGAATCCAACAGCATATAAAAAAGATTATCTATGATGAACATGTGAGATTTATTTTAGGAATGCAAGGTTGATTTAAAATGCAGGTATCAATTTACATAATGTGTAATATTGATTAAATAAAGGAGAAAAAATTACATCAGTTCGCTAGATTCAGTAAATGCACTTGACAAAATTCAACATCTTTTTATGATACAAAGTTCCACAAACCAGGAATAGAAGGAAACTTCCTTAACCTGATGAAGGCCATCTACAAACCCCATGGTCAACATCATACTCAGTGGTGAGAATGAATAATTTCTCCCTATGATCAGGAACAAGACAAGACATTCACTTCTATTCATCATTATAGTGGAGGTTCTAGCAAGGGCAATTATGGAAGAAAAGGAAATAAAAGTGTCTGCATTGGTGAGGAAGAAGTAAAACTACCTCTATTTGCAAATGACATGATTTTAGATATAAAAACATCCTGAGTTCTGCTAAAACCTATTGGAAGTAATGAATGAATTCATCAAGGCTGCAATATACATGATCAATAAACAAAAACAATTTGTATTTCTATACACTAGCTGTTATGGGTTGAATTGTATCCCCTCAAAAGATATGTTGAAGTTCTCACCCCCTGCTACCTCAGGGTGACCTTATTTGGAAACAGGGTTATTCCCGATATTATTAGTTGAGATGAGGTCATACTGGAGTAGGATGGGCCCTTAATCCAACGTGACTAATGTCCTTATAGGAATTGGAAAAGACAGATAAACATGGAGGAAATACTGCTAATGTAAAGATAGAGACAGAGACTGGATTTATTCTGCCACAATCCAAAGAATGCCAGGGACTAACAGTGGCTAGAATAGGCATGGTGGTTTCCTTCCCCAGATATTTCAGAGGGAGCATGGCTGTGCCAACACTTTAATTTTGGATTTCAAGTCATCAGGCTGTGAGAAAATAAATTCTTGTTGTTTTAAATCACCCATATGTGGTCTTTTATTACTACAGCCCTAGGAAACAAATACACTAACTATGAACATTTCAAAAGTGAAATAAAGAAAACAATTCCATTTATAATAGCACCAAAGAGATCATACCTGAATTTAAAAGAAATGCAAGACTTGGGCACTGAAACTACAAAACATCATTGAAAGAACTTAAAGAACACCTACAGAAATGGATAGATATCTCATCTTCATAGACTGTTAAACTTAATATTTTTTATTTTCTTTTTAAGAAACAGGGTCTCACTCTGTCACCCAGGCTGGTGTGCAGTGATGTAATCATAGCTCACTTCAGCTGCTAACTCCTAGGCCCAAGGCATCTTCCTGCCTCAGCCTTCTAAGCAGCTAGGACTACAGGCATGAACCACCATGCCTGGCAATTAAAAAATTTTTTTTGTAGGGACAGGGTCTTGCTGTGTTGCCTAGGCTCGTCTTGAACTCCAGGCTTCAAGTGATCCTCCTGCCTTGGCCTCCCAAAGTTCTGTGATTACAGGTGTGAGCCACCACACCTGGCTTTAATAATCTTAAGATAGCAATACTTCCCAAATTGTCCTGCAGATTCAATGTAATTACTTTCAAAATTCCAGCTGACATTTTTAAAAAACTGACAAGCTGATTCTAAAACTCATGTGGAAGTGCAAGGAAGCTAGAATAGCCAAAGCAATCTTAAGAACAAAGTTAGAAGACTCATACTTAACTGATTTTAAAACTTAATACAAAGCTACAGTAACCAAGGCAAAGTGTTACTGGCATAAGGCTAGACATATAGAGCAATGGAATAGAGTTGAAAGTCCACAAATAAACCCTTACATTTATGAACAATTGATTTTCAAGGTAAGATGATTCAATGGGGGAAAGAAAAGTCTTTTTAATAAATGGTACTTGGGCAGCTGGTTATCCCCATGCAAAAGAACGAGGCTGGATTACTTATTTTTATTTTTATTTTTTTTTGAGGTGAAGTCTCGCTCTGTCGCTCAGGCTGGAGTGCAGTGGCACAATCTTGGCTCACTGCAAGCTCTGCCTCCCGGGTTCACGCCATTCTTCTGCCTCAGCCTTCCGAGTAGCTGGGACTACAGGCGCCTGCCACCACACCCGGCTAATTTTTTTTTTTTGTAGAGGCGGGGTTTCACTGTGTTAGCCAGGATGGTCTGGATCTCCTGACCTCGTGATCCGCCCACCTCGCCTCCCAAAGTGCTGGGATTACAGGCGTGAGCCACCGTGCCTGGCCTTGGATTACTTATTTTTGCCATGCACTAATGTCAAAATTATCAAAGAACTAAATTTAAGAGCTAAAACTATAGGCATTTTAGAAGAAGCATAGGAGTAAATCTTTGTGACATTGGGTTAGGCAGTGGTTTCTTAAATATGACATCAGAAGTACAATCAACAAAAGAAAAAGTTAGATCAACTTTATCCAAATTAAAAACTCTTGTGCTGCAAATGATACTATCAAAAACATGAAAAAAAACCACTCATAGAATATGAAAAATATTCACAAATCATATATCTGCTAAAGTACTTAGAAGAATATATAAAGAACTCTTATACCTCAATAATAAAAAGATAAATAATTCAATTAAAAATAGGCAAAGGATCTGAATAGATATTTCCCCAAAGAAGATATAGAAATGCCCAATAAGCACATGAAAAGATACTTAACATTGTTAGTTACTAGATTTTTTTTGTTTTTTTTTTGAGATGGAGTCTCGCTCTGTTGTCCAGGCTGGAGTGCAGTGACATGATCTCAGCTCACTGCAACCTCCACCTCCTGGGTTCAAGCAATTCTTGTGCCTCAGCCTCCCAAGTTGCTGGGACTACAGGCACCTGCCACCACACCCGGCTAATTTTTGTATTTTTCGTAGAGATGGGGTTTCACCATGTTGGCCAGGCTGGTCTCAAACTCCTGACCTCAGTTGATCTTCCTGCCTCGGTCTCCCAAAGTGCTGGGATTACATGCATGAGCCACTGGGCCTGGCTGTCACTAGTTTTAATTGCAAATCAAAACTACAATGAGATACCACTTTACACCCACTAGGATGGCTATATTCAAATAGACAACGCAATGATTTGTTGGCAAGTATGTAGAGAGATTGGGAACCTCATAATGGGAATTTAAATTATGTATCTGCTTTGGAAAAGTTTGCCGGTTCCTCAAAATGTTAAATACAGAGTCTGCATATGATTCAGAAATTCTGTGTCTAGGTTTATACATGAGATAAATGAAAACACATGTTCACACAAAAACTTGTACATAAATGTTCATAATAGCATTATTCATAATGGCAGAAAAGTGGAAACAAACAAAATGTCCTTAAAGTGTTGGATAAATAAAATGTGGGATATCCATATAATGGAATGTTATTTGGCAGTAACATAGATAAACATAGATTATTTGTTGAAAATAATCTATGGTCTATCCATACTGTGGAACAATGTCACCAAACTGTGTCAGCAAACTGTGGAACAATGTCAAACCTAACCTGAAACTTATTTTTGTAAATAAAGTTTAATTGGAATACAGCCATACGCATTGAAGAATAGTGACAGAGACCATCAGGCTTGCAGAATCTAAGATACTTACTATTTAGTTCTTTACAACTCCTGCTATGGAATAATCATTAGCGCTTAAAAAAACTGGGAAAGATCTATGTTTATGGACATGAAGAAATCTCAGACATTAAGTTAAGTGAAAAAGTAAGTTTGGAACAATATATACAGTGATGTCATTTATGTGAAAAAGAAAACTGAAATCCAACCCACTAATAAAAATTACAGAATGGAAAAGTTACATGCAGTATTGTGTAAATGCCTAGAACAAGTCCTGGAAAGGTAACAGTGATCCAATATTTCTAGGGAGAGTATTAAATTTTTGAAGTGCTAATCAAAGTGTCCGTTAAACTTCATCTGTATTAAAATCTTTACAAAGAAAATGTGTGTGTTAGGTGGGAATTGAACAATGAGAACACATGGACACAGGAAGGGGAACATCACACACCGGGGACTGTTATGGGGTGGGGGGAGGGGGGAGGGATAGCATTAGGAGATATACCTAATGCTAAATGACGAGTTAATGGGTGCAGCACACCAACATGGCACATGTTTGTTACATATGTAACAAACCTGCACGTTGTGTACATGTACCCTAAAACTTAAAGTATAATAATAATAAAATAAATAAAAAGAAAAAGAAAAAGTGGGATGCAAGGGAGGGCAGAATAAAACAGCAGCAACTAATTACTGAATACCAAAAGAAAAAAAAAGAAAATGTGTGTGTTTCATAAATTAAAATATAAATGTACAATTATAAACACACTTTTTTTGGTTTATTTTTCAGAGCTGTAAATGATCAAGTTTTGTTAGATGCTGTAAGTATAGTACTCTCAATTTGAAATTACACTTTGTCCTTGAGTTCTTAACAGATTCTAGAAATTGTCAGGATACATAATCCTATATAAAGATCCAATCCTTACTTAGTTTATTTAAGAGATTTGTATGCATATGTGAACTTTCTGGAAAGCCTTGTCTATTTTGTTCATTTTACTCTCATTATCACTCAGAAACTCTTCACTTCTGAAATACTAAACTATAATATCCTACAGTCATCTGAATAGTTCCAGTCCTTGACACGTGTAGATCTTTTATGCCTTTCAGCTCCAATTATTGTGTCACTCTACAGACTGATATCAATGTTTCATTCTTTTCATGAGTTAATGAAGACTTTCTTACCTTAATAATTAAATATCTGAATAACCTTTCTACATTGAGAGTTTTACTCTTCATTATTACTAAAATTATTTGTTTTTAGGAATACAAACAGATGCAGTGTGATTTTCAGTTGTTATCAGAAGAGAAGTTGGTGCTGGAAAATGAACTACAAAAGTTGAAGGACAAAGAGGTTGGAAAAATTTTAGTGTTTGAAAATGGCATACACCTAATAAGGCTTATTATGTTAGGATAGAAATCAAAGAGCTATTTAAATGTTATATAATATGTTTTTACTATTAATAATTCGTAGCAGCTATGCTTTAAAAATAAAATTATGCCATATTCTAAATTATCATATTAGGTGTCAAAACCAAAAGGATGCCATGAAAAAACATAAAATTTAAACATCTGAAAAGACATTTCTAGGCCAAATATTTAACTTTATTAAACTAACGGTAAATTAGTTTTCAAATATATTGTAAATGCATTTTGTGGTATTTTCTACAATTATGTAATGTGTGTGTCCCAGTTCATTATACCAAATAGAGTAAATAGAAATAGAAATGCAAGGATAAAGGAAAATTTGTTTCCTCTTGTATTTTATTATTCTCTTTGCCATTGTTAGAGAGCTTACAAATTCAAACTACAGACAATAAAGTCAAATACATTAGAAGTGAACTTTTATTAACCACTTAAGAAATTAAGATATATGATTGAGGAAAAATACTAAATTTCAATAATGTTGGTTGCTTGATATTTCTTCCTTACTAGGTGAGGAAGCAGAAATCATACAGGAGATTTGCTGTTTGATCAGTTAGAGAAGGAGTAGTCTTACACAGGTGTCAAATATAAGATCAGGGCTGTCATATATGTTCAGTTTAGGAATAGTTTTCCTTTAGGTATCATGCCAAATAGGAATAGAACATTGGTACAAAAAAACTAAAAATAGTAAATTGTCATGTTGAAGAACTGAGTAGTCTGACCAAGTGTGAGAATTTTGCAGCATCCTAATCACACACTGTTAGAACCACATTGAAAAAACGCTGGAGCTTCTTAGATGGCTTGAGGATGTTGCAGCAGTTTCTGGTTTTGCTTCCTTGTGTTTCTTCAGGTGTTTTGTCTCTAATTCTGCTCTAGAGAGCAATGGTTTTTGCATGAACTTCAATATATGATCTAGGATACAACAAGGTTTTCTTGTTTAATGCGTAGAAACTTTGGTGCTCATTTGGTAGGTTAGACTCTTACCCATTCTTTAAAACATTTAAAAAAATTTTTATTTTTGTGGGTACATAGTAGGTGTATATATTTATGGGGTACATGAGATATTTTGGTACAGGCATACAATGTGTAATAATCATATCATGGAAAATTTGGTATCCTCCTTAAGCACTTATCCTTTGTGTTGCAAATAATCCAGTTATACTTTTTTAGTTATTCTTAAATGTACAATTAAATCACTATTGACTATTGTCCCCCTGTTGTGCTATCAAATACTAAGTCTTATTCATTCTTTCCAACTACATTTTTTGTACCCATTAACCATCCCCACCTCCTTCTCACACTCCAAGCCTCTGGTAACCATCCTTCTATTCTCTATCTCCATGAGTTCAATTGTTTTGATTTTTAACCCCCACGAATAAGTGAAAACATGCAATGTTTGTCTTTCTATGCCTGGCCTATTTCATTTAACATAATGACTTCCAGTTCCATCTATGTTGTTGCAAATGACACAATCTCCTTTTTTATGACTAAATAGTACTCCATCGTGTATGAGTATTACGTTTTCTTTTTCCAGTCATACGCTGATGGACACAGAGGTTGCTTCCAAATCTTGGCTACTGAAAACAGACCTGCAACTAACATGGGAGTGCAGATGTCTCTTTGATATTCTGATTTCCTATTTTTGGGATATATACATATCAATAGGATTGCTGGATTGTATGGTAGCTCTATTTTTAGTTTTTTGAGCAACCCTCAAACTATTTTCCATAGTGGTTTTACTAATTCACATTCTCACCAACAGTGTATGAGGGTTCCCTTTTCTCCACATCATCCCCAGCATGTGTTATTGCCTGGCTCTTGAATAAAAGTCATTTTAACTGGGGCAAGATGATATTTCATTGTAGTTTTGATTTGCATTTCTCAGATGATCAGTGATGTTGAGGGCCTTTTTATATGCCTATTTGCCATTTGTATGTCTTGTTTTGAGAAATGTCTATTTGAATCTTTTACCCATTTTTAAATTGGATTATTAGATTTTTTTTCCTGTGGAGTTGTTTGAGCTCCTTATATATTCTGATTGTTAATCCCTCATCAGATGGGTAGTTTGGAAATATTTTTTCTCATTTTGTGGGTTGTCTCTTCACTTTGTAGATTGTTTTCTTTGCTGTGCAGAAGCTTTTTAACTTGGTGTTATCCCATGGGTCCATTTATTTTTTGGTTACCTATACTTGTGGAGTATTACTCAAGAAATTTTTGCACAGACCAATATGCTAGAGAGTTTCTCCAATGTTTTCTTGGAGTAGTGTCATCATTTGAGGTCGTAGATTTAAGTCTTTAATCCATTTTGATATGATTTTTGTGTAAGGTGAGAGAGGGTTCAAGATTCATTCATCTGCATATAGCTATCCAGTTTCCCAGCAACATTTATTGAAGAGACTGTCTTTTCCCCCACTGTATGTTCTTGGCACCTTTCTTGAAAATGAGTTCATCGTAGGTGTGTGGAATTTTTTCTGGGTTCTCTTCTGTTCCATTGGTCTATGTGTCGGCTTTTTTGCAACTACCATGCTGTTTTGTTTACTGTAGCTCTGTAGTATAATTTAAAGTCAAATAATATAATTTCTTCAGTTTTATTTCTTTTGCTCAGGATAGCTTTGGCTATTCTGGGGCTTTTGCGATTTCATATAAATGTTAGGATTTGTTTTATATTTCTGTGAAGAATATCATTGATATTTTGACAGGGATTACACTGAATCTGTACATTGCTTTGGGTACTATGGACATTTTAACAATATTGACTCCTCCATCTATGAACATGGAATATCTCTCCATTTCAATTTCTTTCATCAGTGTTTTATAGTTATCCTTGTAGAGATCTTTCACTTCTTTGGTTAATACGTAGGTGTTTAATTTGTGGCTATTGTAAATGGGATTACTTGTTTGATTTCTTTTTCAGATTATTCACTGTTGGTATATAGAAATGTTACTGATTTTTGTATTTTGATTTGTATCCTGTAACTTTACTGAATTTATCAGTTCTAAGAGTTTTTTTTTTTTTTGGCCAGTCTTTAGATTTTTCCAAATATAAGATCATACCATACCATCTGCAAACAAGGATAATTTGACTTGTTCCTTTCCAATTTGGATGCCCTTTATTTCTTTCTCTTATCTGATTGCTCTAGTGAGAACTTCCAGTACTATGCTGAACAACAGTCATGACAGTGGGCATTCTTACCATGTTCCAGATCTTAGAGAAAAGGCTTTCAGTTTTTTCCCATTCAGAGTGAAACTGGCTGTGGGTTTATCATATGTGGCTTTTATTATCGTTGAGGTATGTTTCTTCTGTAGCCAGTTTTTAGAGGATTTTTATCATGAAGGGATGTTGAACTTTATCAAATGCCTTTTCAGCGTCAATTGAAATGATCACATGGTTTTTGTCTTTCAGTCTGTTAATATGATGTATCACATTGATTGATTTGCATATTGTGAATCCCACTTGGTCATGATGAATGATCCTTTTAATGTATTGGTGAATGTGTTTTGTTAGAGTTTTGTTGAGAATTCTTGCATCAATAGTCACCAGAAATAGTGGCATATAGGCCTTTCTTTTGAAGAGCTTTTGTCTAGATTTGATATCAGGGTAATGCTGGTCTTGTAGAATGAGTTTGGAAGTATTCCCTCCTCTAGTATTTTTGGGATGGTTTTAATAGGGTTGGTATTATTTCTTTAAATGTTTGGTAAAATTCAGCAGTGAAGCCACTGGGTCCTGGGCTTTCCTTACTGGGAGACTTTTTATTATGGCTTTGATCTCGTTACTTTTTGTTGGTCAGTTCAGGTTTTGGATTTTTTCATGTTTCAATTTTGGTAGGTTATATGGGTCTAGAAATTTATTTCTTTTAGATTTTTCAATTCATTGATGTATAGTTGCTCATAGTAGCCACTAATGATTCTTTGAATTTCTGTGGTATCAGTTGTAATATCTCCTTTTTCATATCTGATTTTTATTTATTTCAGTCTTTCTCTTCTTTTCATAGTCTGACTAAAGGTTTGTCAATTTTATTTATCTTTTCAAAACACCAACTTTTTGTTTCATTGATCTTTTGTATTGTTTTCTTCATCAGAAATTCATTTATGTCTGCTCTGATCTTTATTATTTCTTCTACTAATTTTGGGTTTGGTTTGCTGTTACTTTTCTAGTTTTTTTGTTGCTTCATTAGGTTATTTATGTGAAATTTTTCTTCTTTTTTGATGCAGGCACTTGTAGCTATGAAGTTTCCTCTTAGTACTGTTTTTGCTGTATCCCATAGGTTTTGGTATATTGTGTTTTCATTATTATTTCTTTCATGAATTTTTTCAGTTCCCTTCTTAATTTCTTCATTGACTGATTGGTCATTCAGGAGCATATTTTTTAATTTCCATGTGTTTGCATAGTTTCCAAAATTCCTTTTGTTATTGATTTGTGGTTTTATTTCATTGTTGTCAGGGAAGATGCTTGATATTATTTCAGTTTTATTTGAATGTTTTAAGACTTGTTTTGTGACCTAACATATGGTATATCCTTGAAAATGATTCATGCACTGCAGAGAAAAATATGTATTCTGCAACCGTTGGATGAAATGTTCTATAAATATCTGTTAGTTCCATTTGTTCTGTAGTACAGATTAAGTTTGATGTTTCTTTGTTGATTTTCTATCTCAGAGATCTTTCCAATGCTAAAAGTAGGGTGTTTGGCCAGGGGCAGTGGCTCACGCCTGTAATCCTAGCACTTTGGGAGGTTGAAGCAGGCAGATTGCCTGAGCTCAGGAGTTCAAAACCAGCCTGGACAACACGGTGAAACCCTGTCTCTACTAAAAAATACGAAAAAATTAGCTGGGCATGGTGGCAGGCGCCCGTAGTCCCAGCTACTCGGGAGGCTGACACAGGAGAATTGCTTGAACCTGGGAGGCAGAGGTTGCAGTGAGCCGAGATTGCACTACTGCACACCAGCCTGGGTGACAGAGCAAGACGCTGTCTCCAAAAAAAAAAAAAACCGTAGGGTGTTTAAGTCTCCAGCTATTATTGTATTGATATCTATCTTTCTCTTTAGCTCTAATAATATTTGCTTTACATATCTGGGTGTTCCAGTGTTGACTGCATATATATTTACAATCATTATATCCTCTTGCTGAATTGACCTCTTTGTCATTATATAATGACCTTTTTTGTCTCTTCTTACAGTTTTTGTGTTGAAATCTATTTTGTCTGGTATAAGTAGAGTTACTCCTGCTTTTTTTTTGGTTTCCACTGGCATGGAATATCTTTTTCCATTCCTATATTTTCTGTCTATGTGTCTCTTTATAGGTAAAGTATGTTTCTTGTAGGCAACAAATTATTGGTTCTTGTTTTTTTTTTAATCCATTCAGCCATCACATATCTTTTGATTAGAAAGTTTAGTCCATTTACATTCAGTGTTATTATTCATAAGTAGGGACTTGCTCCTGCCATTTTTTAAATTTGTTTTCTGGTTGTTTTACAGCCTTATCTTTCTTCCTTCTGTCTTTTTTTTTTTTTTAGTGAAGGTGACTTTGTCTGGTGGTTTGCTTTAATTTCTTGCTTTTTATTTTTTGTGTATTCCTTGCTTGTTTTTTGATTTGAGGTTACCATGAGGCTTGCAAGTACTATCTTATAACCCACAACTTTAAACTAATGACAACTTAACACTGATTGCATGAACAGAATACACGTGGAAAGAAAACTCATAAAAACTCTACGCTTTAATTTCATCCACTTGTTTGTTAATTGTTTTCTTTTTGTACTGTGTCTTGAAAAAGCTGGTATAGTTATTATTTTTGTTTGTTTTATCACTGAGTCTTTTTATTTAAGTCAAGAGTAGTTTACACACCACAGTTATGGTGTTACATGATTCTGTGTTTTCTTGTGTGCTTACTATTACCAGTGAGTTTTGTACCTTCAGATGATTTCTCATTGCTCGCTAACATCCTTTCCTTTCAGATAAAAGAATTTCCTTTAGCATCTCTTATGGGACAGGTCTGGTGTTGATAAAATCCCTCAACTTTTGTTTATATGGAAAGGTCTTTATTTCTCTGCAATGCTTAAAGAATATTTTTGCCAGCTATACTATTCTAGGGTAAAAGGTTTTTTCCTTCAGATCATTAAATATGGTATGCCACTTTCTCCTGGCCTGTAAGTTTTCCACTGAAAGTCTGCTGCCAGACATATTTGAGGTCTATTGTATGTTATTTGTTTCTTTTCTCTTGCTGCTTTTAGGATCCTTTCCTTATCCTTTATCTTTGGGAGTCTGATTGTTACGTACCTTGAGGTAGTCTTCTTTGGGTTATATTTTCTTGCTGGTCTATAACCTTGTACTGGAATGTTGATATATTTCTCTAGGTTTGGGAAGTTGTTTGATATTATCCCTTTGAATAAACTATCTACCCCATCTCTTTCTCCTGTTCAAGGCCAATAACTCTTAAAGTGCCCTCATGAGGCTGTTTTCTAGATCTTGTACGTGTGCTTCATTGTGTGTTTTTTTTTTCTTTTGTCTCCTCTGTCTGTGTATTTTCAAATAGGGGGATGGGGGAGGGATAGCATTGGACAAATACCTAATGTAAATGACGAGTTAATGGGTGCAGCAAATCAACATGGCACATGTGTACATATGTAACAAACCTGCATGTTGTGCACATGTACCCTAGAACTTAAAGCATAATAAAAAAAAAAGAAAAGAAAAAAAAACCCAAATAGCCTGTCTTTAAGCTCAATAATTGTTTCTCTTGCTTGATCAATTCTGCTATTAAGAGAGTCTGATGCATTCTTCAGCATGTCAATTGCATTTTTCAATTCCAGAATTTCTGCTTGATTCTTTTAAAATATTTTAATCTCTTTGTTAAATTTATCTGATAGAATTCTGAATTCCTTCTCTGTATTATCTTGAATTTGAGTTTTCTGAAAACAGCTATTTGAGTTCTCTTTCTGAAAAGTCATATATCTCTGTTTCTCCAGGATTGGTTCTTCATGCCTTATTTGGTTCATTTGGTGAGGTTATGTTTTCTTAGATGGTGTTGAAGCTTGTAGATGTTTATAAGGGTCTGGATTTTGAAGAGTTAGATATTTATTGTAGTCTTCACAGTCTGAGCTTGTTTGTGTCTGTCCTTCTTGTGAAGACTTTTAAAGTATTTGAAGGGACTTGGGCCCCAAGCCCAATAATGCTGTATTTTTTGCAGACTCTTAGAGGTATCACCTTGATGGTCTTGGATAAGATCCAGAAGGATTCTCTGGATTACCAGGCAGGAACTTTTCTTTTTTTCCCTTACTTTCTCTCAAAGGAACAGAGTCTCTCTCTCTCTGCTGAGCCATCTGGAACTGGGGGTGTGTTGTGCAAGCACCCCTGTGGTCACCACCATTGAGACTGCACCAGGTCAGACTTGAAGCCAGCACAGGACTGGGCCTTTCCCAAGGCCCTTTCCTTCAGGGTGGTGTGTTCCCCCAAGCCCTAAGTGTGTTCAGAGATGCTGGCTGGGAGGCAGGGATGAGAGTAAAAACCTTAGCATTTTACCTGATGTTTTCTGCTATGGCTAAGCTGGAACTCAACCCATGATACAAAGTTCTTCCCACTCTGCCTTGCATAGGCAGAGAAGCCCCTCCCTGTGGCCACCACCACAAATGGGTCATGAGGGCTTCTGCCTGTACACACCGTTGATGCTGACTTAAAGCTCATGGTCTCTTCCTTCAGCTTGTGGTGAATGCTTCCAGGCCTGGGACTCACCCTTCAGGGCAGTGGGTTCCCCTCTGGCCCAGGTAAGGTCCAGAAATATTGTCCAGAAGTCTCAGCCTGGGCTCAGGGACCCCAAGAGCCTGCTCGTTGTTCTACCCCACTGTGGTTGAGCTGATACCTAGGGTGCAGGACAAAGTCACCTTTACGTTTCCCCCTTATTTTCTCAAACAGAAGGAGTCTTTCACCATAACCTCTATAGCTTGGAATGTCCTGAGTCACCCTTGAAGCCCCCATGTCTCAGAGCCCAGGCCCACAGTGTACTCTGTGCATATCACTGGTGGTTATTCAGGGCCCAGGGCTCTTTATTCAGGAGGTGATGACTCCTGCTAGTACTGGGTCCTTCACTTCAAGGCAGCATGCTCCCTTTTGGCCCAGGATGTGATTAGAAATGTCCAGGAGTGAGGGCCTGGAATAGTTGGCCTCATGACTCTCCTTGGTGCCCTATCCTACTGTACCTGAGCTAGTATCCAAGATGCAAGACAAAGTCCTCTTTACTCTTTGCTCTCTTCTCCTTAAGCAGGAGGGAGTCACTTTCGTTGCTGAGCTGCATTGCCTGGGGTTGGGGGAAGGGTGGCACAAGCATTCCCTTTGCCATACCAGGTGGTATCTTCGTAGGTCACGTGCCACCCAAGTTTACTGGCTTTAAGCCCAACCCTAGCCCTACAAATAGTCTAGAAATTGCAGTCCATGTGTCCTAGACTGCCTTTCAAGTGTACCTGGGACCCCAGAGCCCTTCAGTCCATGATGTTGAGGATTGCCAAGAAACTCAAGCTCGGCCACTAGTATGGTCACTTCCCCTCTGGCAAGGGCTGGTGCAAATGCTCCCTCCATGTGTGGGTGCTGGCTGAGCCCAGCATGGCTTTATTCTCTGCTGTGACAGGGCAGCGCTGGGTTCATTGTAAAGTCCCCCCACTGTTGTGCTCTCCCTCCCCAAAGTGCACAGATTCTTTCTCCACCCCACATGGCTGCTGCACTGTGATAGCGGATGAATAGCATCAGCATTTAATACTGTCTCTTCTGCCCTCCTCAATGCCTCTTTTGGCAATATGAAGTTAAAACGAGGAACTGCGATTGCTCACCTGATTTTTGGTTCTTCTGATGGTGCTTTCCTGTGTGTAGATAGTTGTTAAAATTTGGTGTTCCAACAGAGGGGACGAACAGTGTAGACTTCTATTTTGCCATCTTGCCACCACCATTTTTGTCTCAGCCCGTGCACATCATTTCTGCTTCACTCTTCACTTAAGCTTTCAGTATTCTAAAATATATTAAAGTCTGCTGGACCACATTTCTAATACTATATAAATGTGAAATGTAGTCAATGAATGACTTTACCTTCTCTTGTTATAAATTACTTAAAGAATTTCTCATAATGATGCAGATGTGCGAAGGAGAACTGTGGAAGTAATTGTTATATCCACACAAGGGTAGTGACCAAGAAATCTGAGAAGTAGTCTGTTTTCAGAGAAGGAAATTTAACATGGCAATTGGTGAAATAGGATGGTGGGTAGAGAATAATGGTTATGGAATATGTAGAACACAGGATTTCTAATTTTTATTTTTATTTTTAATTTTTTTATTTTTATAAATTTATGGGGTACAAGTGTAATATTGTTATATGCATAGACTGCATAGTGGTGAAGTCAGGACTTTTAAGTTCTCCATCACTCAAATAATGTATGTTAACATACCCATTAAATAATCTCTCATCATCTACCTCCCTGCCTACCCACTGACCCTTCCAAGTCATTCCTCACTCTAAGTCCATGTGTACACATTGTTTAGCTTCCACTTGTAAATTAGAATATGGGGTATTTGTCTTTCTATGTCTGGCTTGTTTCACTTAATATAATGGCCTCCAGTTTCATCCATGTTGCTTCAAATGACAGGATTCCATCCTTTTTATGGCTGAATGGCTGAATAATATTCCACTGTGTATATGTAGCACGTTTCTTTTTTTTTTAAATTGTAATAGGTTTTTGGGGAACAGGTTTTTGGTTACATGAATAGGTTCTTTAGTGGTGATTTCTGAGATTTTGGCGCATCCATCACCCAAGCAGTGTACACTGTACCCAATGTATATTTATCCCTCACCCCCCTCTTATCCTTTCCCCCGAGTCCTCAACACCCATTGCATTATTCTTATGCCTTTGCATCCTCATAGCTTAGGTCCCACTTATGAGTGAGAGCATACGGTGTTTGGTTTTCGATTCCTGAGTTACTTCACTTAGAATAATGGTCTCCAAATCTATCCAGGTTGCTGTGAATGACATTATTTCATTCCTTTTTATGGCTGAGTAGTATTCCATGGTATTCCATGGTATATGTATGTGTGTGTGTGTGTGTATATATATATACACACACATATATATATGCATATATATACACACACATATATATGTATATATACATATATACGTATTTACGTATATATGTATATATACATATATACGTATTTACATATACACACACATTATTCCATGGAATACTTTTATATATATATTTATATTTTCTTTATCCACTCATCGATTGATGGGCATTTGGGCTGGTTCCATATTTTTGCAGTTGCAAATTATGCTGCTATAAACATGCATTTGGAAATATCTTTTTTGTATAATGACTTCTTTTCCTCTGGGTAGATACCCAGTCGTGGGATTGCTGGATCAAATGGTAGATCTACTGTCTACTTGTAGTTTATTTTTATTTTATTTTATTTTATGTTATTTTTTATTTTGAGATGGAGTCTTGCCCTGTCACCCAGGCTGGAGAGCAATGGTGTGGTCTCAGCTCACTGCAACCTCTGCCTCCTGGGTTCAAATGATTCTCCTGCCTTGGCCTCCCAAGTAACTGGGGATTACAGGAACTCACTACCACGCCTGGCTAATTTTTGTATTTTTAGTAGAGATGGGGTTTCACATGTTGGCCAGGCTGGGCTTGAGCTCCTGACCTTGTGATCTGCCTGCCTCAGCCTCCCAAAGTGCTGGGACTACAGGCATGAGCCACTGCGCCCAGCCTACTTGTAATTTTTAAAGGAATTGCCACACTGTTTTCCATAGCAGTTGTACTAGTTTACATTCCCACCAGTAGTGTAAAAGTGTACCCTTTTTACTATATCCACACCAACATCTATTATTTTTTGATTCTTTGATTATGGCCATTCTTGCAGGAGTAAGGTGGTATTGCATTGTGGTTTTGTATCATATTTCCCTGATCATTAGTGATGTTGAGCATTTTTTTATGTTTATTGGCCATTTGTATATCTTCTTTTGAAAATTGTCTATTCATGTCCTTAGCCTGCTTTTTAGTGGGATTACTTGTTTTGTTCCTGCTAATTTGTTTCAGTTCCTTGTAGATTCTGGATATTAGTCTTTTGTCAGATGTATAGATTGTGAGAATTTTCTCCCATGCTGTGGGTTGTCTCTTTACTCTGTTGATTGTTTCTTTTCCTGTGCAGAAGGTTTTTAGTTTAATTGAGTCCCATCTATTTATCTTTGTTTTTGTTGCATTTGCTTTTGGGTTCTTGGTTATGAAGTCTTTGCCTAAGCCAATGTCTAGAAGGGTTTTTCCATGTTATCTTCTAGAATCTTTACGGTTTCAGGCCTTAGATTTAAGTCTTTGATCCATCTTGAGTTGATTTTTGTATAAGGTGAAAGATGAGGATCCAGTTACATTCTCTTACATGAGGCTTGCCAATTATCCCAGCACCATTTGTTGAATAGGGTGTCCTTTCCCCACTTTATGTTTTTCTTTGCTTTGTCAAAGATCAGTTGACTATAAGTATTTGGCTTTATTTCTGGGTTCTCCATTTTGTACTGGTGGTCTATATGCCTGTTTTTATACCAGTACCACGCTATTTTGGTGACTATAGCCTTATAGTATAGTTGGAAGTCAGGCGATGTGATGCTTCCAGATTTCTTCTTTTTGCTTAGTCTTGCTTTGGCTATGTGGGCTCTTTTTTCATTCCACATGAATTTTAGGATTGTTTTTTCTAGTTCTGTGAAGAATGATGTTAGTATTTTTATGGGAATTGCATTGAGTTTGTAGATTGCTTTTGGCAGTATGGTCATACATACCTCAAAATAATAAAGGTCATTTATAACAAACCCACAGCTAACACTATACTGAATGGGGAAAAACTGAAGGCCTTTTGTCCAAGGAATGGAACAAGACAAGGATGCCTACTGTCACCACTTTTATTAAACACAACACTGTTTATGTTTTAAATGGGATGGTTTTCTTGATTTCTTTTTCAGTTAAGTGAAATGGTATATAATTGGTACTGTTTTTTGTATATTGATTTTGTATCCTGCAACTTTATTGAATTTGTTCATCAGTTCTAACAGTTTTCTTGGGGGTTGACTCTAGGTTTTTCTAGGTATAAGGTTATATTATCTGTGAACAAGGCTAATTAGACTTCTTCCTTTACAATTTGGATTCCCTTTATTTCTTTTTGTTACCTAATTTTTCTGGCCAGGACTTCCAGTGTTATGTTTAATAAAAGTGGTGAAAGTTGACATCCTTGTCTTGTTCCAGTCCTTGGAGGAAAGACCTTCAATTTTTCCCCATTCAGTATAATGTTAGCTTGGGTTTGTTATAGATGATCTTTATAATTTTGAGTTATGTTCCATCTATACCTATTTTGATGAGGGTTTTTATCGTAAAGGATGTTGAAGTTTATCAAATGCTTTTTCAGCAGCTATTGAAATAAACATGGTTTTTCTTCCTGATTCTGTTAATATGATATATCATGTTTATTGATTTGTAAACATTGAACCATCTTTATGTTCCTGGGATGATGGATCTTACTTGATTATGGTGATTGATTCTTTTTTTTTGAGACAGAGTCTCATTCTGTCACCCAGGCTGGAGTGCAATGGTGTGATTTTGGCTCACTGCAGCTTTGGCCTCCTGGGCTCAAGCAATCCTTCCCCCTCAGCTTCCCTAGTAGCTGGAACCACAGGTGTGTGCCACCATGCCTGGCTATTGTTCTTTATCTTTTACAGAGATGAGGTCTCACTATGTTGCTCAGGCTTGTCTTGAACTCCTGGATGGAAGTGATCCTCCTACCTCAGCCTCCCAAAATGTTGGAATTATATATGTGAGCCACTGCACCTAGCCATGAATGATCTTTAAAGGTGTTGTTGAATGTGGTTTGTATTTTGTTGCAGATTTTTACATCTATGTTCATCAGTCATATGGGTGTGTAGTTTTCGTTTTTTGCTGTGTCTCTGTCTGGTTTTGATATCAAGGTAATGCTGGCCTTGTAGAATGCATTTGGAAGCACTCCCTTCTCTTCTACTTTTGAAGGATTTGAGTAGGATTGGTATTAGATCTTTAAATGTTCAGTAAAATCCAGCAGTGAAACCATCAGGTCCTGGGTTTAACTTTGTTGGGAGACTTTCTATTACACCTTGATCTTGTTACTTATTATTGGTTTGCTGATGTTTTCTATTTCTCCATGGTTCAATCTTGGTAGGTTGAGTGTGTCCAGGAATTTATCTATTTCTTCTAGGTATTCCAATTTGTTGACTATTGTTGTTCATAGTAGTCTCTAGTAATTCTTTGTATTCTGAGGTCTCAGTTGTTATTTCTGCTTTTTAGCTTCTGATTTTATTTATCTGGGTTTTTCTCTTTTTTCTTAGTCTAAAGGCTTATCAATGTTGTTTATCTTTTCAAAACATCAACTTTTTCTTTGTTGATTTTCTGCACATTTCTTAGTCTCAATATCATGTATTTCTGCTTTAATCTTCATTATTTCTTTTCTTCTACTTATTTTGGGTTTGATTTCTTTTTCCTTTTGTAGTTCCTTGAGGTTCATCATTAGGTTATTTGAAGTCTTTCTACTTTTTTCCTTAACATTGGCGTTTATTGCTATAAATTTTCTTCTTAATGCCTTTGCCATATTCCATAAACTTTGGTATGTTGTATTCCCATTTTCATTTGTTTGAAGAAATTTTTAAGTGTCATTCTTAATTTCTTTATTGACCCATTGGTTGTTTAGGAACGTGGTAACATCTATGTGTTTGTGTATTTTTTGAGGTTTTCCTTTTGTTAATTGATTTATAGTTTTATTCTATTTAAGTTACAAATTATACTTGATATGATTTCTATGTTTTGCATTTGTTAAGATTTGTTTGGTAGCCTAAGATATGGTCTATCCTGGAGAATGCTCCAATATTGATGAAAACAATGTGTATTCTGCGGCAGTTGGGCAACATGTTCTGTAAATGCCAGATAGGCCTATTACATTTTGTGTGTTGTTTAAAGTCCCTTACTGTTATTGTATTACAGTTTATCTCTCCCTAGAGATCTATACTTTAGTTAATGTTTGCTTTATATATCTGGGAGTTCTGTTGTTGGATGCACAGATATTTATAGTTGCTACATGCTCTTGCTGAATTGACCTCTTTATTATTATATAGTGACTTTGTCTCTTTTTGCAATCTTAGATTTATAGTCTATTTTATCTAAGTATAGCTACTCCTGCTCTTTTTTGGCTTCCAGTTACATGGAATATATTTTTCCACTCCATTCACTTTCAGGCTGTGTGTGTCTTTAGGGTTTCTTGGGAGCAGCGTATCATTGAGTCTTGTTTCTTTACTCATTCAGCCACTCTATGGGTTTTAATTGAAGAATTGAGACCATTTACACTCAGTGTTATTGTTTATAAGTAAGATCTTACTATGACCATTTTGATGCCTGTTTTCTGATTGTTTTGAGTCCTTCTTTTCTTTATTTCTTACTGTTTTCCTTTGTGGTTAAGTAATTTTTTATGATAATATGTTCTGATTTATTGCTTTTGACTTTTAGTGAATCTATTACATGTTTTTGTGATGTGGTTACTATTAGGCTTACAAAGAACATTGTATAGATATAACAAGTTGTTTTAAAGAGATGATAATTTATCTTTAATCCCAAATAAAAGAATAGAAACAAAGGAAACACACACACACACACACACACACACACACACAATTCTACACTTTAACTTCTCCCCCACATTTTGACTAAGTTGTCTCAATTTATGTATTTTATATTACCAATCTCTTAACAGGTTGCTGTAATATTTTTATTTTTGATAGACTTGTCTTTGGACTTCATAATAGATTTATGAGCAAATTGCACACCACAGTTGCAATATAGAGTATTTTGGGTTTCTTCATGTACTTAATTTTACCAAGGCGTTTTATACCTGGAAAAGTTTTTTTTTATTTTGCACGTTGGTGTTTTATTTTTTTTCAGATTGAAGAACTCCCTTTAGCATTTTTTATAAGATGGGTCTGGTAGTTGTGAATTCTCTCAGCTTTATTTTGTCTGGAGAAGACTTTATATCTCCTTCATATTTGAAGGATAATTTTGATGGATACAATATTCTTGAATGGAAGTTGTCTTCTTTCAACACTTTGAAAATCTCATTCTATTGCCTCCTGGCCTGTATTATTTTCATTGAAAAGTCTGTTGCTAGGCAAATTGGAGCTTTTTAATATGTTATTTGCTTCTTTTCTCTTGCTTCTTTTAGGATTCTCTTTGTCCTTGACCTTTGAGAGCTTCATTATTATATGTCTTATGTAGTCTTACTTGGGTTGAATCTTTTTGGTGTTCTCAGAATTTCTTTTACCTGGATATTGACATCTTTCAGAAGTTTTGGAAAGTTTTCTGTTATTATTTCTTTGGGTAAGTTTTCTACCCCTTTCTTTTCCTCAGCTCTCTCTTGAACACCAATAATTTTTAGATTTGGTTCTTTAAAATAATTTTCTATATCTTGAAGGTAATTTTTATTCCTTTTCATTCTTTCTTCTTTTTTCTCCTTTTTGTATTTTCAAATAGCCAATCTTAGATTTCACTGAATTTTTCTCCTCTACTTGGTCCATTCTGCTGTTGAGAGCCTCTAATGAGTTCTTCAGTTCAGCAAATGTATTTCTCAGTTCCAAGATTTGTTTGAGTTTTAAAAAATTATTTTAAACTTGTTGTTAAATTTATCTGGTATATTTCTGAATTTCTTTTTTGTGCTACCTTGGAGATCACTGAGTTTCCTTAAAACTGTTGTTTTGAATTCTTGTTCCGAGAACTCATGAATTAACATCTTGTTATGGTCAGTCATGGTGTTTTTGCTTTGTCCTTTTGGGGAGGTTATGATTTCTTGTTTGCTGTTGTTTCTTGTGGGTATATGCCTGTGCCTTTGCTTTGAAGAATTACTTATTTATTCCCATTTTCTCGTTCTGGAAAAAAATGGATGTATTTGCTTAGCAAGTATTTATCACTGGTTTGCTGCTTTTTTGGGGGTGCTCTTGGTGGCTCCTTAAATCCTGGTTGACCTCAGCTCTAGTAAATGATGAGAGTGCTGCTTGTCTGGAATTGGGGAGGTCCCAAAAGGTTTATCCCAGCAGTGTAGGAAGGCTGGCCAGGGATTTGGGCCAAAGGATTTGGGAATGAATATTCCTTCTACGATGTGGTCCTGCTGAATAGCCACTCTGACTTGACATCTCCTTTGGTCAAGTTACAGAGTTTCCAGGGCTGGGGATGGTAGTTTTACTTTTCTTCTTTGTCTTTGTCTGTTGTTGGTAATATTTCTCCCTTTAGGCAGTCATAATGCTTCCTGAGGGTTAAAGCAAGTACAGGTCTCCTGTCAAGGAACCCAGCATTGGTGGGAAAGCTGGTTGACCCCCTCATTCTCACTTTTTGCAGTGTAGAAACTTGGAGTTGGGGGAAGATTTTCTTCTGCATGCTTGTCGCAGGACAGAATGTGAGGAGGGGCATCATGGATGTGGAAGTCCGATTTTCCTACCATCTGCCCGGAGTTTTTTCACTTCTCTGGGTGAAAAACTCCGGGCAGATGGTAGGAAAATATGTCCCATCCTTATATTTATGTTCTGGGTTGTTGCTGGTGAAAATCTCAGTGCTCTGTATTTAACTTATGAGAAGATTGCCACTATAGTGAATTTGGTATCCATTGGGAGTTGTGGTTTAAAACAAGAAATAACCACCTAATGCCTTAATAGGTAATTATTATTAAGCTAATCTAATTTTTAAAAATATTTAAAGAAGTTTACCCTGAGCCAAATATGAGTGACCAAGGCAATTGGGTTACAGTTTGGTTTTATACATTTTAGGGAGACATAAGACATCAATCAATACATGTGAAGTATACATTGGTTTCGTCAGGAAAGGTGGGACAACTTGAAGGAAGGATGCGTGTGTGGGGTGCTTACAGGTCATAGATGGATTCAAGGTTTTCTGACTGGCAGTTGATTGAAAGAGTCAAGTTATTATTATCCAAAGATCTGGAATCAATAGAAAGGAGTGTCTAGGTAAAGAGAAGGGGCTTGGAGACCAAGGTTCTTATTATACGAAATCTCATAGGTGGCTGCCCTTAGAAACAATAGATAGCAAATGTTTCCTGTTTAGACCTTTAAGAGGTGCTGGACTCTCAGCTAATCTCTTCAAGGTTGGGAGGAAAGGGGAAAGATATTACGTTAATTACGTTAATAGAAGTTATTTGCAGATGCAGATTTCCCTGGTAGAAGATGGCTTTGCAGGACTGTTTCAAAATATGGCAAAGAAACATATTTTGGGGTTAAATATTTGGATTTCCTTCTTTATCTGTCATGTGATGTGATGCCAGAGTCAGGTTGGATAGTAAGCAATGTTATATAGGGTTAAATAAAATGCATCTATTTAGATTTTATGGTTTATAGGGCATGTCTTCCCAGACCCCTTAAATAGGAATTTCAGCAAGAGAGAGAAAAGGTCAAAGTTTAGTCCTTGCTGGGATAGCCAGGTTGCTAGTTTACTCTAGAAGTAACCCCTCCCTCACTTTGTTTCTTGCTGCACATGTATCTAACTACCCGTTTGCTTGAGAATTCCAAAAGCTAATCTTGAAACAATCCAGGCAGGAAGCAGAGAGGGTGGTTGCAATTTTCTCCCTTCCAGGAAGAAATTGGAGCAGTTAGTCTATGATCAGACCCCTGCAGAAATTACACCAGCCAGGCCTGTGGATGGTCTGTTACCCCAGCTAGCCATCAGAAAACAACAAGCAGACCTACACCCCATGCCTCTCCTGTGCATCATTTCCATGCCACCTTTCCCCTTAAACATCCTCTAGGCAGCTTGAGATTTTGAGATGGCTTTTTGAGACTTGAGTCTTGCTGTCTCACAAGCTGCTAGCACTTGAATATACCTGTTTTCTCCCAGCAAACCTCACACTTCGGTTAACTTTTATTTTAGGTTTAGGGGTACATGAGCAGGTTTGTTATATAGGTAAACTGCATGTCATGGGTGTTTGGTGTACAGATAATTTTATCACCTGGGTAATAAGCATAGTACCAGATAGGTATTTTTTCTAATCCCCTTCCTCCTACCACTCTCCACTCTCAAGTAGGCCCCAATGTCTGATGTTCCTCTCCTAGAATCCATGTGGTCTTGTTGTTTAGCTCCCCCTTATAAGTAAGATCATGGGGTATTTGGCACTAGCCATTTGGATAATGGCTTCCAGCTCCATCTGTGTTGCTGCAGAGGATATTATCTCATTATTTTTTATAGCTACATAGTATTCCATGGAGTATACATATCACATTTTCTTTATCCAGCCCACCGTTGTTGGGCATTTAGGTTGACTCCCTGTATTTGCTATTGTGAATAGTGCTGCAATAAACATATATGTGCATGTGTCTTCATGGTAGAATGATTTATATATTCCTTTGGGTATATACCCAACAATGAGATTGCTGGGTCAAATAGTTATTCTTTTTTAAGTTCTTTGAGGAATCACTACACTGCTTTCTACAATGGCTGAACTAATTTACACTCCCACCAGCAGTGCATAAGTCTTCCCTTTTCTCCTCAACCTCACTGGCATCTGTTACTTTTTGACTTTTTAATAATTGGCATTCTGACTGGTATGAGATGGTATTTTATTATAGTTTTGGTTTGCACTTCTCTAATGATTACTGATGTTGTGCATTTTTTGTATGTTTGTTGGCTACATGTATGTCTTCTTTTGAAAAGTGTCCATTCATGTCCTTTGTCCCCTTTTTAATGGAGTCATTTTTTCCTTGTAAATTTGTTTAAGTTCCTTATAGATTCTGGATATAACACCTTTGTCAGATGCATAGTTTACAAATATTTTCTCCCAATCTCTAGGTTGCCTGTTTACTCTGTTGATAGTTTCTTTTGTTATGCAGAAGCTCTTTAGTTTGGATCTCATTTGTTAATTTTTGTTTTTGTCGAAATGGCTTTTGGCATCTTTATCATGAAATCTTTGCCAAGTCCTATGTCCAGAATGGTATTTCCTAGGTTATCTTCCAGAGTTTTTATAGTTTTGGGTTTTCATTTAAGTCTTTAATTGATTTTAAGTTGATTTTTGAATGTGGTGTAAGGTAGGGGTACAGTTTCAGTCTTCTGCATATGGCTGGCCAGTTATTCCAGCCTCATTTTTTGAATGGGGAGTCCTTTCTTCATTGCTTGTTTTTGTCAGGTTTATTGAAGATCAGATAGTTTTAGGTGTGCAGCCTTATTTCTGGCTTCTCTATTCTGTTCCATTGGCCTAGGTGTCTGTTTTTGCACCTGTACCATGCTGTTTTGGTTACTGTAGCCCTTTAGTATAGTTTTAAGTTGGGTATGTGATGCCTCTAACTTTATTCTTTTTGCTTAGGATTGCCTTGGCTATTCCAACTCTTTTTTGGTTCCTTACGCATTTTAGAATAGTTTTTTCTATTTCTGTGAAGAACGACATTGGTAGTTTGATAGGAATAGCATTGAATCTTTAAATCACTTTGGGCAGTATGACCATTTTAACAATATTGAGTCTCCCTATCCATGAGCATGGAATGTTTTCCCATTTTTTTGTGTCATCTGATTTCTTTGAGCAGTGTTTTAAAGTTCTCATTGTGGAGATCTTTCACCTCCCTAGTTAGCTATATTCCTAGATATTTTATTCTTTTTGTGGCAGTTGAGAATGGGATTGTATTCCTGATTTGGCTCTTGGCTTGGATGTTGTTGTATAGGAGTGCTACTAATTTTGTATATGGACTTCGTACCCTGAAACTTTGCTGACGTTGTTCATCAGCTGAAGGAGATTTTGGGCCAAGCCTATGGAGTTTTCTAGATATAGAATCATGCCATCAAACAGGGGTAGTTTCACTTCCTCTCTTCCTATCTGGATGCCCTTTATTGCTTTCCCTTGCCCGATTGCTCTTGCCAGGACTTCTAATATTGTGTTGGATAGAAATGGTGAGAGAGGGCATCTTTGTCTTGTGCTGGTTTTCAAGGGAAATGCTTTCAGCTTTTGCCTATTCAATATGATGTTGGCTGTGGTTTTGTCATAGATAGCTTTTATTATTTTGATGCATGTTCCTTCAATGCCTAGTTTATTGAAGGTTTTTAACATGAAGAGAGTTGAATTTTATTGAAAGTCTTTTCTGCCTCTGTTGAGATAATACTATGGTTTTGGTTTTTAGTTTTATTTATTTGGTGAATCAGATTTATTGATTTGCCTATGTTGAATCAACTTTGCATCCCAGGGATAGAGCCTATTTGATCATGGCGGATTACGTTTTTGATGTGCTTCTGGAAGCAGTTTGCTAGTATTTTGTTGAGGAGATTTTTGCATCTATGTTCATCAAGATATTGGCCTGAAGTTTTCTTTATTTGTTGTGTCTCTGCCAAGTTTTGGTATCAGGATGATGCTGGCCTCATAGAATGAGTTAGGGAGGAGTCCCTCCTCCTCAGTTTTTTTGAATAATTTTAGTAGGAATTTAGTAGCAATCATTTAGTAGGAATGGCACCAGCGCTTCTTTATATATCTGGTAGAATTTGGCTGTGAATCTCTCTGGTCCTGGGCTTTTTTTTTGGTAAGCTTTTTGTTACTAATTCAATTTTGGAAATTGTTATTGGTCTGCTCAGGGATTCAGTTTCTTCCTGGATCATTTTTGGGTGGTTGTATGTGTCCAGGAATTTATCCATTTCTAGTTTGATGTACTCATTTCTAGTATAGATTTTCTGGTTTGTGTGCATAGAGGCGATCATAGTAGTTTCTGATGGTGATTTGTATTTCTGTGGTGTCAGTGGTAACATCTGCTTTGTCATCTCTAATTGTGTTTATCAGGATCTTCTCTCTGTTTTTATTTGTGTAGCTAGTGGTCTATCTTATTATTTTTTTTTATAAAACCAATTTCTGGATCTGTTGATCTTTTGTATTTTTTTTGTATCTCAATTTCTTCAGTTCAATTCTGATTTTGGTACTTCTTGCCTTTTGCTTGCCTTGAGGTTGGTTTACTCTTCTTCTTCTAGTTGTGATGTTAGGTTGTTAATTTTAGATCTTTCTAACTTTTTCATGTTGGGCATTTAGTGTTATAAACTTCCCTCTTAACACTGCCTTAGTTGTGTACTAGATTTTCTGATATGTTGTATCTTTGTTCTCATTAGTTTCAAAGAACTTCCTAACTTCTGCCTTAATTTCATTGTTTACCCAAATGTCATTCAGGAGGAGGTTGTTTAATTTCCGCATAATTGTATGGTTTTGAGTGATTTTCTTAGTCTTGGTTTCTATTTTTATTTTGCTGTAGTCTGAGAGTGTGGTTGGTATGATTTTGATTTTTTTTTAACTTGCTAAGGATTATTTTATTGCCAGTTAGATTTTTTGGAGTATGTGCTATGTCGTGATGAGAAGAATGTATATTCTGTTGTTTTTGGGTGGAGACTTGTGTAGTGTCTATTTGTCCACTAGTCAAGTGTTGAGTTTAGGTGCTGAATATCTTTGTTTATTTTCTGCCTCAATGGTCTAATACTGTCAGTGGGGACTTCTGTTTAATAGCAATCTCCCACTATTATTGTGTGTGGGTCTAAGTCTCTTTGTAGGTCCCTAAGAACTTGCTTACCCTGGGTATCAATCTGGGCGGTCCTATGTTGGGTGTGTATATGTTTAGAATAGTTAAATCTTCTTGCAGAATTGAACCCTTTACCAATATGTACTGCCCATCTTTACCTTTTTTGATCTTTATTTGCTTAAAGTCCCATTTTGCCTGAAATTAGGTTTGCAACTCCTGCTTTTTCCTGTTTTCCATGTGCATGGTAAATTTTTCTCTGTCTTTTAATTTTGAGCCTATGATTGTCATTGCCTGTGAGATGGATCTCTTGAAGATAGCATACCCATTGGGTCTTGCTTCCTTTTCCAGCTTGCCACTCTGTACCTTTTAATTTGGGCATTTAGCCCATTTGCATTCTCTGTTAATATTGATATGTATGGGTTTGATCTCGCTATCATGTTGTTAGCATTTGATTGCCTGAAAAGATCTTATTTCTCTTCCACTTATGACATTCAGTTTGGCTGGATATGAAATTCGTGGCTGGAAATTTTTTTCTTTAGGAATGCTGAATATAGGCTACCCCCAACCCAGTCTCTTCTGGCTTGTAGGGTTTCTGCTGAAAGGCCCACTTTTAGCCTGATGGGTGGGGTTCTTTTTGTAGGTGACCTGCACATTCTCTCTAGTTGCCTTTATCATTTTTTCTTTCATGTTGACCTTTGAAAATCTGACGATTATGTGTCTTGGGGATTATCTTCTTATGTAATACCTTTCAGGGGCTCTGTATATTTCCCGGATTTGAATGTTGTCCTCTCTAGCGAGGTTGGGTAAGTGTTCATCAATGATATAGCAAAATATGTTTTCCAGGTTGCTTGCTTTTTCCCCGCCTCTTTCAGGAACCAATCAGTCATAGATTTGACCTCTACCTAACCCCAAATTTCTGAGTTTTTTTTTTTTCATTCTTTTTTCTTTGTTTTTGTCTGATTGATTTATTTTAGAGAGCCACAGGGGTGGATAGAGTTGCTCGCCCTGCCTTCTGGGTGTTTCCAGGGTAGCAGGAGGCAAATTCAGGCAGAAGTAGGACCACTGAGCTAGAAGCTCTAGCAGGCATGGCTCACCTGGCTACCAGCAGTGGGGGTGGGCGAGGATGCCTGCTCTATAGTCTAGATGCTTCCTGGAACAACATGAAGGTGCACCCTCTCACTGAGTTTACACAGAAACATGGCCACTGGGCTGGAAGCTCTAGGAGGTGTTGCCCATATGGGTATCAATGGGAGGGGTGGGTGGGGTCACCTGCTCAGCTCTCTGGGTATTTCCTGGGAAAACAGGTGGCTACACCCTCCAGCTGAGTTCACACAAGAGCAGGACTGCTGGGCTGGAAGCTCTAGCAAGCCTTACCCGCCTGGCTACCAGTGGTGAGGGTGGGTGGAATGGCCAGCTGAGTTCGGCCCAAAGTGGGCCTGCTAGTCCAGAAGCTGGCCTTGAGCCTCATCTGGCAAGAATACATGGATAAATCATACAGCTCCCAGGCACTGCAACTGTGGTCTTTACTGAGGCAGTGACATTGGTGCTGGTCTGCCCTTGGGCCCAAGGCTTGTAGAGGTCACCGTGGACTCAAGAGTTGCCCCCACAAAATGTCCCAGTGGCTCCTACCTCAGTCTAGAAATGTGGTGGAGTTGGTGGGGGCCCAGGGGGATTCTCCCACTCCCAGTCTTGCACAGGTCCCTGTGGAGAGCTGAATCCCCCTAGGGGCTCTCACCCTTTCACATGTTGGAAAATGGTTCACTTACTCAGCCTTTCCCATATTGAAAGGTTCTCCTGGCTCTGCACTGAGCCCAGACATGCTGGTGCCTCACCTCACTCCTCTCTGCTCTCTGTTACCCTGCTGCCTTGATGGATAGTAACGTGGTTTCTCAGATGATCGGCCTACAGGGTCAATGTTCACTAGCCCCTTTTGTTTCTGCTCTGTGAGAATGGTGCATATGAGATGCTTCTAGTCAGCTATCTTGTCCAAACGTCCTAAAATTTTTAATAATCTAATTGTTAATTTTTCCCTTACTTTCTTTTATAAAATGATCTTCTACTACACAGCAGCTCAAGAATACTTTAAAACCTGATTAGTTCTGCTATAATATTTGTTTTGAAATGCAAACTTGTTCCAACATAATTGAACGATTTGAGCATAGTTTGAATTTCACATATGCTTAAGCAATTTCATCTGCAAAAACAATGAGTGAAAGCAGAAAGGCCGGGTGCAGTGTCTCGTGCCTGTAATCCCAGCACTTTGGGAGGCCGAGGCGGGCGGATCACCAGAGGTCAGGAGTTCAAGACCAGCCTGATCAATATGGTGAAATCCTGTCTCTACTAAAAATACAAAAATTAGCCGGGCGTGGTGGCGTGCCCCTGTAGTCCCAGCTACTGAGGAGGCTGAGACAGGAGAATTGCTTGAACCCAGGAGGCAGAGCTTGCAGTGAGCCGAGATCATGCCACTGCATTCCAGCCTGGACAACAGAGTGAGACTCCCATCTCAAAAAAAAAAAAAAAAAAAAGCAGAAAGCAACTTTCTCCATCTACCTTGGTTCACCTGTATATAGTGTGCCACACCAGCTCACATCTGGTGGTATGACATTTTAATTTCAGATAATTTCCTTCCACTGTGCAATAACTCACAAGTTGCAACCTATTCAATGCTCACTTTCACAAACAAGTTTCAGGTCTTTCTCAAAATAAAAGTCTATATTTCTCATGGTATTTATGTATTCTTAATGACTGTGTACTATAGTACTGTTTTTCTTAGGTTTTTATTTTTAAAAATATATCACCAACAAGGTTTTTGCAAGATGTGCACCTAACCCATTTCCCCCATACATCCTACAGGTTTTATTGCATGTTTTTGCATAGTGAGGTGATTTTCAGGAAGGCATATACCACATTATAACATAATTGATTGATATTGTCAGAAAAATTTAAATGTTTTAATATGTATTAGGTTATATACAACTTACACCACGTAAAGCACTATTACAAACAGACCAGATGTGTCATTTTATTTTGCTTCTATGCAGATAATTTTTCCTGAAACGTTGTATAGTGACTCTCAGAGTAAAATGTACATTAATAATGTATATTATCATATCTTTCTATAACTTATTGTGTTTTTAACCCTTTATTTCTGGCTTATGTAAAATTATACAGAAAACTAAGCCTACAAATAATCGAACAAAGAAAGCTGTGAAAACAGTGAAGAAAAAAGACAAAGGAAAATCTGAGGATTCAGAAAAGTAAGACATAAAGATACATGTTAATCTTTTTTTCCTTGTTAATTTATATTTTCTTTTTATACAAACAATTTAAAGTCAAATAAACATAACTTATGAATAATCTTTTAAAAACATAAAATTGGCAAATACATGTTTTTATAAGCATACCAGTATATGATTATGGGATAAAGCTAAAAAGGGAAGAACAAAGAACCAAAAATGGACTGGAAGAGGAGATTGAACCACAATACATTCAGAAATAGGTGAACAGAATTAAATCTTTAATTTTAGGAAAAAAGCATTTACATTGTTTCTTTGATGGTCTAGCTCATGCTTTGTAATTTGTTAACTCCACAGTGTTGGCTGTTCTTTTCTACTGTACTTATTAATTGTATTATTCTTATAAAAAGTTATTTATTTTTTGTGTATGTGTATTATTATAAAGTGACATTATTAAGTAAATATTTTCTTTAGTATTATAATTATTGCATTTGAATTTGCCTGGTTAAACCCTAATATTAAAATAATTTTAAAAGGAAACTATGAAGTCAAACTTTATAGAATTCCACAAATCCTGAAAAGAAATTCATGGGACAAATGGCTTTGACCTTTAACAAAAAATGACCCGAGAAGAAAAAATGACCAATATGCTTTGACTATCAGTCTTTTCACATTTTAATCATACCAGTGAGAAGTTAGTTTGAGAAATGTTATTCAGTTGTTTGTAATTTAGCCTGTATGAATTTTATGTCTCTTAGAAATATGAATTTTTTTAAAAAAACTTCATTATTTTAAAATCGTTTAAAAAGTCCTCCTCAAGAAAGCAAAGCAGTGATGCATTTAAAAATATCATGATGCATTTTAAAACATTTTATGTTACAGGAAGATGTCTCCAGAAAAAGAGTTTAAAATAAAAGAAGATTTGGATCAAGTACAGGTAACACACCCACTCTCTCTATGCATCAATATTTGATTAATACTTGCTCTGATAGTCATATATAGAGAAACATTATTACGTATGTGATTATAGGGTATATATGTCTGTGTGTGTGTATGTGTCTCTGTGTGTGTGTGTACTAAAATTCTTCCTGAGATAATGTCTTTCTTGTTGATGGACTCTTCTCATCAAAGTTCAGAGAATGAAATGTCAAACCCAGGCATATTTATGTCAATATTATGAAAATTACCATGGTTTAAACAACTACAGGCAATACCATGGAGGAAAGAGCATCATATCAGGAGTCAGAACAGCAACTTACTGATTATATGACTTTGGATAATTCCCTTTAACCTATTTGAATTTCAAATTTTTCAAAATTTTCATAACCCAAATGTGTAAAACAATAGCTACTCTATTTGTCTTAAAAAGGTGTAAACATTTTAAGATGCAACGAAAAACTTCTTCAGAAATTGTAAACTCTGTGTCTGACTCTGGTTTGTGTGATCTAATTAGAGGAATACAGGTAAGCTGTTATTACATTTTGGCTTTTGAATATTCTTTTTTCTTTTGCTACATGTTAATTTCTTTTTTTTTGGATTTACGTTTTATTCAAAGGATAAATACAAAATTAAGAAAGATTTCAAATTCAAAGCAAATATGCTTAATATTTCAAAACAATTCTACATACAAAGTACAATAGGAAAAAAACCAAAAGCCCCCATAAATTAGAGTGGCTAGACACATTCAAGTCTAGCAGAAAGAAACTTGGAATTTAATGCAACGTTATTTCTCTTGTCTAGAAGCTAAAGACTTAATTGTCTCAGATATCTTCCATCTCCTTATGGGCATTACTTGAAGACAACAGTGGAGCAAGCTTTTTAATGAACTTGCCATGGTAAAAAACCAATGACAGATGCCACACTGGAAAGAGGACAACAATGTAACCTAAAAGGGAGCTACTGGCAGAAATAAAAACTAGTGATACTGATAATATCTAGACCTTTGTAGATGTTTAGAGTACTGTACAATCTTAAATTATTGTTTATCAACATTTTGGTCTCACAAATTAAGAATGTACTAGTTAAGAACCAAGGAGTTATACCCAGTTCACGCTACTGTTTCCTTCACTTGCCCTTTAGATATAATGAATCTGGAATTCTCAATGAGTGTTACATGGTTTGGGAATTCTGGCAATTTTCCTTCCATGACCTCCCTATACTTATCTCCATTTCAAAATATGCAAAGCTGAGTGACAGAGGCAAAAATTAATTCCTAAAGATCCAAAGGGTACACAATACCTGTCAAATTTCGTATGTCTGGGCAGGATGCGGTGGCTTACGCCTGTAATACCAGCACTTCGGGAGGCTGAGGCGGACAGATCACTTGAGGTCAGGAGTTCGAGACTAGCCTGGCCAACACGGCAAAACCCTGTCTCTACCAAAAATACAAAAATTAGCTGGGCATGGTGGCACGTGCCTGCAGTCCCAGCCACTCCAGAGACTGAGGCAGAAGACTGGCGTGAACCCAGGAGGCGGAGGCTGCAGTGAGCCGAGACCACACCACTGCACGCCAGCCTGGGCAACAGAGCAAAACTCCGTCTCAAAAAAAAAAAAAAAAAAAAAAAGATGTAGCCTCTGGAAAAAATGACGCATGTTGGTGAGGCAGCCTTAGGCTCTAGTGCAGAAGAATAGAGAAGGAGAGGTGGAGGAGGGAGAGAAGGAGAGACCAAAGACTGGGCTGAATTCTACAAGCAGGCAAAACAGCACATCTATCCATTCAAATCACCCTGGCATAACTGTCTCCTGAAAAACATATCGAATGCTATAACCACTGGGGATAGACTCTAGCATGCTGTTTATGAAAGGATTCTGTAAGGGAATCTTTGCTCTATAATTAACAGAGTACCAGATATTATAGAAACTTTAGATTGTCTTGCTACTCACTGACCTTAAATATTATCCTTCTTTTGCAACTTATCAAGTCACTTAAAAATTTTAATCATTGCATACCCTGTAAACTTCCTATAAACAACATGTGATTGCAAAATGTTTAAAAAGATGTGAGAAAATATCTGTGGAGTGTGGTATCAGAAAAGGCAGAGCCTTTGTTTTATCTAACGATTATTTCCCAAACTGGGAAATTGGGGTAGAGACAGCTAGATGTTAATTTCTTAACAACCATCTAGCATTATATCACCCATTTCAGTGAATGGCTCGAGTTAAGTGTACAAGTATGTGCAAGCGTACAAGTATGTATACACCTGAATGACCCAAGAACTAGATAACATAAATTTTGTAAAAAACAAGAGTACCACATAAAATAGTGAATATAAAATGTACTATTTTGTAGCATTAGTTTTCTATTGCTGCATAGCAAGTTACCACAAATTTAGCAGCTTAAACAATTTATATTATCTCATAGTTTCAGTGGGTTCGGCATCTGAGCATGGCTTAGCTGTGTCCTATGCTGTAATCAACTTATGCTCACCAGGCTATTATCAAAGTGTTGGCTGGGCTCCATTCCATTATATGTCTTGAGAATCCTCTTCCAAGCTCAAGTGGATGTGATAAACTTCAGTTCCTTGCAGTTTAGGGCTGAGGCACTTAACTTCTAGGGGCAGTCTGCAGTTTCCTGCCACATGGTCTTTTCCATAGATTGTTCGTATCATAGCACCTTTCCTCCTCCTCCTCCTCTTCTTCCTCTTCCTCCTCCTCCTCTTCCTTCTTTCTTCTTCTACAGGGTCTCACTCTGTCACCTAGGTTGGAGTGCAGTGGCATGACCCTAGCTCACTACAGCCTGAACTCCTGGGCTCAAGCCATCCTCCCGCCTCACCCTCCCAGGTATCTAGGACTACAGGCATGCACCATCACACCCTGCTAAGTTTTATGTTTTTTAAGTTTTTTGTAACACCAAGCTCTTGCTATGTTGCCCAGGCTGGTCTTGGATTCCTGGCCTCAAATGATCCTCCTGCCTCAGCCTCTCAAATTTTTGGGATTATAGGCATAAGCCACCATGCCTGGCTAGCTCACAAGAGTCTCTCTTGTCTGCTAAGACAGAGTTCTAATATAATGTAACTTGATCATAGGAGTGACATCCTCTCACTCTTGCTATATAATGAACCTAATAAAGGGAGTGGCATCCCATCACTTTGCCATATTCTATTGGCCAGAAGCAAGCCACAGATCCCACCCACACTCAGAGGGGCTGGATTATTATATATAACATGACCCTAAGGGTGAAGGTCATGGGATTATTTTAGATTTTTGCCTGCCGTCTTATTTTATTAAAAAAAAATTTATTTTTATTTCTGTGGGTACATAGTAGGTGTATATATTTATGGGATACATGAGATATTTTGATACAAGCATACAATGCATAATAATCACATCAGGGTAAATGAGTATCCATCTCCTCAAGCACTTTTCATTTCTTTGTGTTATAGATAATCCAATTATACTTTCTTAGTTGTTTTTGTCATTTATTTATTTTTAAATTTATTTTTCCATAAGTTATTGGGGTCCAGGTGGTATTTGGTTACATGAGTAAGTTCTTTAGCAGTGATTTGTGAGATTTTGGTGCACCCATCATCCAAGCAGTATACACTGCACCATATTTGTAGTCTTTTATCCCTCGCCCACCTCCCACTCTTGCCCTCAAGTCCCCAAAGTCTATTGTATCATTCTTATGTCTTTGCATCCTCACAGCTTACCTCCCACATATCATTGATGTTATAAATAAATATTTGGTGCCGCCAAAGAAACAGCACTCGAACATAAATTTAATTTTCTCAGCAAGGTAATTTTACTTCTATAGAAGGGTGTGACTTGCGGATGGAGCAATGGCAGGAGCACACCTGAACAAGGGAGGGGAAGGGGTTCTTATTCCTGGTGCAGGTAGCCCCTACTGCTGTGTTATTCCCCTATTGGCTAGGGTTGGACCGCACAGTCTAAGCTAATTCCGATTGGCTATTTTAAAGAGAGCAGGAGTATGAACTGGAGGGGCAGAGTCAGTAGTTTGGCAGGAAGGGCAGCTACAGAACAGATAATTCAGGTCAGAGCAGGTGACCAGGGTGACTCAGGACGGAGCAGGTGATCAGGGGTGACTCAAGACGTAGCAGGTGACCAGGGAAACATATGTGAACTACTGATTAGAACTGGTGGAAAAGGTTGTTTACTGAAACTAGGGGCGAGGAGAATGAAGAAGTTAAACTTTAAAATGGCGGACAAAGAACACGGGAGCTGAACATCCTGATACATTGGTTCTTTGGAGAGGATCTCAGAAATCATTGTACTTAACAATTTACAGGCTAAAACCTTTGAAGAGGAATTTATTATATCCTACAGTGAGAACATCCGATGTTTGGTTTTCCATTCCTGAGTTACATCACTTAGAATAATAGTCTCCAATCTCATCCAGGTCACTGCAAATGCTATTAATTCATTCCTTTTTATGGCTGAGTAGTATTCCATCATATAAATATACCACAGTTTCTTTATCCACTTGTTGATTGATGGGCATTTGGGTTGGTTCCATGATTTTGCAGTTGTGAATTGTGCTGCTATAAACATGCATGTGCAAGTATCTTTTTTGAATAATGACTTCATTTTCTCTGGGTAGATACCCAGTAGTGGGATTGCTGGATCAAATGGTAGTTCTACTGTTAGTTCTTTAAGGAATCTCTACACCGTTTTCCATAGTGGCTGTACTAGTTTGTGTTCCCACCAGCAGTGTAGAAGTGTTCTCTGATCACCGCATCCACACCAACATCTACTGTTTTTTGATTTTTTGATTATGGGCATTCGTGCAGGAGCAAGGTGGTATGGCATTGTGGTTTTGATTTGCATTTCCCTGATCATTCATGATGTTGAGCATTTTTTCATATGTTTGTTAGCCATTTGTATATCTTCTTTTGAGAATTGTCTATTCACGTTCTTAGCCCACTTTTTGATGGGATACTTTGTTTTTTTCTTATTGATTTGTTTGAGTTCGTCATAGATATTAGGTGTTAGTCCTTTGTCAGATGTATGGATTGTGAAGATTTTCTTCCACTCTGTGGGTTGTCTGATTACTCTGCTGACTGTTCCTTTTGCCGTGCAAAAGCTTTTTAGTTTAATTAGGTCCCAGATATTTATTTTCATTTTTATTGCATTTGCTTTTGGGTTCCTGGTCATGAAATCCTTGCCTAAGCCAATGTCTAGAAGGGGTTTTCCAATGTTATCTTCTAGAATTTTTATAGTTTTATGTCTTAGGTTTAAGTCCTTAACCCACCTTAAGTTGATTTATGTATAAGGTGAGAGATGAGGATCCTGTTTCATTCTCCTACATGTGTTTAGCCAATTATCCCAGCACCATTTGTTGAATAGGGTGTCCTTTCCCCACTTTATGTTTTTGTTTGCTTTGTCGAAGATCAGTTGGCTGTAAGTATTTGGGTTTATTTCTGGGTTCTCTTTTCTGTTCCATTGTCAGTGTGCCTGTTTTTATACCAGTACCATGCTGTTTTGGTGACTATGGCCTTATAGTATAGTTTGAAATCAGGTAGTGTGATGCCTTCAGATTTCTTCTTTTTGCTTAGTCTTACTTTGGCTATGGGGGCTCTGTTTTGGTTCCATATGAATTTTAGGATTGTTTTTTCTAGTTCTGTGAAGAATTATGGTGGTATTTTAATGGGGATTGCATTGAATTTGTAGATTGCTTTTGGCAGTATGGTCATTTTCACAATATTGATTCCACCCATCCATGAGCATGGGATGTGTTTCCATATGTTTGTGTCATCTATGATTTATTTCAGCAATGTTTTGTAGTTTTCCTTGTAGATGTCTTTCAACTCCTTGGCTAGGTATATTCTTAAGTTTTTTTTTTTTTTCAGCTATTGTAAAAGGAGTTGAGTACTTGATTTGATTTTCCGCTTGGTTGCTGTTGGTGTATAGAAGAGTTACTGATTTGTGTACATTAATCTTGTATCCAGAAACTTTGCTGAATTCTTTTATCAGTTCTAGGAGCTTTCTGGAGGTGTCTTTAGGGTTTTCAAGGTAAATGATTGTCAGCAAACAGTGACAGTTTGACTACTTCTTTACTGATTTGGGTGTCTTTTATTTCTTTCTCTTGTCTGATAGCTCTTGCTAGGACTTTCAATACTATGTTGAGGAGGAGTGGTGAGAATGGGCATCCTTGTCTTGTTCCAGTTCTCAGAGGGAATGCTTTCACCTTTTCTCCATTCAGTATTATGTTGGCATTGGGTTGTCATAGATGGCTTTTATTACATTATGGTATGTCCCTTGTATGCCGTTTTGCTGAGAGTTTTAAGGGATGCTGGATTTTGTTGAATGATTTTTCTGCATCTACTGAGATGATTGTGTGATTTTTGTTTTTAATTCTTTTTATGTTGTGTATCACATTTATTGACTTGGGTATATTAAACCATCCCTGCATCCCTGGTATGAAACCCAGTTGATCATGGTGGACTATCTTTTTGTTATATTGTTGGATTCAGTTAGCTAGTATTTTGTTAAGGATTTTAGCATCTATGTTCATCAGGGATATTGGTCTGTAGTTTTCTTTTTTAGTTATGTCTTTACCTGGTTTTGGTATTGGGGTGATGCTGGCTTCATAGAATGAATTAGGGAGGGTTCCTTCTTTCTCTATCTTAAGGAATAGTGTCAAAAGGATTGGTACCAATTCTTCTTTGAACGTCTGGTAGAATTCTGCTGTGAATCCATCTGGTCCTGGCCCTTTTTTTTGTTGGTAATTTTTAAATTACCATTTCAACCTCACTGCTTGTTATTGGTCTGTTCAGAGCATCTAATTCTTCCTGATTTAAGCTAGGAGGGTTGTATTTTTCCAGGAATGTATCCATCTCTTCTAGGTTTTCTAGTTTATGTGCATAAAAGTGTTCATAGTAGCCTTGAATTATCTTTTGTATTTCAGTGGTGTCAGTTGTAATATCTCCTGTTTTATTTCTTAGTGAGGTTTTTTGGATTTTCTCTCTTCTTTTCTCATTTAGTCTTGTTAATGGTCGATCAGTTTTATTTATCTTTCAAAGAACCAGCTTTTTGTTTCATTTATCTTTTGTATTGTTTTTATTTCAATTTCATTTAGTTCTGCTCTGATCTTGGTTGTTTCCTTTCTTCTGCTGGGTTTGGGTTTGGTTTGTTCTTGTTTCTCTAGTTCCTTGAGGTGTGACCTTAGAGTGTCAGTTTGTGCTTTTTCAGTGTTTTTGAGGTACACTTTTAGGGCTATGAACTTTCCTGTTAGCACTGCCTTTGCTGTATCCCACAGGTTTTGGTAGGTTGTGTCATTATTGTCATTCAGTTCGAAGAATTTTTAAATTTCCATCTTGATTTTGTTTTTGACCCAATGCTCATTCAGGAGCAGGTTATTTAATTTCCATGTATTTGCATGGTTTTGAAGGTTCCTTTTGGAGTTGATATCCAATTTTATTCCACTGTGGTCTGAGAGAGTGCTTGATATACTGTCAATTTTCTTAAATTTATTGAGGCTCATTTTATGGCCTATCATATGGTCTATCCTGGAGAAAGTTCCATGCGCTGTTGAATAGAATGTGTATTCTGTGGTTGTTGGATGAAATGTTCTGTATACATCTGTTAAGTCCATTTGTTCTAAGGTATAGTTTAAATCCACTGTTTCTTTGTTGACTTTCTGTCTTGATGGCCTGTCTTGTACTGTCAGTGGAGTACTTAAGTCCTCCACTATTACTGTGTTGCTGTCTATCTCATGTCTTAGGTCTATTAGTAATTGTTTTATAAATTTGGGACCTCCAGTGTTAGGTGCATAAATGTTTAGGATTGTGATATTTTCCTGTTGGACAAGGCCTTTCACCATTACAAAATATCCTTCTTTGTCTCCTTTGGCTGCTGTTGCTTTAAAGTTTGTTTGTCTGATGTAAGAATAGCTATCCCTGCTTGCTTTTGGTGTCCATTTGCATGAAATGCCTTTTTCCACCCATTTACTTTAAGTTTATGCGAGTCCTTATGTGTTAGCGAGTCTCCTGAAGGCATCAGATAGTTGGTTAGTGAGTTCTTATCCATTCTGCAGTTCTGTGTCTTTAAGTGGAGCATTTAAGTCCAATGTTAGTAATGAAATGTGAGGTACTGTTGCATTCATCGTGCTCTTTGTTGCCTGTGTACTTTGGGTTCTTGTTTATTTGTTTTTTGCTTTTGCTTTTTAACTTGTATTTATGTTTTATAGATCCTGTGTGAATTTATGCTTTAAAGAGGTTCTGTTTTGATGTGTTTCCAGGATTTGTTTCAAGATTCAGAGCTCATTTTAGCAGTTCTTGTAGTGGTGGCTTGGTAATGGCGAATTCTCTCACCATTTGTTTGTCTGAAAAAGACTGTATCTCTCCTTCATATATAATGCTTAGTTTCGCTAGATACAAAATTCTTGGCTGATGATTGTTTTGTTTAAGGAGGCTGAAGATCGGGCCCCAATCCCTTCTAGCTTGTAGAGTTTCTGCTGAGAAATCTGCTGTTAATCTGATAGGTTTTCCTTTATAGGTTACTTGGCGCTTCTGTCTCACAGCTCTTAAGATTCTTTCCTTCATCTTAACTTTGGATAACCTGATGACAATGTGCCTAGGTGAAGATCTTTTTGTGATGAATTTCCCAGGTGTTCCTTGTGCTTCTTGTATTTAGATGTCTAGATCTTTAGCAAGGCTGGGGAAGTTTTCCTTGATGATTCCTCCAAATATTTTTTCTAAGATTTTAGAATTCTCTTCTTCCTCAGGAAAATCGTTTATTCTTAGGTTTGGTCATTTAACATAATCTCAGATTTCTTGGAGTCTTTTTTTTTTTTTTTAATTCTTTTTTTTTATCTTTGTTGAATTGGGTTAATTTGACGACTGTGTCTTTGAGCTCTGAATTTCTTTCTTCTACTTGTTCAGTTCTATTGCTGAGACTTTCCAGAGCATTTCATATTTCTAAAAGTGTGTCCAGAGTTTCCTGAATTGTTGATTGTTTTTTTCTTTAAGCTTTCTATTTTCTTGAGTATTTCTCCCTTCACTTGTTGTATCATTTTTTGGATTTCCTTGCATTGAGCTTCACCTTTCTCTGGTGCCTCCCTTAATAACTAACCTCCGGAATTCTTTTTCAGGTAAAGCCGGGATTTCTTCTTGGTTTGGGTCCATTGCTGATGAAGTATTATGATTTTTGTGGGGAATGTTAAAGAGCCTTGTTTTGTCATATTTCCAGGGTTGGTTTTCTGGTTCCTTCTCATTTGGATAGGCTCTGTCTTAGGGAAGGTCTAGGGCTGAAGGCTGTTGTTCAAATTCTTTTGTCCCATGGGGTGTTCCCTTGATGTAGTACTCTCCCCCTTTTCCTATGGATGTGGCTTCCTGTGAGCCAAACTGCAGTGATTGTTGTCTCTCTTCTGGGTCTAGCTACCCAGTGAGTCTACCTGGCTCTGGGCTGCTATTGGGGGTTGTTTGCACAGAGTCCTGTGATATGGTGGTTTAATGCTCTATTTTTGTGCTGGTTGGCCTCCTGCTGAGAGGTGGCACTTTCCAGAGAGCATCAGCTGTGGTAGTATGGAGAGGAAGAGGCGGTGGCTGTGGCCCTAGAACTCCCAAGATTATGTGCCCTTTGTCTTCCCCTACCAGGGTGGGTAGGGAAGGACCATAAGGTGGGGGCAGGGCTAGGTGTGGCTGAGGTCTGACTCCTTGGGTGAGTCTTGCTGTGGCTGCTGTGGGGAATGGGGTGAGATTCCCAGGTCACTGGAGTTGTGTACCTAGGAGGGTTATGGCTGCCTCTGCTGAGTCATGCAGGTTGTCAGAGTTGTCCGGCCAAGTGGGCAGTCACAGGGCTCACCCAGCTCCCACCCAAAATGAAGGGCCCGTGTTGCTCCCAACCTCCCCTGCAATAGCCCCAAGTCTGTTTCCAGACGGTGGGCGAGTTGGGCTTGAAAACTTGCTCCAAGCTACCCGCCTTCACAGCTGCGAAAGAAAAGGGCTTGGTTCTTCCCAGACCTATGGAGTCTGCACACCAGATTTGTGCCCTCCCCTGAGTTCTGGCCAGGAGGTTTCTTGCCCTGTTCAAATTGTTACAAAGTTCAGCTAGAACTGCTTTTCCCTGTGGAGTTTTACCCCCTGGTCCTCTGTCTGTCCTCCCAATGGATCCCTGTGTTTCCAGGCAGGAATGGCCTGCTTCAGGACCCAGTGAGCTCCCAGGGCTTTTCTGCTGCTTCTTCTACTCTTATATTTCACTTGGCTCTCTAAATGGACTCAGTTCCAAGTAAGGTCAGAAACTTTTCCAACAAACAGACCTTCTGTTTCTCCAGTGGAGAGTGTGTTTTCGGGAAAGGAGGGTCTCCCTTTCCTGCTTCCGCAGTTGGGGCACTCACAGTATTTGGGGTGTCTCCCAGGTCCTGCAGGAGCTGTCTGCTTCCTTCAGAGGGTCTGTGGGTCTTTTTAAGTTTTTTTAAAATGTACAATAAATGATTGTTGACTGTAGTTGCCCTGTTGTGCTATCAAATACTAGATCTTACTCATTCTTTCTAATTATATTTTTGTACTCATTAACCATTGCCACTGCACTCCACCCCCTACTACTATTTGCAGCCTCTGATAACCATCATTCTGCGCTCTATCTCCATGAGTTTGTTTTGATTTTTAGCTCCCACAAATAAGTGAGAACATGTGAAGTTTGTCTTTCTGTGCCTGGCTTATTTCACTTAATGTAGTGACCTCCAGTTGCAAATGACAGGATCTCATTCTTTTTGTATGGCTGAATAGTACTCCATTATGTATGTGTACTACATTTTCTTTATTCATTTGTCTGTTGATGGACACTTACATTGCTTCTAAATCTTAGTTATTTTTGAATTGTGGTGCAATAAACATGGGAGTGCAGATATCTTTTTAATATACTGATTTCCTTTTTTTGTACATACCTAACAGTAAGATTACTGGATTATATGTTAGTTCTATTTTTAATTTTTTTTTTTTTTTGAGATGGAGTCTTGCTGTGTGGCCAGGCCAGAGTGCAATGGTGCGATCTCAGCTCACTGCAACCTCTGCCTCCTGGGTTCAAGTGATTCTCCTGCCTCAGCTTCCTGAGTAGCTGGGACTATGGGCGGGCGCCACCACACCCAGCTAATTTTTGTATTTTTAGTAGAGGCGGGGTTTCACCATGTTGGCCAGGATGGTCTCGATCTCTTGACCTCGTGATCTGCCTGCCTTGGCCTCCCAAAGTGCTGGTATTACAGGTGTGAGCCATTGTGCTTGGCCTATTTTTAACTTTTTAAGGAGAGGACACATTCTGTAAGGAAGTCATAAGGCCAGTCCATATTCATAGGTAAGAGTAGCATGCATATATAGGGTGGGAAAAAATTGTTGGTAGCCATTTATGGAAATAATCCAGTACAATATTCAATTTTTGTAAGTGTTCTAATGACATAAAATAATGCACATTTTCTACTGCTAGGTATACCAATTAGCTTTTCCTAAATAACAAATTATTCCAAAACGTAGTAACTTAAAACAGTAGAATCATTATTTCTCATAGTTGCTGGGCAGCTCAGCTTAGTTTGGATGTGCAAGATAAGTTTTATTCCTATGTCTGACGTTCCAGCTGGGACATCTGGGACAGGTGGGACTTCTTTCTAGTCTCTTATCTTCCAGGATGATAGCTCTGGGTAGTTTAAAGAAGGATCCCTAGTAGCAAGAGATTAAAACAAAGCTGAAAGATCTCTGGAGGCCTCAGCTCACATCACTCATGGTGTCATTTGTGTTGTATCCTCTTGGCCCCAACAAGAATTAGGCCAACTGAGTTTCAAGAAGTGAGGAAATAGATTGTACCTTTTTATGGGAGCTATTGTGAAGAATTTATGGCCATTTGTAGTCTGCCACAGTGGGGTATATATTTTCTCTCTCCCTGTGTATAAAATTCAATTAAGTCTAGATTTGTTTCATTATTTTAATTTTCTATCATCTTTATTCGTTAGAATATAGACTAGGCTGCTATAAAAAGAGACGCCATATAATTCAATGGCTTAAACAAGGTAGAATATCATTTTTATCTCATGTAAAGTTTGAGTTGATGGTTCCAGCAAGTACAGTAGTTTGATGTTGTCTGGTACCTAGACTCCTTACTTCTTGCTCTTGTTTCTCATTGAAACATAGAAATTTTTATCATATCTCAAATTTTTTATCTATATCAAGGGAGTTTTCTTATTTCTTTCGTCATCATTTAACTTTCTTCTTCCTTTTATCCCGCTGAGACTCGTATTTGAATATTATGATTTCTACATTGACTGTTTTAAGTCTTCTATCTTTTTCATCATGGCTTCTATGTGTATGTTTGTTCTGTGGTATGAGATATGTCTTCCATTTAATTTACAAGATTTCTAAACTTATTCTCAAAAGTAAGCAACCTTTCTCCTTTTCACTTCCTCTTGAACTTTTAAGTTAAAAAAGTCATGTTTGCTTTCTTTAAAAATCTCAGGAGATCCTAATTTAGGGTTCTAATTCCATCATTCAGAGAACACTATCAGGGTCTTAATGTTTTCTTTCTAATTATTTTCTGTTTATCCCTCTAGCTCTGCTTTAGTAGGGGCTATGTCTTTGGATTGTTCAACTTCCTCTCTGAAGTTACTTAGTCCCATCCCATGGTTTATTGCATTTCTGTGCCTGTTTATGGACATGTTTCCTCAGCAGCTCATTGGTCATGTGTTGAAATCGCTTGTGCAGTTGTTGTAAGGTTTACTTTTGTTCCCATTATCACGTGCTTTTGTTTTATAGATGCTGTGTTCTCTCAAATTTCAATGAGAATAAAATGTAGATTTAGGGATTTCTTTTGTTTCTTAAAATAACTTTGTTACAGAAAAGGGGCATTTATTCTGTAAAGATATTTTTTCTATTTTTGCTTGGCTTTCATTTTTTTCTGCTGAGAAGCAATTATTAAAATCATCATTTCCTTTTGTATAATATGTCATTTTTCTTTGGCCACTTTTATTGCTTTTTTTTTTTCCTTTTATTTGGTTTTCAGCAGTTTGGCTTTGTTTTACGTGAGCATGATTTTCTTTGTAAATATCAACTTGGGCAGCACTGAACATGTTGAGTATGTTAATTTCACCAAGTTTGGGACATTTTCAATGTATTATTATTTTAAAAATATTTTGTCTACCACTTCCTCTCTCTCTTTTCCTTATGGGATACAATTATATATTAGACATATGATTTTATCCCACAGTTGCCTCAGTATCTGTTAGTTAAAAAAAATCTTTGTTGTTTGTATTTAGATTGGGTATTTTGTATCGATATATTTTCAAGTGGTTTGACTTTTTCCACTGTCATCAGATCCCATCTGTTCTTATGCTCATACATTAAATTTTTAAATTCAGATATTATGATTTTCAGTTCCAGAATTTCCATTTGACTATTTTTTTTTTAAAGAGACATTGTCTTATTTTTATTACCCAGGCTGGAGTACAGTGGCAGGATCATAGCTCACTGCAGCTTTGAGCTCCTGGGCTCAAATGATCCTCCTGCCTCAGCTTCCCAAGGAGCTAGGATTATAAGTGTGTACCACCATGGATGGCTAATTCAAAATGTGTTTTATAGACATAGTGTCTTGCTATGTTGCCCAGGCTGGTCTTGAATTCCTGGCCTCAAGCAATCCTCCCACCTTGGCCTCCTGAAATGCTGGGATTATAGGTGTGGGCATGCATTTTTTATAGCTTATATTTCTCTGCTAAGATTTCCATAATTTTATTTATTATGAGCATATTTTCCTTTATGCTGGACATTTTTATTATGCTTGCTTTAAACATCTGTATGTGAATTTTAAAATCTGGATTGTCTTGCTTGGGATCACTTTTTGCTCATTGTCTTTTATCTTAAGAATTAGTTTCACTTTTCTGTTTCTTCAAATGTCAAGTATTTCTAAATTATATCCTGGCTATTATGAATATCATATTCTTGAAACCCTAGATTGTGTTATATTCTTCTGATTATTATTATTTTTTTCTTTAATATATAATTAACACTATTCGATTTAAAATGTAAATTCTATGTTTAGGTAGCAGCTCACATTGCATTTTAGTTTTTTTAGCTTTTGCTAGGCTGCTTAGTCTTCTTTATGCATATGTAGTTCAGGGGTCAGGTGGAGATTTGGGTAGAGTTTATACAAAGAATCTGGGGCTCCCTATCTTATCTTCTTTTCTTTGTGTAATTTCCCTCTAACCTTTCCAGTGGCTTGAATTGTCCTGAACTCTGTCCTCTGGTGGTTTTTAAATCAGCTACTAGGCACCTTGAATGGCTCAGATAGGGATTGCCCTCAAACTAAAAGCCACAAAAATGAGAATCTTCCCTAGAGTTCTTCCCTTCCTCCAAATGTCACCTTCCGTCAAGAATTTACCTATGAGGGAGCAGCCAAGATGGCCGAATAGGAACAGCTCCGGTCTACAGCTCCCAGCGTGAGTGACGCAGAAGACGGGTGATTTCTGCATTTCCATCTGAGGTACTGGGTTCATCTCACTAGGGAGTGCCAGACAGTGGGCACAGGACAGTGGGTGCAGTGCACCATGCGTGAGCCGAAGCAGGGCGAGGCATTGCCTCACTCGGGAAGCGCAAGGGGTCAGGGAGTTCCCTTTCCTAGTCAAAGAAAGGGGTGACAGACAGCACCTGGAAATCAGGTCACTCCCGCCCTAATACTGTGGTTTTCCAACAGGCTTAAAAAACAGCGCACCAGGAGATTATATCCCGCACATGGCTTGGAGGGTCGTACGCCCACGGAGTCTCGCTGATTGCTAGCACAGCACTCTGAGATCAAACTGCAAGGCGGCAGCGAGGCTGGGGGAGGGGCGCCCGCCATTGCCCAGGCTTGCTTAGGTAAACAAAGCAGCCAGGAAGCTCGAACTGGGTGGAGCCCACCACAGCTCAAGGAGGCCTGCCTGCCTGCCTCTGTAGGCTCCACCTCTGGGGGCAGGGCACAGACAAACAAAAAGACAGCAGTAACCTCTGCAGACTTAAATGTCCCTGTCTGACAGCTTTGAAGAGAGCAGTGGTTCTCCCAGCACGCAGCTGGAGATCTGAGAACGGACAGACTGCCTCCTCAAGTGGGTGCCTGACCCCTGACCCCAGAGCAGCCTAACTGGGAGGCACCCCCCAGTAGGGGCAGACTGACACCTCACACGGCCGGGTACTCCTCTGAGACAAAACTTGCAGAGGAACGATCAGACAGCAGCATTTGCGGTTCATGAAAATCCGCTGTTGTGCAGCCACTGCTGCTGTTATCCAGGTAGACGGTCTGGAGTGGACCTCTAGCAAACTCCAACAGACCTGCAGCTGAGGGTCCTGTCTGTTAGAAGGAAAACTAACAAACACAAAGGACATCCACACCAAAAACCCATCTGTATGTCACCATCATCAAAGACCAAAAGTAGATAAAACCACAAAGATGGGGAAAAAACAGAGCAGAAAAACTGGAAACTCTAAAAAGCAGAGCACCTCTCCTCCTCCAAAGGAACGCAGTTCCTCACCAGCAATGGAAGAAAGCTGGATGGAGAATGACTTTGACGAGTTGAGAGAAGAAGGCTTCAGACGATCAAACTACTCTGAGCTACAGTAGGAAATTCAAACCAAAGGCAAAGAAGTTGAAAACTTTGAAAAAAATTTAGACGAATGTATAACTAGAATAACCAATACAGTGAAGTGCTTAAAGGAGCTGATGGAGCTGAAAACCAAGGCTCGAGAACTACGTGAAGAATGCAGAAGCCTCAGGAGCCGATGTGATCAACTGGAAGAAAGGGTATCAGTGATGGAAGATGAAATGAATGAAGTGAAGCGAGAAGGGAAGTTTAGAGGAAAAAGAATAAAAAGAAACGAACAAAGCCTCCAAGAAATATGGGACTATGTGAAAAGACCAAATCTATGTCTGATTGGTGTACCTGAAAATGACAGGGAGAATGGAACCAAGTTGGAAAACACTCTGCAAGATATTATCCAGGAGAACTTCCCCAATCTAGCAAGGCAGGCCAACACTCAGATTCAGGAAATACAGAGAACGCCACAAAGATACTCCTCGAGAAGAGCAACTCCAAGACACATAATTGTCAGATTCACCAAAGTTGAAATGAAGGAAAAAATGTTAAGGGCAGCCAGAGAGAAAGGTCGGGTTACCCACAAAGGGAAGCCCATCAGACTAATAGCGGATCTCTCAGCAGAAACTCTGCAAGCCAGAAGAGAGTGGGGGCCAATATTCAACATTCTTAAAGAAAAGAATTTTCACCCAGAATTTCATATCCAGCCAAACTAAGCTTCATAAGTGAAGGAGAAATAAAATCCTTTACAGACAAGCAAATGCTGAGAGATTTTGTCACCACCAGGCCTGCCCTAAAAGAGCTCCTGAAGGAAGCACTAAACATGGAAAGGAACAACTGGTACCAGCCACTGCAAAAACATGCCAAATTGTAAAGACCATCGATGCTAGGAAGAAACTGCATCAACTAACGAGCAAAATAACCAGCTAACATCATAATGACAGGATCAAATTCACACATAACAATATTAACTTTAAATGTAAATGGGCTAAATGCTCCAATTAAAAGACACAGACTGGCAAACTGGATAAAGACTCAAGACCCATCAGTATGCTGTATTCAGGAAACCATCTCACATGCAGAGACACACAGGCTCAAAATAAAAGGATGGAGGAAGATCTACCAAGCAAATGCAAAACAAAAAAAAAGGCAGGGATTGCAATCCTAGTCTCTGATAAAACAGACTTTAAACCACAAAGATCAAAAGAGACAAGGCCATTACGTAATGGTAAAGGGATCAATTCAACAAGAAGAGGTAACTATCCTAAATATATATGCATCCAATACAGGAACACCCAGTTTCATAAAGCAAGGCCTGAGTGACCTAGAAAGAGACTTAGACTCCCACACAATAGTAATGGGAGACTTTAACACCCCACTGTCAACATTAGACAGATCAACGAGACAAGCCAGGAATTGAACTCAGCTCTGCACCAAGCAGACCTAATAGACATCTACAGAACTCTCCACCCCAAATCAACAGGATATACATTTTTTTCAGCACCGCACCACACCTATTTGAAAATTGACCACATAGTTGGAAGTAAAGCTCTCCTCAGCAAATGTAAAAGAACAGAAATTATAACAAACTGTCTCTCAGACCACAGTGCAATCAAACTAGAACTCAGGATTAACAAACTCACTCAAAACCGCTCAACTACATGGAAACTGAACAACCTGCTCCTGAATGACTACTGGGTACATAACGAAATGAAGGCAGAGATAAAGATGTTCTTTGAAACCAATGAGAACAAAGACACAACATACCAGAATCTCTGGGACACATTCAACGCAGTGTGTAGAGGGAAATTTATAGCACTAAATGCCCACAAGAGAAAGCAGGAAAGATCTAAAATGGACACCCTAACATCACAATTAAAAGAACTAGAAAAGCAAGAGCAAACACATTCAAAAGCTAGCAGAAGGCAAGAAATAAGTAAAATCAGAGCAGAACTGAAGGAAATAGAGACACAAAAAACCCTTCAAAAAATTAGTGAATCCAGGAGCTGGTTTTTTGAAAGGATCAACAAAATTGATAGACCACTAGCAATATTAATAAAGAAGAAAAGAGAGAAGAATCAAATAGACGCAATAAAAAATGATAAAGGGGATATCACCACCGATCCCACAGAAATACAAACTACTATCAGAGAATACTACAAACACCTCTCCGCAAATAAACTAGAAAATCTAGAAGAAATGGATAAGTTCCTCGACACATACACCCTCCCAAGACTAAACCAGGAAGAAGTTGAATCTCTGAATAGACGAATAACAGGCTCTGAAATTGTGGCAATAATCAATAGCTTACCAACCAAAAAGAGTCCAGGACCAGATGGATTCACAGCCGAATTCTACCAGAGGTACAAGGAGGAATTGGTGCCATTCCTTCTGAAACTATTCCAATCAATAGAAAAAGAGGGAATCCTCCCTAACTCATTTTATGAGGCCAGCATCATCCTGATATCAAAGCCGGGCAGAGACACAACCAAAAAAGAGAATTTTAGACCAATGTCCTTGATGAACATTGATGTAAAAATCCTCAATAAAATACTGGCAAACCGAATCCAGCAGCACATCAAAAAGCTTATCCACCATGATCAAGTTGGCTTCATCCCTGGGATGCAAGGCTGGTTCAATATATGCAAATCAATAAATGTAATCCAGCATATAAACAGAACCAAAGACAAAAACCACATGATTATCTCAATAGATGCAGGAAAGGCCTTTGACAAAATTCAACAACGCTTCATGCTAAAAACTCAATAAATTAGGTATTGATGGGACGTATCTCAAAATAATAAGAGCTATCTATGACAAACCCACAGCCAATATCATACTGAATGGGCAAAAACTGGAAGCATTCCCTTTGAAACTGGCACAAGACAGGGATGCCCTCTCTCACCACTCCTATTCAACATAGTGTTGGAAGTTCTGGCCAGGGCAATTAGGCAGGAGAAGGAAATAAAGGGTATTCAGTTAGGAAAAGAGGAAGTCAAATTGTCCCTGTTTGCAGATGACATGATTGTCATCTGGGCTAGAAAACCCCATTGTCTTAGCCCAAAATCTGCTTAAGCTGATAAGCAACTTCAGCAAAGTCTCAGTATACAAAATCAATGTGCAAAAATCACAGGCATTCTTATACACCAATGACAGACAGAGAGGCAAATCATGAGTGAACTGCCATTCACAATTGCTTCAAAGAGAATAAAATACCTAGGAATCCAACTTACAAGGGATGTGAAGGACCTCTTCAAGGAGAGCTACAAACCACTGCTCAATGAAATAAAAGAGGATACAAACAAATGGAAGAACATTCCATGCTCATGGGTAGGAAGAATCAATATCATGAAAATGGCCATACTGCCCAAGGTAATTTATAGATTCAATGCCATCCCCATCCAGCTACCAATGACTTTCTTCACAGAATTGGAAAAAACTACTTTAAAGTTCATATGGAACCAAAAAAGAGCCCGCATTGCCAAGTCAATCCTAAGCCAAAAGAACAAAGCTGGAGGCATCATGCTACGTGACTTCCAACTATACTACAAGGCTACAGTAACCAAAACAGCATGGTACTGGTACCAAAACAGAGATATAGATCAATGGAACAGAACAGAGTCCTCAGAAATAATGCCACATATCTACAACTATCTGATCTTTGACAAACCTGAGAAAAATAAGCAATGGGGAAAGGATTCCCTATTTAATAAATGGTGCTGGGAATACTGGCCAGCCATATGTAGAAAGCTGAAACTGGATCCCTTCCTTACACCTTATACAAAAATTAATTCAAGATGGATTAAAGACTTAAATGTTAGACCTAAAACCATAAAAACCCTAGAAGAAAACCTAGGCATTACCATTCAGGACATAGGCATGGGCACGGACTTCATGTATAAAACACCAAAAGCAATGGCAACAAAAGCCAAAATTGACAAATGGGATCTAATTAAACTAAAGAGCTTCTGCACAGCAAAAGAAACTACCATCAGAGTGAACAGGCAACCTACAAAATGGGAGAAAATTTTCGCAACCTACTTATCTGACAAAGGGCTAATATCCAGAATCTACAAAGAACTCCAACAAATTTACAAGAAAAAAACAAACAACCCCATCAAAAAGTGGGCCAAGGACATGAGCAGACACTTCTCAAAAGAAGACATTTATGCAGCCAAAAAACACATGAAAAAATGCTCATCATCACTGGCCATCAGAGAAATGCAAATCAAAACCACAATGAGATACCATCTCACACCAGTTAGAATGGCAATCATTAAGAAGTCAGGAAACAACAGGTGCTAGAGAGGATGTGGAGAAATAGGAACACTTTTACACTGTTGGTGGGACTGTAAACTAGTTCAACCATTGTGGAAGGCAGTGTGGCGATTCCTCAGGGATCTAGAACTAGAAATACCATTTGACCCAGCCATCCCATTACTGGGTATATATCCAAAGGACTATAAATCATGCTGCTATAAAGACACATGCACACGTATGTTTATTGTGGCACTATTCACAATAGCAGAGACTTGGAACCAACCCACATGTCCAACAACGATAGACTGGATTAAGAAAATGTTGCACATATACACCATGGAATACTATGCAGTCATAAAAAATGATGAGTTCATGTCCTTTGTAGGGACATGGATGAAATTGGAAATCATCATTCTCAGTAAACTATCGCAAGAACAAAAAACCAAACACCGCATATTCTCACTCATAGGTGGGAATTGAACAATGAGAACACATGGACACAGGAAGGGGAACATCACACTCTGGGGACTGTTGTGGGGTGGGGGGACGGGGGAGGGATAACATTAGGAGATATACCTAATGCTATAATGACGAGTTAATGGGTGCAGCACACCAGCATGGCACATGTATACATATGTAACTAACCTGCACATTGTGTACATGTACCCTAAAACTTAAAGTATAAAAAAAAAAAAGAATCTACCTACACTTGGCTGGGTGTGTGGTGGCTCATGCCTATAATCCCCATGCTTTGGAAGGCTGAGGCAGGAGGATGGCTTGAGCCTATGAATTTGAGACTGCAGTGAGCTAGGAACCCACTGCTGCACTCTAGCCTGGGTAACAGAGCAAGACCCTGTCTCTTAAAAAGAAAATAAAATAAGTTAACAAATCTGCCTACTCTTGATTGTTCTCCTATTGTTGATACTTGTATTTAGTCCAGAGTTTATGGTTGTTATGTGTGGCAGCATTTGTCTAGTGGGAACTCAGTCATATCAGAAGCAAAACTGGGAACTCTAAATATGGTCCTCAAAGTGTCTTTAATTTGATGGAGAATTCCTGGAACATCATGTGTAATAGAATTTACTCATTTGCACAAAGCCAGAACAATGTTTATTTTGTGTTAAGAGTAGAGGTTCTTCTTTTAGTAAAATTTGAAATTCTTCTTTTTAAATATTTCAGGCCTAGAGGAAAGGAGAAATGAAATGTTTGATTTACTGCAATTGTAATTTCCCCGATTCATGCTCAATTTGCCTGTGAAAAATCAATAGGAAGCTTTAGCTTCAGGTATTATCCACCATTACACTTGAGAGATGTGCAGTTCAATGTCTATGCTCAATTCTTATCTTGGGTATCTATGGGTTTTGGAAAAGTAATACTGGTAAAACTAAATTAATTAAAAATACCAAAGTAAATACCTTTTTTCCCCCTTCTTACTTCCTAGAAAGTAGCACGTCTGGAAATTGAGAACAAAGTCCTTCAGGAGCAATTGAAACAGGCTTTACAGGTAAAGGATGTCATGTTTCTTTAACATTGTTAACAAGTAAAGAAAATATCCACAAAGAACTTTTCAAATGAATAATTTTTACTTTGTAAGCTAAGAGGTCTACATATTCTACTATTTGGCTAGGTTTAAACTATATTCATTTTATGCATTAGGGGTATATTAATAAAATTTAATATTCATTCTTATCAAAAATAGCGAGATATAAAGAAAAGTAAACTTTCTTAAGCTAATAAAGGCAATCTATTCATCTGTCATGGTTGCAGTGTGAACAAAAGAAAAGGAAAAGAAAAAAAGACAATGTATTTCAAGCTGATAAGCAATATACTTAAAGGTAAAATACTGCAGGCATTCCAATTAAACTCAGTTGAACCAAGATGTTGACTCTTACTACTCTTTTTAAAATTTTAGTTAAATAATACAACAAGAAATGAAAAAAAGCTATAAGCATTTCATAAATGAATAGACAAAAGTGTATTTGTGTATTATAAAATTGTTTTGCCTACCATCTTGGTAAAAATGTAAAGGACAGAAATATGTAGTATTTGTGGTTGTATGCTGAAATGAGCAACCTTTCACGTACTTCTATTATCAAAAAAGTATGAATTGATATATTCATCTGTTTTTGTTAATAGAAGTATAAAAGATATTTGTTATGTCTTTCTGGGAGACAGAAAAGACATAGCAAAATTGGAAAGATGTAGCCTTTTCACTCAATAAAAGCTTTTAAAAGTTTATCCTAAAGAAGAAAAAAGTGTACAGAGATTTTGTACAAGTATGTACAATGTCATATGTTTTAATAGCAAAAATTTTGAAATGATCTAAATGTCCATTGTTAAGGAGTTTGCTAAGACAATTATAGTATATTATTAAATGTACTTCTATTACCTATTCTGATTTAAATGTATGTTTATTGTTATAGAAACATATCTATGACATTATTTAATGAAAAGAGCATAAGATGTAAGTGTGTATAGTAGGACCCAATTTAGATAAACATTTAAAAAATTTGGCTGGGCATCATGGTTCATGCCTGTAATCCCAGCACTTTAGGGGGCCAAGGCCGGTGGATCACTTTGAGCCCAAGAATTTGCGAACAGCCTGGGCAACATAGTGAAACCCTGTCTCTATTAAAAATACAAAAACTGACTGGGTGTGGTGGTGTGGGCCTGTAGTCTCAGCTACTTGGGAGGCTGAGGTGGGGGGATAACTTAAGCCCAGGAGACTAGAGGTTGCAAAAAAACCCCGCAGATATATATATATATAGCTAATATATATATTAGCTATGTATAATTATATATTATATATATTATAATATGTATTAGCTATATATATGCAGGGTTTTTTATATATAAATATATAACATATTTATATATAAAAAAATATCTTTGTGTAATTTCCCTCTAACCTTTCTAATATAGCTAATATATATATAATATATATAGCTAATATATAATATATATTATATATATATTAGTTATATTTAGAAAAATTTAAAAAGGATATATCTCAAAATGTTAATAGTAATTTTTCTTTATGAGGTGAGATTATTTATGAATTTTCTTTTTATTTATATAGTCTTTTATATAAGTAAGTTAATTGTATGACTAAATAAAAATTATAAAAAGTGACATTTTTAAGGAGACTTTTATTCCAGAAGAAATAAATTGTTTTCCACATTTTATTTCATTCTTTGATATTATAGGTGCTAATTATCCTTCTTATAGTCTATCAATTTTTATAATGTATACCTTATATGAATTTTTATTTTGCTTGTATAATAATTAGAGCCTTAAAAATAACAGCCAGGAAAAACTCCTGGGTATAAAAATAGCCCTCAAAGGTGGAAGAGGTTTCTTCACAACTTCTGATTTTAACTGTGGAATTGTTAAAGTATCAATTATAGCAATAGCTTACCTTTGCTCCCTTCAACTCAGTAAAAATGAGTTGAGAAATCATGTAGGCGTAAATATATGTAGATTCCTGAATGTGGTAGTATTGGCAGGAAAATATCAGAAAATGCTTAATAAACTGGTACTTTTTTAAAAACAGGAAGCTGAAAAAGCTAAGCATCAACTTAACTATTTCCTAAATCAAGAGAAGTTACTTAAAAGTGAGGGGAAAACTGAGACAACAATGCAAGTGGGTAATAGTCAAACAAAAGTTAAAGGTGAAGATTCAAAAAATATACCATTGGAGAAAGAAACAAGAAAATCACTGGTTTCAGATTCAGGTGGACAAAGGACAAGTGATAAAATCCAAGAATATCCACAGGTGAGGAAATAACCAAAATGGAGACAGTAGTATATGTTGTGAGAAATTTGTCTTTTATATTATTATTTACTTCATTTGTATATGTTATTTAAAAATTCATGCCTCTGTTTTTGGGTTTTTTTTTTTTTTTTTTTGAGATGGAGTCTTGCTCTGTCGCCAGGCTAGAGTGCTATGGTGCGATCTTGGCTCACTGCAACCTCCAACTCCCTGGTTCAAGGGATTCTCCTGCCTCCGCCTCCTGAGTAGCTGGGATTACAGGCATGCGCCACCATGCCCGGCTAATTTTTGTATTTTTAGTAGAGATGGAGTTTCACTGTGTTGGCCAGGATGGTCTTGATCTCCTGACCTCGTGATCTGCCTGCCTCGGCCTCCCAAAGTGCTGGGATTACAGGCATGAGCCACCGCGCCCGGCCTTTGGATTTGTTTTTACTTTTGCCCTTTACCTTCTGTATATGTCAACTCATTATTATCTTGAATACCAAACTATGACTTAAATATATACTGATTTTGAATGACCACATAAGCATCTGAGATTTGAGTCCTTTATTTTTACCTTCTCTTTTTGTGTATAATTTTTATTGTGAACTACCTCAACTTCTTCCTGGAAAGATAAATAATAAAAATAGTTTCTCCGAGGGCAATAAAAATTATTAAAGTTGTTAGATCATGTATATAAACGAAGTAAGGTACACCGAATTGAATATAAAAACAAATATCTAAAGAAATATAGGATTGTCTGTCAGCTGCTTTAAGACAAAGAACAAAAGAAGCAGCACAACTTAAAATCTGCTAGTCATTTTATATCTGCCATTATTATAAAATCTGCTAGTTATTTTATATCTGTGTATACGGGCTAGTCATTTACACAAGACCATAAGCTAGCTATTAGCACCTCCATTCTGAGAATGAAACCAAAGGTTTAAAAAATTAGCCATGCCGCATTACAGTGAGTAATATTGAGTTAGATTTCAAATTCAGGTCTTTCTCGCTCCAAAATCACATCTGAAGATATCTTCTTTGCTTGTCTATATGGCTGCATTTGAAACTTGCTTTGTTAAAAGCTTTATTGTTTTCTATTTCCCAGTATTTATCTCCTAATCCAAAACAGAGGTTTTCATATATGACAGAAAAAGTTAAATAGTAAAATGAACCTGAGCAGAACAGTAACTAAAACATCACATTGCTTTCACATAAGTGATTCTCATTTTAGTGGGTTTATATATACATCAATACACACCTGTCTTCTTATGTATCTAGCTTAACATTCATTAATAAAACATCTTATATGCTAGGTTCTTTGCAAAGATGATGTATATAATGTCATGTATTCAGCTGGCTTGTTCTGGTAATAGTGAAACAGGAGATATCATTATTGGAGATTTTGATGTAATAGAAGTTTATACTCATTGTCCATGTTCTTATAGTAATTTAACTGTAACCTTCTTTCTCAATCACTGTATTAAAACTATTTTTGCTGAGGTTATAGCAAATCTATTTGATGCTATTCTGAAGGATGCTTTATAGTTTTTTTCTTTCTTTCTTTTCATTTTTTGAGATGGAGTTTCTCTTTTATTGCCCAGGCCAGAGTGCAATGGTGTGATCTCAGCTCACTGCAACCTCCGCCTCCTGGATTCAAGTGATTCTCCTGCCTCAGCCTGCCAAGTAGCTGAGATTACAGGAGCCTGACACCATGCCTGGCTAATTTTTTATATTTTTAGTAGAGACGGAGTTTCACCATGTTGGCCAGGCTGGTCTCGAACTCGTGACCTCAGGTGATCCACCTGCCTCAGCCTCCCAAAATGCTGGGATTACAGGCATGAGCTACCACACCCAGCCAGATGATTTATAGTTTAATCTCATTTGTCCTCTTAGCAGCATTTAATATGTTTAATCATTTATTTTTTAATACTTTTGTATTATACTTTAAGTTCTGGGGTACATATATAGTCTATAGTTTGAGAAATAGCATAATTATTTGATTTTCCTTGTATATTTTTGGGACACCTCTTTTGTCTCCTCTTGCTCTGCTCATTCTTTAAATGTTAGTAGTTCTCTGGGTTTTGTCCTAGAGTTTCTTTTTATTCCATATACTCTTTCTGAACATGCTCATATACCTTCATGGCTTCTAGGGCCATATAAATCTCTTATCTCTAACTCGAATAACACCTAATTTCCAGACCTGTTATTCATTAACTTACTGAATTTTTCTGTTTCAATGGGCTTCAAACATCTAGAATTCACCATGTCCCCAAATGAACCAATTGCGCTCTTCTCAGACCTGCTTTATCTCTCAGTATTCAGTCTCCTGGCATCCTCATCCATCTAATTGCTGAAACTAGAAAGCCCAGCATCACTGTTATTTCTTCTTTTCCTTTGTCTTGATCCAATTATTATCCATCAAATTCTGTCCAGTTTTCTCAATATTAATGACAGTTCTGTTAGTCAGGCTCACACCAGGACTAATTGGTCTCTCTCTTTCCAGGCCAGTCTCATGTTGGTGGCTAGTTGAAAATCCTTGGTTATTTATTAGTTAGTATATAGGATAACTATTGTGACTATTATGACATATAGACACAAAATGTATGATGGCTCAAACACAATGGAAGCTTCTTTCCTGGTGTTAATAGTCCAAGGAAGTTCAAGGTCAGTCTTCGTGGTAGGGAGTTCTGCTCCACAGGGTTGTTAAGGTATCCCAGCATATGGAAGGTTTGCCATCTTATGTGTGGCTTCCTGAGCCACACTAGGCATAGTTATCTAGCTATCAGAAAAGAATATGGAGGACAAACATGAGTAATTTTCATTGACCTGGCTGGAGGAGATGCACATTCTTTTTTCTCACGTCCTATTTGCTACATTTAACTACAGGGGGAATTAACAAATGTAGACTAACAATGTGTCTAAGAAGAAGAGAAAATTAGTTTGTTGACCATTTAGGAGTCTTTGCCACAGGGGAATAAGGATAAAACCAGTTAATCTCTGCATAAAAGAAACTGAATTAGATGAAAATCAGGTCCAGAATAAAACCTAGAATCAACATTTATACTATAGGAAAATATGTATTATATTCACAAGAGGTAATTTATTAATAAAAATCACACTTTTAAGGTCACTGGCCTTTTTTTTTTTTTTTTTGAGAGAGAGTCTCACTCTGTTGCCCAGACTGGAGTGCAGTGGTGAGATCTTGGCTCACTGCAACCTCTGCCTCCTTGGTTCAGGTTCAGACAATTCTGTCTCAGCCTCCCGAGTAGCTGGGATTACAGGCGCCCGCCACCATGCCCAGCTAATTTTTGTATGTTTAGTAGAGAGGGGGTTTCACCATGTTGGCCATGGTAGTCTTGAACTCCTGACCTCAGGTGATCTGCCTGCCTCGGCCTCCCAAAGTGCTGGGATTACAGGTGTGAGCCACCTTGCCCGGCTGGCCTAACCTTTTGGTTACATACTTCTGTAAACATATTTGAACATGTATTCTCAGTATACTTATTTTAAAATTGATAAATTACAAAAAGTACCTCCACAGTTTATTATATATAGTATTAGCATTATAAACACTTCAACAAGAATATTTAAAAGGATTAGATAATTATGTAATAGATAAGTTTAAAATAAATTTTGAGCTACTCTGCCTGTGGAGCAGGCCTGCTCTGTCTATGGATCAGCTATTTTCTTGTACTCTGTTGCTCTAATAAACATGCTTTTCTTTAACTCAAAAAATTTTTTTTTTGTTTACTAAAAGTATAAAACCTTATTTGCTCTTAATTTAGAAATATAAGTGTAATTTTAGGGCCTACTCTCCTTCTATAATGTCTCTTCCAATGCTAAAATATGATAATTTCTTTGCTTTTTTGATACCTTAATCTTACGAAATTGTCATATTAAAAAACTACCTTAAATGATATTTTTCTAAATGACTGTAAACATTTCATATGCATACTTGATATTTTTAAATGTAGTATTATCTTTATCACAGATCACTGCCCAAAGCGGAAGACTGATTGAAAAGAGGTAAAACACTTTTTAAAAATTTGTTCCCTCATTTTCTAATCTTTATCAGTTCACATACCTAAGCAATGAAAATAACCATTCTAAATTTAATGTCACAAAACTCTTTGAAACTAATTTTAAGTAGAAAATGTTAGAAACTTTAGATATCAAAGTTAGAAGAGTTGATGCAGTCAAAATCAAAATTAAATGAAAAATTTAAATTTAAATTTAAATTAAGGACAATGTAGAAACAAACTTTTTTTTCCTGACAACAGCAATTAAAATTTCCAGATAGTGAGGAACTAACCCTTATTTTCAACTTAGTTATCATCAAGATGCATGAGCTAGATACATAAACAACTTAGTGAAAAATCATTTTTACCTTCCATTTTAACTCAGTTACTATATGCACACATATGTATGTACATGCATACACATAAATAATTGAGTTGATTGATTCATCCAATTAAATCTTATAGTTTTCACTAGTGAGTCTCTTTGATTAGTATATTATGATCGACTCACAGACTTTCTTGATTCACATTACCATGGAGTAAAGAGGAATTACCTAGAAGTATGCATTTATGTACTTCATTGCCATTTTAAATATTTATGGATTATAGACCCAGGTGAATTAGCAAGAATTAGGTAATAAGTGTAATGATTAATGGCCAGAAGTTTTGAAAATGTTCATTTTAAATGTTTGTAGTGAATGTTTATATTTATATGTTTTAAATACTAACTAAACATATACTAAAAACTATATGTTTTAAATACAATGTCCAAGAGAAAATTAGACGTTGGTCCACTTGTTGCTTTGCAAACTTATAATGGTTGGTTTCTTATTATTGATTTCTTTATATTTTAAATATGTATAGTCAGTATTATAAACATTTGAGAATGTATAAGAAAAAGTATTAATAATTATCTTCAACAGTAATGGGAACTTATGTATCATGTAGAAATAGGAAGGAATAAAGCAAAAGCATGGTGCTTTTTTTTTTTTTTTTTTTTTTTTCTTCAGATGGAGTCTCGCTTTTAATTGCCCAGGCTGGAGGGCAGTGGCATGATCTCGGCTCACTGCAACCTCTGCCTCCCAGGTTCAAGTGATTCTCCTGCCTCAGCCTCCCCAGGAGCTGGGATTACAGGCGTCCACCACCATGCCCGGCTAATTTTTATATTTTTAGTAGAGACGGGGTTTCGCCATGTTGGCCAGGCTGGTCTCAAACTCCTGTCCTCAAGTGATCCACCCACCTCGGACTCCCAAAGTGCTGGGATTACAGGCGTGAGCCACCATGCCCAGCTGGTGCTCTTATATTCATACTCAGATTATGGTAGAGCATGGAATGCTACTATAGTTTTCCATGCAATCATGGTGACGTATAGCCTTTGAAAATCCTACAGAGCCAGTAGTTTATCACCCTGAAGAACATGAGGTGGTTAACTTTTGATATAAGTTGTTTTAATATTGAACATTTAGTTGCTGCTGATAAATGTGATAGGCTCTTTGTACATTGGTAAATCTCAGAAAATAGAAACACTGGCTTACAAAAAGCATTTTAAAGAGAGTTTCTGGTCTCTATGAAGACATGGTAAGGCAGTTTCAGTTACTTTCCATGGGTGTTTGGAAAAATCTTAAAGAGGGGTTATGATAATGTTACCTAGTGAGTTATTACCCCTGGCAGCCCTCATTCTACTTTTCTGATAAGTCACATTTTAGAATTTTAATGGGAAGTGATAGAATGGAAGAAGGGTTCAATGGAGAACAACAGAATGAGGATGATGGGGAATATAGTACATCAAGATTAAAAAAATCATAGAATGGATATATCAAATAATTCCTCTTAAATGCCTTTTTCCCCCTAGAAATGTTGATTGATGTAATAACTTCAGGAGGAAGATTATTTTAATTCATTTCAATTCAGTTTAGCTCTAATGAGGAAACACTGACTGAGCATCTATGCTGTGCAAGGCACTGTGCTGGGTATTATGGGATATAAAGGGCTTCAAATATATGGTCATTGCCCTCAATGCATTAACAGTCTAGTAGGGCCGACTAGACATGTACAAAAATAAGTGAAGTATAATGCAGACGTTGCATTCTATAAAACATTACCAAGAAGCTACATCAAAGAAGAGGAAAAGCTATTTCTGACTGGATTAAGAATTACATACCATTTAATTTTAGAAAGATGGTTGGGTTGGATTTTAACAGGGAAATGTGAGGAAAGGGTGTGCCAAGTGGACAGAACTTTGCTTTGAGGCAAAGATGAAGATGTTTAGAATCTATACAGTGTGCTCAGGAAGAGGCCAAAAATTCATTTTGTTTGCATCCTAGACTAAGGACAATAATGGGAAATATGAGATGAAATAGGTTGTTTCAGCTTGATAGGTTTTATAGAATTGCACTTAATAGCTTTAGGTTAATTATTATATATTATATAATAATATAATATATTACATATTATATTATGTTGCTAAATATAATAAAAATTCAAACTATTAAGCACATGGCACAATATTATTCATCAACCTTCATTTTGGGTTACTTCTTAGATGCTAATAGAGTTTCTGAAATACTTTGGAAAAGTCTCCCAAACCTTCAGAGAGTGGATGGGAGCGAAGTAAGGAGACCCCACCTGAGCAGATACATGGTATTGCTTACAATAAAGTACATTTTTGCTCTTTACAACATTTATCAGTTTATTTTGGCTTAGGGAATGAGTTAGTGGTAAATAGTTAATCAAACAATAGATTTTAATAATTTATTGTTTCACATCATGTGCGTTGTTAGCTTTTCTTAAATGTTTTGTGGCATTGAAATTCACACTTTTTAGAAATGAAAATGTGAACTAATTCATGGTGTTTTATTTTGAAGAGTTACACAGTCAACCTAGTTCTTTCTAAATACTTTCATTAGGACTTTCATTATTACTTGGGTTTGCTATCAAGCACGAAAACATACAAGAGAAGAGTGTTGGAACATGTCCATTTTTTTTCTCCATAGATTAGATGATTAGCTGTTAAATTTACTCATTCATTTATTCACCCAACTCATTCAAGAGATACTTTTGTCACCTTCATATGTCCAGTTCTCTTTTGGGTATTGTGTTTTACTGAAAAATCAGACAGATAAGATGCCTTTTCTTGTGGTACTTACATTATAACAGGAGAGACAAAAAATAAACAAGTAAAAATAAATGAACAAGATAATTTTAGAGACTAATACATGGAGATAATGAAACTACATATCTGACAGTCACAGGGAAGGATAATTTAGATTGGGTGGTCAAGGAAGGTATTAACAATGAAGAAAAGGCATTATCTAATTGTGAAATAAAGGCTGTTAAAATATTTTGTTTCTTTTCAATTTTTATCAAAATAAATTTCTGCAAATGAAAATGTATGTTATAACTAAAAGATCTAGACTAGAGGAGCTTTTAATATCCTCAGTTAACTGTTACACAAGGGGCATATTACTAGTGACCCAAATAGTACGCATAAGGTAGATTTTATAGAGGAAACCTTGCAATCCAGGAAGCAATAGAGGATATAATATCCCCTGAGCTGTCATTATTCCGTAGAGAAATAGACTTAGATTAAGCAAAGCTGGATTCACCATAGAAGATGCTCCTGAGAGGAACCCCCTTCTCACATATCACTTCACAAAATTATAGGGGAATTGGGAGGGCATAGAGAGCACCTAGTCAACCATGTATCACTGAGAGCTTCCTGGTTGGGGCAGTGGCCTTGTTGGAAAAAGGGAGAAGGGAGTATGTACTTTGTATACCAATGTAGCTGGTATCAGTGAGTCAAACAGTCCTGGTGAGCCAGCTCTGTGAAACCACAAAAAGAGGGAAGAAAGAGAATCACCGGGACCATCCGTAAATAAAGATTTGCCTCACTGCTGTCTATCCTTTGATCTTAGAGACTCATTATTATAGATCTCTCCATCAGCCCTGGCTGACACCTGGTTCTGAGCATACCAATTTCCTTAGTATTGTCTGGGAGAAGAATATTAGTAAGGTCACCAGCTGGGTTAGATGAGGATGTAGAACCAACATCCTAATAAGTTCACATTATGAACTCTTTTTCCTGGCCAAGCACAGAAACCTTTGTTTAGGAATGTCTGTTCCATATCTGCCATAGGAAAGAGAAAGTCGTTCATCACCTCCCTTGAACATCCATCTCCAACCATTTCCCAGGGTCAGATATGTTCACATCTGACAAACAGATCTGTTTTTCTCCATGGAGATGAGCCAGATTGTCCTTTGTCTGGAATGATAGTTCAGTGGGGACCCCAAAGTTACCATTTTGCCATCATAGGTCACCTGCAGGTTTCAAAGAGGATGTCTGCAGCACCATCTGTTGCTTTTAAATGAGCAATATGTTGTGTGTTCCCATGCACTGAGGTCAAAGCAAAGGGGGTTAAAAAAAAAAAAAAAAGAAAAGGAGTATACTATTCCTCTTGAAATGATATTTTTCTCTACTCCCTAACTTCTAGGTGCTTTGGAGTTTAACCATGGTAAGAGGGGCCCTTGCTTGGTACGGTAGCCTATAGCTTGTAAACAATTAGGGAAAACTGGACTGACAAGCCTTGTGGAGGTTGTTTTCAAAAAGGCTGCCTTAAATGGCAAGTAGAATAAGCCTGATGGACAACAGTGGCCTGTGTGTCTTTTTTTTTTTTTTTTTTTTTGAGATAGGGTATCACTTTGTCCCCTAGGCTGGAGTGCAGTGGCACCATCATGGCTTACTGCTTCTTCAACCTCCCACACTGAAGCCATCCTCCCACCTTAGCTGTCTGATTGGCGGGGACCACAGGCATGCATCACCATGCCCAGCCAATTGTTTTATTTTTTATAGAGACTCAGTCTCCCTATGTTGCCCAGGCTGGTCTAGAACTCCTGGACTCAGGGACTTTTCGCACCTCAGCTTCCTAAAGACTTCTATGTCTTTTGAATAAATTCCTTATTGGCCATTGTGTTCCTTCATAGCGGGATGGATTTGAACAGGCACCCAAGACTATACTGGAGATGATGGTTACACATTCTTAATTGGCTTTTTCATGTCACATGTTTTCCTTTAGATTCAGTTCTTTCTCATGGACATATAAACATAGAATATAAGAATTGAGCTTGTGACTAAGTTGTTGTAACTATTTCCTTGGGCAAATGTTACCTCAGAAAAGCATGTGTAAAGAGTTCTGTTGGCCAAGTGTGGTGGCTCACGCCTGTAATCCCAGCATTTTGGGGAGGCTGAGGCAGGCAGATCACGAGGTCAAGAGTTCAAGACCAGCCTGGCCAATATGGTGAAACCCCATCTCTACTAAAAATACAAAAATTAGCTGGGCATGGTCGTGCGCGCCTGTAGTCCCAGCTACTTAGGAGGCTGAGGCAGAGGAATCACTTGAACCTGGGAGGCGGAGGTTGCAGTGAGCTGAGATCGTGCCACTGGGTGACAGAGCGAGACTCCATCTCAAAAATAAAATAAAATAAAATAAAGAGTTCTGTCCTAGGGAACCCAATAGCCTGACAGTGTAACTAGGCTCATTACTAATGGCTCATTAGTCTTTATAATAGTGCAATTCAGTCAATCTGAGGAGATTGTGCTCTATGGCCATGAAGAATGCCTGAAGTTTACCCAGTTTTGAAGCATGTCCAATACCATGGGATCTCAACAACTCACCATCATTATGGTGAAGGAATGTATCACTCCATAAGATTTTATGACCTTTGAGAGAGGCTTTTCCATTAGTGAATCATGCTTTCTTGTCAGGTGGCAAATCTTTCAGGCAAGTGCCTTACTGAGTCAATGGCTTGTTTAAAACAGCAGAGGGATCTCTGTGCCTGTGAGTGTAGGGCCATATTTTATGAATTTGTCTAAGGTCTAATTGATTGGATGTGCTATATCCCCCTTTTAATAGAATTTTCCTGGGCATGTACCACCTTATCAGATTTTGGATTAGAGAAGACCCATAATGCGATAGGAATGTCGGGTTGAAGAGTGAGAAAAGTCTGCCCCATTAGGGCTCAGTAATAGGCTAGCAGTCACTGGCATGTGCCACTCAGCAGGAGAAGAAAATCATTTCATCCAAAGATGTAGGAAATGACAAATAACTTGAAGTATTTTTGCCAAAAGCTTCCGTCAGAAAATGGTTTCTTACAGGTATGTGTAATCCCATGAGTTTGAAAGATACGGCAAAATCTAAAGTTAGAACTTGTTTTTAGGATGCCTAGACCTCTTCCAAGGCATGTTAATATATGGGCTTCTATTTTAAATTAGTTGCATTGATATAGTGCTTTGAAGAATCACCAGGTGTAAAATGTGATATCACCACTACCTAACAAGGAAAATCGTTTGTGGTTGGGACTGGAGGCCCGATAAATTTTCCTTTAAAGCAGCAGTTTCCTGCCTTTTTAGCACCAGGGACCAGTTTCGTGGAAGACTCCACAGACCAGGATGGAGGGGGTGGTTTCAGGATGATTCAAGCACATTACCTTTATTGTACACTTTATTATTATTATTATTTCATTATAATATATAATGAAATAATTATACAACTCACCTTAATGTAGAGTCAGTGGGAGCCCTGAGCTTGTTTTCCTGCAACTAGATGGTCCCATCTGGGGGTGATGGGAGACAGTGACAGATCATCAGACATTAGGTTCTCGTAAGGAGCACGCAAACTAGATCCCTCACATGTGAAGTTAACAATAGGATTTGTGCTTCTATGAGAAACTAATGCGGCTGCTGATCTGACAGGAGGTGGAGCTCAGGTGGTAATGCAAGCGATGGGAGAGTGGCTGTAAATACAGAGGAAGCTTTGCTTGCTCACTCGCCACTCACCTCCTGTTGTGTTGCCCAGTTCCTAACAGGCCATGGACTGGTATCAGTTTGTGGTCCAGGGGTTGGGGATGCCTGCTTTAAGTGATATAGAATGTATCTTTTTGATGCTGTCCAGATGATGACTGCCTTCTCCAAATTTATCTGAATAACAGGGCCCTGGATCATTTAAAGTTATCTTTAATCAGGTATGCCTAGACAACATGTAATGTTTCTTCGGTGTTGATCACAGTCATCAGTGTGATATAATATCTGGAGATTCTAGCAATGCACATTTTACTGGGTTTTGTCCCACATTGAAAATGTGTAACAGGAATTAAAACATTCTCAAGAAGGATTATTAAAGGTATATGTACTAATCTTGGCATATCTTGCCAAATCCTCAGCTACATATGTGTGTCAGTAGTGGCAGCAATTTATTCTATAGCTTGTGTAAGGACAGAGACTGGAGTAAGTAGAGCTGTTTCTTTCCTTGTTTAAGTTTCAGTAGTCCACTATGGAGTGTCAAGTACTAGTTTTTGTTTTTTTTTTCTTAACCAAACAGACTAGCATTGCATAGTGCATTGATTACATTTTGTTTGAAAAATACTTTATTTTTATGTTTCTTGTATGAAATATTATGGAATGATCTTGCCAGTTCAGACAGGTTTTCACCATGTGCTTGGCCAGCCATTATGGAGGTTATCAATAGATAATTATCCAACTAATATGGCTGTGTACCTGTTCTCGGTTTAATAATTCAGAATGTCCTTATATCAATTATATAATCTGAGAAAGAAACAGCAAACAGTATTAATATAGAGTACAAAAATAGTAGCCTTGTGTGTTTGGGTTCCCCAAGACTACTGCCCTCACTAGGAGAGCTCACAGCACTCATCAAATAGTCATTACGATGACCATGATTTATTACATAAAAAGGATGCAAAGCAAAATGAGCAAAGGGAAAATGTGCATGGTAAAAATCCAAAAGAAACATCCTACTTAATCTGAGATTATGGTGTCCCGTAATTCCTTAGCTACCTGATCACTATAGCCATTCTCACTGAGAACAAGCAATTTGTTCTTTCTTGAGTTTTTAAGACTATATACGATATGGACACTGAGATATTGGCCATTTCAACTTAGTAGTTTGTCTGGTATAAGGCTTCCAATGGGGTTATTTCCCACTTCAGCGGTAGCCCAAACTCTCTGTTTTTCAAAAGCTGTAACATACACGAGTCACATACCACTAGCTACACATAACAAGGTTTATTGAGAAAAACTTACAAGCAGAATAGCGAGCAGAGCACATTGCAATATTGCAGTTATCAATGAAGGACCTTGAGAGTCTCTGCCAAGCTACCAAGTAGGGAAGGGAGATATTAACCGAGGCCATTCAGAAACATGTTTGTCATTCTCATTAACTGATGACTTTTTTTTTCTAGTAAGAGAATAGTTTTTCTTTTATCCTATATAATTTCCCCATAGTTTGAGTTCCATTTCTGATTATTTCAGTAATAGCATTGCTGGTGGAGCTAGATGTAGCTAGGCAACATTGTCAGCATAAGAATTATTTATACATTTACAAACTATTTCTAAGCAGTCCATCACCCTAATTTTCTTTAAGTTAATAATTTCAAGTGTTTTAACCTTTTATCTTTTCCAGGCTCTTAGTCATCTTGGACTTTTACTGAACCTTTAAAACTTTTTGACTTTCTTTTCAGTTGAGGAGCCTAAAACTAGTCACTATGAATATTTTGATCAACATTAATTGTATTGTATTGTAAAAACTATCAAAATATTTATAACTTTTGACTTTTATAACACCTATATTGAAATTTTTCTATAAAATTGATTTTTAGAATCATGTTAGTTTGTACTGTATTACAAACTTCGGGTCCTAGATATTTTTGTTTTTCTTGTATATAGGAATGAGTTCCACATGTTGTATTGTTGCAGATAAGAATATCAATAATATTTTATTAGTATTTTATTGATAATTTGTCTCGTATTTGCATTGATAATTAAAAATTCAGTGTAACATAAATACCTGTGAGAGTTTTTTTCCCTAAGGGGAGAGGATATGGATTGGGGGTTGTGTTGACATTTTAGAAAATGGATGGAGTTAAGGAAAGTTCCGGAAAAAGAAAGTATTGGAAAGAAAAAAAAAATAAAGAGGGCAGTTTGAAAAAGAAGGTATTAGAAAGAAAAAAAAATAAAGAGGGCAGTTTGGGCAGTTAACATTCAATGACATTTTCCATTTTGTCTGATTTAAGAATTATGAAGTGTCCATGATTATATGCATAATAAATAGTGCCCTTGTACATCTATTTGCTTAGTAAGAAAAGGATGCAATGCTCAGATCTTCAGAGTTAACAAATGCTTTTGCAAGCAGGAAGAGATACACTCTTTATACCACTTCAGTGATGTTGAAGACTGTCATGTAGAGTGCTGTCAATATGCTTATATAAAAGCTGCTAAAATACATGCTCATAATTAGACTATTATACGGTAGTATTTAGACATGGAGTGATTATTAGAGAGTCTTAATCTAAAGCAGACAGTGAATGACACAAATTTAGTAAGATTTATAAACTATATTTTGGTTGTTTTTGGCAATTCACCAAATAATTGGGAGGGTGAAAACAACTTGCTTTATTATTATTTTCTTTGTGGCTATAGGCTGCCTTCTATAGTCATCATTGCTGTTCTCCTCCTCCTCCTCCTTCAACTCCTCCTCTTCCTTCTCCTCATTCTCCTCTTTCTCTTCCTCCTCCTCCTTCACCATCTAATCAGTAGGGCTTTGAAAGTATTTCCACATCTCTTTGACTGGCACAAGCTTGAATACAGCATTGCTTGCACACCTTCCTAGTAGTTTTTATTCCTGACCCCCTCAGTGGAAGTATCATGGTTGTTATGCTGTGGTTCCTTATGGATGCAAGAGACAACAGAAGTGGGGAAAGCCTGAACGTGGGAATATGGTTATAAATGTACAGTATATTAGCATTTAAGGCATTGTTCTTTGTATTGCCACATATTTTCTCATTGTTATAAGAAAATTGCCTGTGTAGAATCAAGTGATTAATGATGTCCCCTAATAACCATTTCAGAATCTTAAAAAACATTTGCTTTCTATTTTTAGCTATGTGATAATATTAGTGTTGGGGTGGTGGTTTGTGAATAACTGTAACAAATAGTGTCCAGATGAGTGTTAGACTTTATTTTAGAACTAATCATCTTAAATTCAAACACCTAATAGAACTAATAAATCAGGTTTGAGAATGAGATGCTATCCTTAATTTAGGATAGGAAGCCAGCTATTCTCTTTACTTTTAATATGGCAATTTGCTTTATAATGCCACTACAAAAGTCTGTTTGTCATAAATTCTATGTTTTTTTAAACTGTCAGCACTATATATATATATATATATATATATATATATATACTTTTTTTTTCAGAGCTGTCCTCTCCACCCCACTCCCCTTTTTTATAACCCAAACTTTGCAGTTCAAAATTCATTCTAAACTAACAAACGTAGGATAGGTGGCAGTAGGTACATTGAAAAATTTTTCTTCTGTGAGACCAAACTTCAAATTATTTTAAACACTTTGCAACAAACCTTAGGCAAATTATGTCAACTGGGGTAATAGCTGTTCAAAACAAAATGCATCAAATTCTGTTGCATTTCATAGGACTAGGAAAGCTTTGTTAAATTTTTATATAGTTTGATCACTTAAATTATCATCTAAACTAGAATGTTGGGACAACAAGCAGAAACTGGGATTGTGCATGCAAACTGTGACACCTGGTTACCCTAGTTCTGGAATCCAGAAAGCTGATCCTTTGGCAACTGGTAGAGAATAAATACCCCTTATCTTAAAGAAAACTAACTCAGAGCTTGGGAAATTGACTTTGGTGAAAGATGGTGATCTTTTAATGTCAAAGTGACTGTGGAGATATTTTAATTTTCATTCTGAAATAAAATTGTGGAAAAATAATTTTGGAATAAATGTGACTAAAGGGTAAATCTCCAAACCATCCTATGTTCTACTTTGGCTGAGTAAATTTTTCTTGTTCTATGGCTTACAACCTTGAATAATGATTATATTGGAGTATTTTAAATGATTTCCTTAGTATTATGTATCCCTTTAAATCACAGGACATATGTTACTATCTTCAACTTGTTACCTAGCATCAATTTCATATTGGAATAACCATAAACTAATGAGTAATTATACTTACTTATTTAATATCCTTATATATTATTAAAATGATTCTTCAGTTGCAAATAAAATGGTCTTCACATAATCTAATACCAGATGTTTTATAATTCTAAAGCTCAGAGAAGAAACGATCTAGCCCTGCTATTTCAGATCTTTCACAGATCCTTAAGTCTCAAGATGAATCAGCATTTTTAGAGAGTTCAAATGAAGTTTCAGTTGCTGAAAACCAATCCTATAAATCTCCATCAGAGACCCATGATAAATCACTTACAACAGTATCATCCAGCAAAGAAGTTCAAGATTCACTGTCTGTTGGAACATTGGCTCAAAAAAACGAAACAGTGATATCACCATTCATTTTACCTCCTGTTCTTACAGAAAGTAAAAAGGTATGATATATATAGAAACTTGAAAGCTGTTTATTTCATATTGCTCCTTCAATAAATAAATGCTAACCCATTTAAATGGGTTAAAAATTCAATATTTTCTTATTTCAAGAGAATTAAAAGTTTGCCTTTTAACACAACCCACTTTATATTTAGAATGCTGAAAGTAATATTTGGGAATCTAAGTAATATTCTTAACTTATAAAAATTGTTTAATATTGATTAAAAAGTTGTGGGTTACATTTTAGTTTTAATGGTAATATAAAAGATATGTCATTCTGAGATAAGGGAAATTTTCATAGTTTTCAGCTTCATCTACAAAAAAAATTTTTATACAATAAGATGATTGTAAAAGCAAACTAATTTTGAAACAATTTTATATAGGTCTCTAAACAAGACCTAGAAAATTTTTAGAATTGCTTTTGTTAAAAAGCATTTAATTAGGAAATTCTCAGGGCAAAAATGCTGGGAAAAAGGGAAAAGATAAAAGGGCTGTACATATTTGACATGTATCCACAATATATTTTTATCATACATTTTATTAAAGTATTCCTATAATAATAATTTTGTAAGCCATTTGAGTTCTTCTAAAGATTAAAACAGACTAAAATATAAATCTAAACAAGAATCTTAATAATTATTAACACTATTTGCTTAGAACTATTTGCGAGGGAAAAATCACAATATTGCCTGGGCACCCTCCTTGCTATTCAGTGTTCCCAATTGCCTCTCAGGTCCATTAATTGTTCTGACTTTTTAATTTGATACATTCAGGAAATAATGAAAAATAAAATGTTTCTGCAATGACATTGTAGATGAGAGCAAAAAGCTAGCTCTTTTTCTCAAAGCAGGTAATTAAATACCAGTCTTGATATATATATATATGTATATAATTTCTAATTACTTATTACAACTTTTGTTATTAAGGCTGATGTTTCAGAAGAACAATTACAAAAGATGACTGAAGAACAAACTTACCAAGCAGCAGAAAAATCTCAAGGTAAAAAGACTCTGTTTTGGAAGATGAAAATGTGATTGAATGATTATGTGTTTCCATGATATAATTATAAATAAATGAGGGGAAAACATTATTAAATATACAAACAACTTGTTAGGGAGTCACTGGATAGCATACAAATATAACGACAATTATATAAAAATTATCTCGGTGGGCCAGGCGTGGTGGCTCATGCCTGTAATCCCAGCACTTTGGGAGGCCGAGGCGGGTGGATCACGAGGTCAGGAGTTCGAGCCCAGCCTAACCAACATGATGAAACCCTGTCTCTATTAAAAATACAAAAATTAGCTGGGTGTGGTGGTGCATGCTTGTAATAGCTACTCAGGAGGCGGAGGCAGGAGAATCGCTTGAACCCAGGAGGTGGAGGTTGCAGTGAGCCGAGATCACGCCACTGCACTCCAGCCTGGGCGACAGAGTGACACTTCATCTCAAAAAAAAAAAAAAAAAAAAAAAAAGATTGGTGAGTTATCATTATATTACTTAGAGAGTCTATTTTAACTAAGATCTGTGTAAAGGGGAAGCAATAGCTTTATCTCAAGCAAATAATAGTATGTGGCATTATGAATTCTTAATATGACACCCGAAATTAATCTGAGCATAGCAGGAAAAAAGATGATTTCTGTATATGTAATATTTTTGCTAGGTTATTTAGGTGTTTGATATACGGTTAAAAGCAAAGATATTTTTTTCTTCCTTTCCAACATGTATCATGTTAGTATTCAATCAATATTTTATTGCATTGACCTAAACTTAAATTTTTTTTTTTTTTGAGACAGAGTCTTGCTCTGTCGCCCAGGCTGTAGTGCAGTGGCATGATCTCGGCTCACTGCAAGCTCCGCCTCCCGGGTTCACGCCATTCTCCTGCCTCAGCCTCCCGAGTAGCTGGGACTACAGGCGCATGCCGCCATGCCCAGCTAATTTTTTATATTTTTAGTAGAGATGGGGTTTCACCGTGTTAGACAGGATGGTCTCGATCTCCTGACCTTATGATCCGCCCGCCTTGGCCTCCCAAAGTGCTGGGATTACAGGCGTGAGCCACCGCGCCCAGCCAAATTTTTTAATTATTATTATATTTTAAGTTCTGGGATACATGTGCAGAACGTGCAGGTTTGTTACATAGGTATACATGTGCCATGGTGGTTTGCTGCACCCATCAACCCGTCATCTACATTAGGTATTTCTCCTAATGTTATCCCTCTCCTAGGCCCCCACCCCTGACAGGCCCCTGTGTGTGATGTTCCCCTCCCTGTGTCCATGTGTTCTCATTGTTCAGCTCCCACTTATGATTGAGAACATGTGGTGTTTGGTTTTCTGTTCTTGTGTTAAGTTTGTAGAGAATGATGGTTTCTGGCTTCATCCACGTCCCTGCAAAGGATGTGAACTCATCCTTTTTATGGCTGCATAGTATTCCACGGTGTATATGTGCCATATTTTCTTTATCCAGTCTATCATTGATGGGCATTTGGGTTGGTTCCAAGCCTTTGTTATTGTGAACAGTGCCACAGTAAACATACATGTGCATGTGTCTTTATAGTAAAATGATTTAGAATGCTTTGGGTATATACCGAGTAATGGGATTGCCGGGTCAAATGGTATTTCTAGTTCTAGATCCTTGAGGAATCGCCACACTGTCTTCCACAATGGTTGAACTAGTTTACACTCCCACCAACAGTGTAAAAGCATTCCTATTTCTCCACATCCTTTCCAGCATCTGCCGCTTCCTGACTTTTTAATGATCACCATTCTAATAAATGTGAGATGATATCTCATTGTGGTTTTGATTTGCATTTCTCTAATGACCAGTGGTGATGAGCTTTTTTCATATGTTTGTTGGCCGCATAAATGTCTTCTTTTGAAAAGTGTCTGTTCATATCCTTCGCCCACTTTTTGATGGGGTTGTTTGTTTTTTTCTTGTAAATTCGTTTAAGTTTCTTGTAGGTTCTGGATATCAACCCTTTGTCAGATGGATAGATTGCAAAATTGTTCTCCCATTCTGTAGGCTGCTTGTTCACTCTGATGATAGTTTCTTTTGCTGTGCAGAAACTCTTTAGTTTAATTAGATCTTATTTGTCAATTTTGGCTTTTGTTGCCATTGCTTTTGGTGTTTTAGTCATAAAGACTTTGGCCATGCCTATGTCCTGAGTGATATTGCCTAGGTTTTCTTCTAGGGATTTTATGGTTTTAGGTCCTATGTTTAAGTCTTTAATCCATCTCGAGTTAATTTTTGTATAAGGTGTAAGGAAGGGATCCAGTTTCAGTTTTCTGCATATGGCTAGCCACTTTTCCCAACACCATTTATTAAATAGGGAATCCTTTCCCTATTGCTTGTTTTTGTCAGGTTTGTCAAAGTTCAGATGGTTGTAGATGTGTAGTTTTATTTCTGAGGCCTCTGTTCTGTTCCATTGGTCTATGTATCTGTTTTGGTACCAGTACCAAGCTGTTTTGGCTACTGTAGCCTTGTAGTATAGTTTGAAGTCAGGTAGTGTGATGCCTCCAGCTTTGTTGTTTTTGCTTAGGATTGGCATTGACCTAAACTTTTAAGACAAAATTAAATGGCTGTGGTGGAGGATACAGGAGCAACACTCTTCTATTTTGTTTTGAAGTGGGAATGCCTCTGTTTGACCTGTGATGATCCATTGTCTGAGCTAAATATTCATTATTATCTAAAGACGTTTTCTTTTATCCCAGCAGTCAAGTTGAACTGAATTAATCTAGTTAAAATTTTCAAAATATGAAGTATACCTAACATAAAATATATCATTTTAACCATCTTTAAGTATACAATTCAGTGGCGTTAATTACATTCACAGTGTTGTGCAACCATCACTAACATCTATTTCCACAACTTTTCATCACTCCCAAAGGAAACTCATTAAGCAATAACTCTCATTCCCCGCATTTTCCTCCATTTGGGGTTGCTGTAACAGAATACCACAGACTGGCTAATATAAAGAAAAATTTATTTTTTACAGTTCTGAAGGCTGGGGAGTCCAAGGTCAAGGGACCTGCCTCTGGCTACAGCCTTCTTGCTGCATCATCCCATGGCAGAAGGTGGAAGGGTGAGAGAGCATGAGAGAGCAACAGAGAGAGGAAGGGGGACAAACTCGGGAGCCTACTTTGTGATAACTTACCCCCTCCTACAATAATGGCATTAATCTATTCATGAGGACAAAGCCCTCATTACCTAATTATGTCTTAAAGAGCCTAACTCTCAACATTGTTGCACCAGGGATTAAGTTTCTAGTATATGAACTTTAGGAGGCACGTTTAAATCAAAGCACACACTGATTTGTATTCTGTGACTGCTGAATTTATATGTTAACTCTAATGTTTTTGTGTGGAACCTTTGAAATTATATGTATATATGAATCATCTGTGAATAAAGATAGTTTTACTTCTTCCTTTCCAATTTGGATGGCCTTTGTTTCTTTTTATTTTCTAATTTCTCTGACTGGATCTTTTAGTACAATGTTGAATAACAGTGATGAAAGTGGACATCCTCATTTTTTCCTTAAGAGGAAAATTTTCAGTCTTTCACAATTGGATATTGTTATGGTTTGAATGTATACCCTAAAAGTTCATGTGCTGGAAACTTGGTCCCCATTGTAGCAGTGTTGACAGGTGGGACCTTTGGGAGTTGATTAGGTCATGGAGGCCTTGCCACATGAATAAATTAATCCATTCATAGATTAATGGGTTATCAAGAGAATGGGTCTTCTTTAAAAGCCAGTTTGTCTGTCTCTTGTGAGCTTCTTCGCCATGTGATGCCCAGAACAGCCTCAGCACTCTGCAGAGAGAGTTCCTACCAGCAAGGAGGCACTCCTCCGATGTGGCTCCTCAACTTTGAAATCCCCAGCTTTCAGAACTGTAAGAAATAAATTTCTTTTCTTTACAAATTACCAAGTCTCAGGTATTCAGTTATAGCAATAGAAAATGGACTAAGGCAGGTATATTAGGTGTGGGTTTTTATAAATGTACTTTATCATGTTGTGGAAGTTTTCTTCTATTCATAATTTTGTGAGAGTGTTTTTCAAACCATGAAATGGTAACAGATTTTGTCACATGCATTTTTTTTGCATCAATTGAGATGAGATGATCATGTGGCTTTTTCCATTGTTCGATTAATGTGGTGTATTATACTGAGTGATTTTCCTAGTTTGAACCACACTTTCTTTCCTGGGATAAATCCTACTTGGTCTTGGTGTATGATTCTTTTAATATGCCATTAGTCCATTTTTCTAGTATTTTTTGAGAAGTTTTGCATCTGTATCATAAGGATACTGCTCTGTATGTTTTTAAAAATAATGTCTTTTTCTGGTTCTGGTATCATGGTAATGTTGGTCTTATTTTGTAAGTTTTCCCTATTCTTTTATTTTTTAGAAGAGTGTGAGGAGAATTGGTGTTAAATCTTTAAATGTTTTATAGAATTCATCAGTGAGGCCATCTGGTCCTAGACATTTCTTTGTTGAAAGCGTTATGATTACCGGTTCAATTTTCTTACTAGTTATAGGTCTGTTCAGATTTTCTTTTTTAAATTTTTAGTTTATAATTTTTTTCTGGGTACCTAGTTGGTGTATATATTTATGGGGAATATCAGATATTTTGATACTGGCGTATAATGTGTAATAATCACAGTAGGGTGAATGGGGTATCCATCATCTCAAGCATCTATCCTTTATGTTACAAATAATCCAATTATACTTTCTTAGTTATTTTAAAATGTATAATTAAATTATTATTGACTATAGTCACCCTATTGTGCTATCAAATACTAGATCTTATTCATTCTTTCTGGTTTTGTGTACTCATCCTCGTTTCCCCCACTATGCTTACTAGCCTCTGGTTAACCATCCTTCTACTCTCAATGTCCATCCATGAGTTCAATTGTTTTAATTTTTAGCTCCCACAAATAAGTGAAAACATGCAGTTTGTCTTTCTGTGCCTGGCTTATTGCACTTAACATAATGTCCTCCAGTTCCATCTATGTTGTTGCACATAAACAGGATCTCATTCTTTTTATGGCTGAATAGTCCTCCATTGTGTATATGTACCAAATTTTCTTTATTCATTCATCTGTTGCTGGACACTTAGGCTGCTTCCAAATCTTGGCTATTTCATTATTTTGAATGTTCTAAGACTTGTTTTGTGGCCTAACAAATGGTCTATGCTTGAGAATACTCCGTGTGCTGAGGAGAAAAATGTGTATTCTGGTGCCACTGAAAGAAATGTTCTGTAAATATCTATTTGGTTTATAGTGTAGATTAAGTACGAGATTTCTTTGTTGATTTTCTGTCTGGAGGATCTGTCTAATGCTGAAAGTGGGGTGTTGAAGTCTCCAACTGTTACTGTATTTGGGTCTATGTCTTTCTTTAGCTTTAATAACATTTGCTTTATAAACTGTGGTGCTCCAGTTTTGGGTGCATATATATTTACAATTGTTATATTATCTTGCTAAATTTACCCCTTTATCATTACATAATGCTCCTCTTTGTCTCTTCTTATAGTTTTTATCTTGAAATGTATTGTGTCTGATATAAGTGTTGCTACTCCTGCTGATTTTTTTGGTTTCCATTTGCATGGAATATGCTTTTTTTCATCCCTATGCTTTCAGTCTATGCATATCCTTATAGGTGAAGTGTGTTTATTATACTCAACCAATCATTGGATATTGATTTTTTCAAATCTATTCAGCTACTCTGTATCTTTTGATTGGACAGTTTAGTCTATTTACATTCAGTGTTGTTATTGATTCTAAGGACTTATTCTTGCCATTTTGTTATTGCTTTTCCAGTTGTTTTGTGGTCTTCTCTTCCTTCTTTCTTCCCTTTTTGTCTTCCTTTTAGTGAAGGTGATTTTCTCTGGTGGCATGTAGTAATTACTTGCTTTTTATTTTTTGTGTGTCCATTGTATATATTTTTAGATTTGAGGTTACCATGAGGCTTGCAAATCATATAACCCATTATTTTAAACTGATGATAACTTAACACTGATTGCACAAATAACAACAACAACAACAGCAAAAACAAGCAAAAAGGAAACTAGCAAAAACTCTACACTTTAACTTCATCCCCCTGCTTTTTAACTTTTTGATTTTTCTCTTTATGTCTTATTGTTAACTATGTCTTGGAAAGTTGTTGTAGTTCTATTTATTTTTAATTGGTTCATTATTTAGTCTTTCTACTTAAGAGTATTTTACACATCACAATTATAGTGTTATACTATTCTCTGTTTTTCTATCTGCTACTACCTGTGAGTTTTATACCTTCAAATGATTTCTTATTGTTCATGAATGTCCTTTTCTTTCAGATTGAAGAACTCTCTTTAGCATTTCTTATAGGACAGGTCTGGTGTTGATAAAATCCCTCAGCTTTTGTTTGTCTGGGAAGGTCTTTATTTTTCCTTTATGCTTAAAGCATATTTTGCCAGATATAATATTCTAGGGTAAAAGTCTTTTTCCTTCAGCTCTTTAAATATGTCCTACTACTCTCTCCAGGCCTGTAAGATTTTCACTGAAAAGTCTGCTGCCAGATGTATTGGAGCTCCATTGTATGTTACTTGTTTTTTTCCCTCTTGCTGCTTTTAGGATTCTTTCTTTATCCTTGACCTTTGGGAGTTTGATTATTAAATGCCTTGAGGTAGTTTTCTTTGGGTTAAATCTGTTTCTATAACATTCTTGTTCTTGAATATTGATCTCTCTGTCTAGGTTTGGGAAGTTCTCTGTTACTATCTCTTTGAATAAACTTTTTACCCCTATCTCCCTCTTTCTACCTCCTCTCTGAGGCCAGTAACTCTTAAATTTGCCATTGTGATGCCAATAATGCTTAAATTTTGCCTTTTTGGACTTTGCAGCTAATAACACTTAAATTTTCCCTAATTTATAGATCTTGTAGGCATGCTTCATTGTTTTTTATTCTTTTTTCTCCTCTGTGTATTTTCAAATAGCCCCTCTTGAAACTCTCTAATTTTTTCTTCTGCCTGATCAGTTCTGCTATTAAGGACTCTGATGCATTATTCAGCATGTTTATTGCATTTTTCAATTCTAGAATTAGGGAAAACTTAATTCTAGAATTAGGAAAAATTAAGTGTTATTAGCTGCAAAGGCCAAAAAGGGCAAATTTAAGGATTATTGGCATCAAAATGGCAAATTTAAGAGTTTTTGTTAGTTTCCTTTTTGCTTGTTTTTTTGTTTGTTTGTTTGTGCAATCAGTGTTATCATCAGTTTAAAATAATGGGTTATATGATTTGCAAGCCTCATGGTAACCTCAAATCTAAAAATATATTAATAGATACACAAAAAATAAAAGTGAGTAATTACTACATTGCCACCAGAGAATATCACCTTCACTAAAAGGCAGAGGAGTCTCACCAGCACCACCACAGGCCCATGGGGAGTGCTGCCAGGGTGTTACCTGTGTTTATTTAAGGACCAAGGGCTCTTCAGTTAGCTTTTGGTGAATGCTGCCAGGCCTGGGATTCACCCTTCAGGGCAGCGGGCTCCCATCTGTCCCAGGGTAGGTCCAGAAATGCCATCTAAGAGCAAAGGTCTGGAATTGGAGACCTCAAGAAAGCACTTGGTGCTCTTTCTCACTGTGAGCGACATGGTACCTAAGCTGTTTTTTGGTTCTTATGAAGGTCCTTTTTTTGTGTAGATAGTTGTTAAATTTGGTGCTCATGTGGAGAGGACTATTTGTGGAAGCTTCTATTTAGCCATCTTGCTCCACTTCCTCTATAGTTCAGATTTTCTATTCATGATTTAGTCTTGGTAGGTTGGTGTTTCTATGAATTTATTCATATCACCTTGGTAATCCAATTTTTGTTTTACAGTTGTGCATTGTATTTTCTTATAATCCTTTTTAGTTTATAAAATTATAATGTTTCTTTTTCATTTCTCATTTTAGTTGAGTCTTCTCTCTCTTTTATTCAATCTAGCTAAATGTCTCAATTTTGTCAGCCTTTTCAAAGAACCAATTCTTGATTTCATGGATTTTACCTATTGTTTTTCTGTTTACTTCATTTATCTCTGATCTTACCTTTATTAATTTTTCTGCTAGCTTTGGATTTAGGTTGTCCTTTTTCTAGTTTTTTTAAGGCATAAAGTTAGGTTGTTTATTTGAGATTTTCTTTTTAATGTGTGTCTACAGCTCTAAATTTCATTTTTTTGTACAACTTTCGCTGCATCTTATAAGTTTTAGGTAAATTTTTATTTTTGTTTTCATTTATCTCAAGATATATATTTTTTAATTTTACTTTAAGTTCTAGGGTACATGTGCATAACGTGCCAGTTTGTTACATATGTATACATGTGCCATATTGGTGTGCTGCACCCGTTAACTCGTCATTTACATTAGGTATATCTCCTAATGCTATCCCTCCCTGCTCCCCACACCCCCCGACAAGCCCCAGTGTGTGATGCTCCCCACCCTGTGTCCATGTGTTCTCATTGTTCAGTTCCCACCTGTGAGTGAGAACACGTGGTGTTTGGATTTCTGTCCTTGCAATAGTTTGCTGAAAATGATGGTTTCCAGCTTCATCCATGTCCCTATAAAGGACATGAACTCATCCTTTTTTATGGCTGCATAGTATTCCGTGGTGTATATGTGCCACATTTTCTTAATCCAGTCTGTCATTGATGGACATTTGGTTGGTTCCAAGTCTTTGCTATTGTGATTAGTGCCACAATAAACATATGTGTGCATGTGTCTTTATAGCAGCATGATTTATAATCCTTTGGGTATATACCCAGTAATGGGATGGCTGGATCAAATGGTATTTCTAGTTCTAGATCCTTGAAGAATCGCCACACTGTCTTTCACAATGCTTGAACTAGTTTACAGTCCCACCAACAGTGTAAAAGCATTCCTATTTCTCCACATCCTCTCCAGCACCTGTTGTTTCCTGACTTTTTAATGATTGCCATTCTAACTGGTGTGAGATGGTATCTCCTTGTGGTTTTGATTTGCATTTCTCTGATGGCCAGTGATGATGAGCATTTTTTCTGTGTTTTTTGGCTACATAAATATCTTCTTTTGAGAAGTGTCTGTTCATATCCTTTGCTCACTTTTTGATGGGTTTGTTTGATTTTTTCCTGTAAATTTGTTTAAGTTCTTTGTAGATTCTGGATATTAGCCCTTTGTCAGATGGGTAGATTATAAAAATTTTCTCCCATTCTGTAGGTTGCCTGTTCACTCTGATGATAGTTTCTTTTGCTGTGGAGAAGCTCTTTAGTTTAATTAGATCCCATTTGTCAATTTTGGCTTTTGTTGCCATTGCTTTTGGTGTTTTACACATGAAGTCCTTGCCCATGCCTATTTCCTGAATGGTATTGCCTAGGTTTTCTTCAAGGGTTTTTATGGTTTCAGGTCTAACATTTAAGTCTTTAATCCATCTTGAATTGATTTTTGTATAAGGTGTAAGGAAGGGATCCAGTTTCAGCTTTCTACGTATGGCTAGCCAGTTTTCCGAGCACCATTTATTAAATAGGGAATCCTTTCCCTATTACTTGTTGTTGTCAGGTTTGTCAAAGATCAGATGGTTTTCAATGTGTGATATTATTTCCGAGGGCTCTATTCTGTCCAACTGGTGTATCTCTCTCTTTTGGTACCTGTACCATGCTGTTTTGGTTACTGTAGCCTTGTAGTATAGTTTGAAGTCAGGTAGCATGATGCCTCCAGCTTTGTTCTTTTGGCTTAGGATTGTCTTGGCAATGCAGGCTCTTTTTTGGTTCCATATGAACTTTAAAGTAGTTTTTTCCAATTCTGTGAAGAAAGTCATTGGTAGCTTGAAGGGGATGGCAGTGAATCTATAAATTACGTTGGGCAGTATGGCCATTTTCACGATATTGATTCTTCTTATCCATGAGCATGGAATGTTCTTCCATTTATTTGTGTCCTCTTTTATTTCACTGAGCAGTGGTTTGTAGTTCTCTTTGAAGAGGTCCTTCACAGGCCCTGTAAGTTGTATTCCTAGGTATTTTATTCTCTTTGAAGCAATTGTGAATGGGAGTTCACTCATGATTTGGCTCCCTGTTTGTCTGTTATTGGTGTATAAGAATGCTTGTGATTTTTGCACATTGATTTTGTATCCTGAGACTTTGCTGAAGTTGCTCATCAGCTTAAGGAGATTTTGGGCTGAGACGATGGGGTTTTCTAAATATACAATCATGTCATCTGCAAACAGGGGCAATTTGACTTCCTCTTTTCCTAATTGAATACCCTTTATTTCTTTCTCTTGCCTGATTGCCCTGGCCAGAACTTCCAAAACTAAGTTGAATAGGAGTGGTGAGAGAGGACATCCCTGTTTTTTGCCAGTTTTCAAAGGGAACACTTCCAGTTTTTGCCCATTCAGTATGATATTGGCTGTGGGTTTGTCATAGATAGTTCTTATTGTTTCGAGATATGTCCCATCAATACCTAATTTATTGAGAGTTTTTAGCATGAAGCGCTGTTGAATTTTGTCAAAGGCCTTTTCTGCATCTGTTGAGATAATCATGTGGTTTTTGTCATTGGTTCTGTTTATATGATGGATTACGTTTATTGATTTGTGTATGTTGAACCAGCCTTGCATCCCAGGGATGAAGCCAACTTGATCGTGGTGGATAAGCTTTTTGATGTGCTGCTGAATTGGTTTGCCAGTATTTTATTGAGTATTTTTGCATCAACGTTCATCAGGGATATTGGTCTAAAATTCTCTTTTTTTGTTGTATCCCTGCTAGGCTTTGGTATCAGGATGATGTTGGCCTCATAAAATGAATTAGGGAGGATTCCCTCTTTTTCTATTGATTGGAATAGTTTCAGAAGGAATGGAACCAGCTCCTCTTTGTACCTCTGGCAGAATTTGGCTGTGAATCTGTCTGGTCCTGGACTTTTTTGGTTGGTAAGGTATTAATTATTGCCTCAATTTCAGAGCCTGTTATTGGTCTATTCAGGGATTCAACTTCTTCCTGGTTTAGTCTTGGGAGGGTATATGTGTCGGGGAATTTATCCATTTCTTCTAGATTTTCTAGTTTATTTGCGTAGAGATGTTTGTAGTATTCTCTGATGGTAGTTTGTATTTCTGTAGGATTGGTGGTGATATCCCCTTTATAATTTTTTATTGCGTCTATTTGATTCTTCTCTCTTTTCTTTTTAGTCTTGCGAGTGGTCTATCAATTTTGTTGATCTTTTCAAAAAACCATCTCCTGGATTCATTGATTTTTTGAAGAGTTTTTTGTCTCTATCTCCTTCAGTTCTGCTCTGATCTTAGTTATTTCTTGCCTTCTGCAAGCTTTTGAATGTGTTTGCTCTTGCTTCTCTAGTTCTTTTAATTGTGATGTTAGGGTGTCCATTTTAGATCTCTGCTGCTTTCTCTTGTCGGCATTTAGTGCTATAAATTTTTCTCTACACACTGCTTTGAATGTGTCCCAGAGATTCTGGTATGTTGTGTCTTTGTTCTCATTGGTTTTAAAGAACATCTTTATTTCTGCCTTCATTTTGTTATGTACCTAGTAGTCATTCAGAAGCAGGTTGTTCAGTTTCCGTGTAGTTGAGTGGTTTTGAGTGAGTTGCTTAATCCTGAGTTCTATTTTGGTTGCTCTGTGGTCTGAGAGACAATTTGTTATAATTTCTGTTCTTTTACATTTGCTGAGGAGTGCTTTACTTCCAACTATGTGGTCAATTTTGGAATACGTGTGATGTGGTGCTGAGAAGAATGTATATTCTGTTGATTTGGGGTGGAGAGTTCTGTAGATGTCTATTAGGTCCACTTGTTGCAGAGCTGAGTTCATTTCCTGGATATCCTTGTTAACTTTCTGTCTGGTCGATCTGTCTAATGTTGACAGTGGGGTGTTAAAATCTCCTATTATTATTGCGTGGTCTCTTTTTAGGTCTCTCAGGACTTGCTTTATGAATCTGGGTGCTCCTGTATTGGGTGCATATATATTTAGAATAGTTAGCTCTTCTTGTTGCATTGATCCCTTTACCATTATGTAACGGCCTTCTTTGTCTCTTTTTATCTTTGTTGGTTTAAAGTCTGTTTTGTCAGATACTAGGATTGCAACCCTTACCTTTTTTTGTTTTCCATTTGCTTGGTAGATCTTCCTCCATCCCTTTTTTTTGAGCCTATGTGTGTCTCTGCACATGAGATGGTTCTCCTGAATACAGCACACTGAGGGTGTTGACTCTATCCAATTTGCCTGTTTGTGTCTTTTAACTGGAGCATTTAGCCCATTTACATTTAAGGTTAATATTGTTATGTGTGAATTTGATCCTGTCATTATGATGTTAGCTGGTTATTTTGCTCATTAGTTGATGCAGCTTCTTCCTAGCCTCGACGATCTTTACAATTTGGCATGTTTTTGCAGTGGCTGGTTGTTCCTTTCCATGTTTAGTGCTTCCTTCAGGAGCTCTTGTAAGGCAGGCGTTGTGATAACAAAATCTCTCCGCATTTGTTTGTCTGTAAAGTATTTTATTTCTCCATCACTTATGAAGCTTAGTTTGGCTGGATATGAAATTCTGGGTTGAAAATTCTTTTCTTTAAGAATGTTGAATATTGGCCCCCACTCTCTTCTGGCTTGTAGAGTTTCTGCCGAGACATCTGCTGTTAGTCTGATGGGCTTCCCTTTGTGGGTAACCCGACCTTTCTGGCTGCCCTTAACATTTTTTTGTTTTTCATTTCAACGTTGGTGAATTTGACAATTATGCGTCTTGGGGTTGCTCTTCTCAAGGAATATCTTTGTGGCGTTCTCTGTATTTCCCGAATTTGAATGTTGGCCTGCCTCACTAGGTTGGGGAAGTTCTCCTGGATAGTATCCTGAAGAGTGTTTTCCAACTTGGTTCCATTCTCCCTGTTACTTTCAGGTACACCAATCAGACTTAGATTTGGCTTTTCACATAGTCCCATATTTCTTGGAGGCTTTGTTCATTTCTTTTGACTCTTTTTTTCTCTAAACTTCTTGCTTCATTTCATTCGTTTGATCTTCAATCACTGATAATGTTTCTTCAATTTGATCAAATCGGCTACTGAAGTTTGTGCATGTGTCATGCAGTTCTCGTGCCATGGTTTTCAGCTCCATCAAGTCATTTAAGGACTTCTCTACACTGTTTATTCTAGTTAGCCATTCGTCTACTCTTTTTTCAAGGTTTTTAGCTTCTTGCGATGGGTTCGAACATCCTCCTTTAGCTCGGAGAAGTATGTTATTACTGATCATCTGAAGTCTTGTCTCGACTCATCAAAGTCATTCTCCATCCAGCTTTGTTCGGTTGCTGGTGAGGAGCTCTGTTTCTTTGGAGGAGAAGAGGTGTCTGATTTTTAGAATATTCAGCTTTTCTGCTCTGGTTTCTCCCCATCTTTGTGATTTTATCTACGTTTGGTCTTTGATGATGCTGACGCACAGATGGGGTTTGGTGTGCATGTCCTTTCTGTTTGTTAGTTTTCCTTCTAACAGTCAGGACCGTCAGCTGCCGGTCTCTTGGGGTGTGCTGGCGGTCCACGCCAGACCCTGTTTGCCTGGGTATCCAGCGGAGGCTGCAGAACAGCAAATGTTGCTGCGTAATCCTTCCTCTGGAAGCTTCGTCTCAGAGGGGCACCCGGCCTTATGAGGTGTCAGTCGCCCCCCTACTGGGAGGTGCCTCCCAATTAGGCTACTCAGGGGTCAGGGACCCACTTGAGGAGGCAGTCTGTCCGTTCTCAGATCTCAAACTCCATGCTGGGAGAACCGCTACTCTCTTCAAAGCTGTTGGACAGGGACGTTTAAGTCTGCAGAAGTTTCTGCTGCCTTTTGTTCAGCTATGCCCTGCCCTGAGAGGTGGAGTCTACAGAGGCAGGCAGACCTCCTTGGGCTGCAGTGGGCTCCACCCAGTTGGAGCTTCCTGGCGGCTTTGTTTACCTATTCAAGCCTCAGCAATGGTGGATGCCCCACCCCCAGCCTCACTGTCGCCTTGCAGTTTGATCTCAGACTGCTGTGCTAGCAATGAGTGAGGCTCTATAGATGTGGGACCCTCCGAGTCAGGCACGGGATATAATCTCCTGGTATGCCATTTGCTAAGGCCATTGGAAAAGTGCAGTATCAGGGTGGGAGTGTCCTGATTTTCCAGGTACCATCTGTCATGGCTTCCCTTTGCTAGGAAAGGGAATTCCCTGATCCCTTGAGCTTCCAGGGTGAGGCGATGCCCTGCCCTGCTCCGTGGGCTGCACCCACGTGTCTGGGAAGCCCCAGTGAGATGAACCCGGTACCTCAGTTGGAAATGCAGAAATCACCTGTCTTCTGCATCATTCACACTGGGAGCTGCAGACTGGAGCTGTTCCTATTCAGCCATCTTGGTGCCACCCCTGTCTCAAGATATTTTCTAATTTACCTTATGATTTATTGTGGGACCCATTGGTAGTTTAAGAGCATGTTGTTTAAATTCAACATATTTGTGAATTTAAATTTTCCATCTCTAATTTCTAGTTTTTAAAAATTATATTAGAAAAGATACTTCATATTCATTTTAATTTCTTTATATTTATTAAGACTTGTTTTGTGTCCTAACATGTGGTCTTTCCTACAGAGTGTTCTATGTACACTAGAAAAAAATTGTGTATTTTGCTGATGTTGGGTGGAGGGTTCTGCATATATGTGTTAGGTCCAGTTGGGCTATCATGTTGTTCAAGTCAAATATTTACTAACTGCTCTTCTCTCTGCCTGTTGTGTCCATTATTAAAAGAAGAGTATCTATATCTCCAAGTATAATAGATCTGTCCGTTTCTCCCTTCAATTGTGTCAGTGTTTGGTTCAGATATTTTGGGACTCTGCTGTTTGTTATATATATGTTTTTAATTGTTATATCTGCTTGATTCGTTGACCCTTTTATTAGTGTGTACTGCTCGTCTTTGTTGTAACATTTCTTGGCTTAAAGTCTGTTTTGTTTGATATTAGTGTAGCCATGCCAGATTTTTTTTGTTATTTTTTGTATAGGATATCTTTATCCATCCCTTCACTTTCAATATTTTTGTGTCTTTGCATCTAAAATGAGTCTCTTATACATAGCATGTCATTGGGTCATGTATGTATGTATGTGTTTAAAAGCTTTTGTCAGTTTCTGTCTTTAGACTGGAGGTTTAATCCACTTATACTTAATATAATTACTGTTAAGGGGAACTTGCTTTTGTCATTATTATATTTGTTTTCAGTATGTTTTAAGCCATTTCCCCTGCATTTTCCTCCTTTAGCATCTTCATTGTGTTTCATTGATTTTTTTCATAGTGTAACATTTTTTATTCTCCTCTCATTTTCTTTTGTGTATGTTTTTAGATTTTTTGTGGTTAATATGGGGATTATATTTAACACTTTAAACTTATAACAACTTGAGTTGATACTTTTAATTTTTATTTCAATAATATTAGGGGTACAGTGTGTTTTGGTTACATGGATGAATTATACAATGGTGAAGTGTGAGATTTTAGTGCACCTGTCACCTGAGTAGCATACATTGTATCCAATATGCAGGTTCTTAAATACCTCACCCATTCCCACCTTTCTTTTTGTATATGGTAAGAGATAGGGATAGAGTTTCATTCTTCTACATGTGGCTATTGAGGTTTCCCAGAACCATTTATTGAATAGGGTGTCCTTTAACCAATTTATGTTTTTGTGTGGTTTGTTGAAGATTAGTTTGTTTTAGATATTTAGCTTTATTACTGAGCTCTCTTTTCTGTTCCATTGGTCTATCTACTTTTATGCCAGTACCATGCTGTTTTGGTTATTATAACTTTGTATACTCTTTTTTGGTTCCATATTAATTTTAGGATTTTTTTCTGATTCTGTGAAAAATGATGTTGGTATTTTGATAGGAATTGCATTGATTCTGTACAATAGGCAGTATGGTCATTTTTATGATATTCTTCCAATCCATGAGCATGGGATGTGTTTTCATTTGTTTGTGTCATATGTGATTTCTTTTAGCAGTATTTTATAGTTCTCCATGTAGAGCTCTTTTACCTCATTTGTTGCGTATATTTCTAGTTTTTTTTTTTTGCAGCTATTGTAAAAAAGATTGAGTTCTTGATTTGAGTCTCAGCTTGGTCATTGTTGGTGTATAGTAGTGCTACTGATTTGTGTACACTGATTTTGTAACCTGAGACTTTACTGAATTCATTTATCAAATATAGGAGTCTTTTTGGAGGAGTCTTTAGGCTTTTCTAGGTATATGATCATATCATCGGCAAACAAAAATAGTTTGACTTCCTCTTTTCCAATTCAGATGCCTTTTATTTCTTTCCCTTGCTTGAATGCTCTGGCTAGGACTTCCCCAACTTAATTTTAATAGCCTAGAGAACCTCTGCTCGAGACTGCTCAATTCCCTGCACCCTGTATCTAATGACAAAATTACATCTTTATATATTGCATACCCAATAATGGTGCAAAATTATTTCTTATTAATTTGTCTTTTAAATAATGCAGGAAGTAAAAAGTGATGTTACAAATAAATGATACAATAATATTGGCTTTTGTATTTGTCTACATAGTTATCTTTACCAGGAAACTTTATTTCTTCATATGGCTTTGAGTTACTACTTGGTGTGCTTTGATTTCAACCTGAAGGATCTCTTTTGTATTAACTGTCTCATGATCATGAACTCCCTATGTTTTTCTGGGAACATCTTAATTTTCTCTTCCTTTTTGAAGGACAGCTTTGCCAGGTATAGAATTCTTATTTGATTTTTTTTTCTTTTAGTACCTTAAGTGGATCATCCCACTGCCTCTGGCCTCCATAGTTTCTGATGAGAAATTGGTAGTTTATCTTATTGAGGCTCGCTTGTATGTGATGAGTCAAGACTTTCTGGAATGTAGTAGCATGATCTCCGCTCACTGCAACCTCTGCCCCTGAGGTTCAAGTGATTCTCCTGCCTCAGCCTCCTGAGTAGCTGGGACTACAGGCATGTGCCACCACACTTGGCTAATTTTGTATTTTCAGTAAGTTGAGGTTTCACCATGTTGACCAGGCTGGTCTCAAACTCCTGACCTCAAGTAAACCACCTGCCTCAGCCTCCCAAAGTGCTGGGATTACAGGCATGAGCTACCACACCCGGCCCTAAGTTATGTTTTTCTTAATTCAGCTTTCTTTTGGTTTGCTGTAAACTTTTGACTGTTCTGCAGACTTCTGACAAAGTTGGTTCTGATAGTTTTGGCTTGTGTTTTACGTTTTTGTGGGGAGTTTGGGAGTTTGGAGCTTTCTATTCCACCATTTTTCTGACATTGAGAGGTGAAGCCAGCTGGACTTCCTGGGTCGAGTGGGGACTTGGAGAACTTTTCTGTCTAGCTAAAGGATTGTAAATGCACCAATCAGCACTCTGTAAAAATGTACCAATCAGTGCTCTGTGTCTAGCTAAAGGATTGTAAATGCACCAATCAGCACTCTGTGTCTAGCTAAAGGATTGTAAACTCACCAATCAGCACTTTGTAAAAACACACCAATCAACACTCTGTGTCTAGCTAAAGGATTGTAAATGCACCAATCAGCACTCTGTAAAAACACACCAATCAGCGCTCTGTGTGTAGCTAAAGGATTGTAAATGCACCAGTCAGCACTCTGTAAAATGGACCAATCAGTGCTCTGTAAAATGGACCAATCAGCACTCTGTGAAATGGATCAATCAACAGGATGTGGGCGGGGCCAAATAAGGGAATAAAAGCTGGCCACCCGAGCCAGCAGCGGCAACCTGATCGGGTCCCCTTCCACACTGTGGAAGCTTTGTTTTTTTGCTCTTCACAATAAATCTTGCTGCTGCTCACTCTTTGGGTCCGCACTACCTTTATAAGCTGTAACACTCACTGTGAGGGTTTGCGGCTTCATTCCTGAAGTCAGCGAGACCACAAACCCACTGGAAGGAACAAACAACTCCAGATGCGCCACCTTTAAGAGCTGTTAACACTCACTGCGAAGGTCTGCGGCTTCACTCCTGAAGTTAGCAAGACCACGAACCCACCAGAAAGAAGAAACTCCGGACACATCTGAACATCTGAAGGAACAAATTCTGGACACACCATCTTTAAGAGCTGTAACACTCACTGCGAGGGTCTGTCGCTTCATTCTTGAAGTCAGCGAGACCAAGGATCCACTGGAAGGAATAAATTCCGGACACAGACTTCTGACAAAGTTGGTTCTCATAGTTTTTGCTTGTGTTTTATGTTTTTGTGGGGAGTTTGGGAGCTTGGAGCTTTCTATTCCACCATTTTTCTGACATCACTATGCCTATTAATATTTAATTGGATTCTATTTTGATATTAATTTTTCCACCTATGCTTAATTTTATTTATTTATTTATTTTGCCTCATACACTTTTTCTTTTCTTAGAATTCTGCTCTGCCACTCACTAATGATGTGACCTTGGGAAAGTTTCTTAAACTCTCTTTACCTCAGATTCCTTATCTAAAATGAAGATCAAGTAAGTTAATATAAGTTGAGTAACTTAATGTAGTTAAAGTGTTCAGAACAGAGTCTGCCATATCATCATCATTCCTATTTCTTTTTTTAGCTTGTAAATGTTTTTGATGCATAATATTTGTACATACTTATAGGCACATGTGACATTTGGATATATGCATACAATGTGTAATGATAAAATCGGGGTCTTTAGGATATTCATCACCTCAAACATTTATCATTTCTTTGTGTGGGAACATTTTAAATCTTATTTTATGGGCTATTTTGAAATATAAAATATTTTGTTAATATAGTCATCCTACTGTGCTATCACACACTAGAGCTTATTCCTTTTACCTAATTGTGTGTTTTAACGCATTAGCTAATGTCGCTTCATTCTCCCACCCCTTCCCAGGCTCTTGTAGCTATCATTGTACTCTATATCCCCATGAAATTCACTTTTTTTTTTTTTAGCTCATACATAAGAATGAGAACATGCAATATTCATCTTTCTATGCCTGGCTTATTTCACTTAACATAATGACCTCCAATTTCCTCCATGTTACAAATCACAGGATTTTATTCTTTTTATGGCTGAATAGTATTCCATTGTGGATATGTACCATGTTTTCTTTATCCATTCATCCATTGATGGACACTTAGCTTGATTTCATTTCTTAGCTATTGTGAATAGTGCTGCAGTACACAGGATGGTGTAGGTATTCCTTTGATATACTGATTTCATTTCCTTTGGATAAACCCAGTAGTGGGATTGCTGGATCATATTGTAGTTATATTTTTAGCTTTTTGAGAAACCTCTATAATGTTTTTTTTAATAATGATTGTACTAATTTACATTCCCACCAGCCATGTGTGATAGTTCTTTTTTTTTTTTTACATCTTTGACAGTGTTTGTTATTTTTTGTCTTTTTGATAATAAGCATTCGATCTAGAATAAAATGATATCTCATTCTGGTCTTGATTTAGATTTCGTTATGATTAATGATGTTGAGCATTTTTTAAATATTTGCTGCCTGCTTGTATGTTGTCTTTAAGAAATGTCTATTTAGATTTTTTGCCCAACTTTTAATGGGATTATTTGTTTCTTTGCTATTGAATTGTTTGGGTTTCTTGTATATTTTGGATATTAGTTTCTTGTTGAAGGAATAGTTTGCAAATATTTTCTCTCATTCAACAAGCTGCCTTTTTATTGATTGTTTCTTCTGCTGGGCAGAAGCTTTTTCATTTAATATAGTTCCATTTGTCTATTTTTGTTGTTGTTGCCTGTGCTTTTGTGATCACGGCCATAAAATTTTTGGCTAGACCAATGTCCTAGAGCATTTCTCCTGCGTTTTCTTCTAGTAGTTTTATAGTTTCAGGTCTTACATTTAAGCCTTTAATGTATTTTGCATTGATTTTTGAGAGATTGGGGCCTAGTTTCATTTCTTTGCACATGAAGATTTAGTTTTCCAAGCACCATTTTTAGAGTCTCTCCTATCCCCAGTGTATGTTCATGGCACCTTTGTAAAAAGTGAGTTGACTGTAAGTGCATAGCTTTACTTCTGGGTTCTCTATTCTGTTCCATTGGTCTATGTGTCTGTTTTTGTTCAATAATATTATATTTTAGTTACTATAGCCTTGTAGTATATTTTGAAGTCAGGTAGTGTGATGCCTTCAATTTGGCTCTTTTTGCCCAGAATAGCTTGACTATTTGGGTTCTTTTGTGGTTCTATAGAGATTTTAAAAATTTCTTTTAATTATGTTTTTGGCATTTTGATAGTGATTGCATTGAAACTGTAGTTTGCTTTAGGTAGTATCTTTATTTTTACAATATTAATTCTTCCAGTCAGTGAGCATGAGATGTTCTTTAAGTTTTTGTATTCTCTTCAATTTATTTTATCAGTGTTTTACAGCTTTCTTTACAGAGGTCTTTCACCTTCATCATTACATTTATTTTTAGGTATATTACTTTTTCTTATAGCTATTTAAATGGGATTGCTTTCTTGATTTTTTTTCAGCTAGTTCTTTAATGTTGTATAGAAATGCAACTGATTTTTTTTATGTTGACTTTGTATGCCATAAATTTATTGAATTCATTGAGCAGTTTTACGAGTTTTCTGGTGGAATCTTTAGGTATTTCTGTATATAAGATCATGTCATCTGTAAAAAGTGACAATTTGTCATCTTCCTTTCCTGTTTGGATGCCTTTTATTTCTTTCTCTTGCCTGATCTGTTTATGTGATATGGTTTAGATATTTGTCCCACCCAAATGTCATGTTAAACTGTAATCCCCAGTTTTGGAGATGGGGTCTGGTAGGATGTGTTAGAGTTGTGGGGGCAGATCCCTCATGGCTTGGTGCTATCCTCATGGTAGTGAGTTCTCCTGAGGTTTGGTTAAAAGTATGTGACACCTCCCCCACTCATTACTTCCACTCTCTCTATGTGAAAAGCTGTCTCCCTCTTTGCTTTTCATCATGATTGTAAGCAGCCCAAGGCTTCACCAGACACCAAGCAGATGCCCAGTGCCATGCTTCCTGGACACCTGAAGAACCACGAGCCAATTAAACCTCTTTTATTTATAAATTACCCAGTCTCAGATATTTCTTTATACCAAGACAGGAATAGCCTAACACAGGAAATTGGTACTGAGGAATGGGGCGTTGCTACAAAGATACCTCAAAATGTGGATGCAACTTTGGAGCTGCGTAACAGGCAGAGGTTGGAAAAATTTGGAGGGCTCCGAAGAAGAACAAGAGGATGAGGGAGTTTGGAACTTCGTAGAGACTGGTTAAATGATTGTGACGAAAATGCTGATGGTGATATGGACAGTGAAGTCCAGGCTGAGGAGGTCTCAAGATGCAAATGAGGAACTTATTGGAAACTAGAGCAAAGATCACCCTTATTATGCCTTAGCAAAGAATTTGGCTGTATTTTGTCACACCCTAGGGATTTGTGGAAGTTTAGACTTAGGGTATCTGGCAGAAGAAATTTCTAAGCAGGAAAGCATTTAAGACATAGCCTGGCTGCTTCCAGCAACCTAAGTCAGATACAGGAGCAAAGAAATGACTTAAAATTCCAAGTTATATTTAAAAGGGAAGCAGAGAATAAAAATTTGGAAAATTTATAACCTGGCCATATAGAAAAGAAAAGAAAAGAAAAGCCTGTTTTCAGAAGAATCCAGGCAGAGTAACCACTTGCTAGAGAGATTTGCATAGCAAAAAGGGAGCCAGGTGCTCATAGCCAAGACAATGGGGAAAAGGCCTCGAAGTCATTTCAGAGATATTCATAGCAGCCCATCCCATCACATGCCCAGAAGCTTAAGAGGAAAGAATGCCAGGCTCACGGCCCTGCTGCCCTGTGCAGCCTTTGGACACTTCTCTTTGTATCTGGGCTGCTTCAGCTAGAGCCTTGGGTGCAAAGGGCCCCAGATACAGCTCAGGCCACTGCTTCAGAGGGTACAAGCCATAAGCTTTGGTGGTTTCTACATGGTGTTAAGCCTGTAGCTGAAAAAAGTACAAGAGTAAAGGAGGCTTGGCAGCCTCTGCCTAGGTTTCAGGGAATATATGAGAAATCTTGGGTGCCGAGGCAGAATGCAAGGGCAGAGCCCTCACAGAGAACCTCTACTACAGCAGTGTCAAGGGGAAAAGAGGGACTGGAGGCCCCACACAGAGTCCCCAACAGGGTACTGCCTAGTGGAGTTATGGGAAGGGGCACTGTCCTCCAGACCCCCAAAATGGTAGATCCACTGGCAGCTTGCACCCTGTGCCTGGAAAAACTGTAGGCACTCAACTCCAACCTGTAAGAGCAGCTTTGGGGCTTACCCTGCACAGCCACAGGGGCAGAGCTGCCCAGGGTTTTGGGAGCCCACCTCTTGTACCAGTATGCCCTGGATTTGGGACATGGAGTCAAAGGAGATTATTTTGGAGCTTTAAGATTTAATAACTGCCCTGATGGGTTTCAGATTTGTATGGGGCCTGTCATCCTTCTCTTTAGGCCAACTTCTCCCTTTAGGAACAGAAGTCTTTACCCAATGCCTGTACTGTATCTAGAAATAAATAAATTGGCTTTGATTTTACAGGTTTATAGATAGAAGGAAATTGGCTTGAGTCTCAGATGAGAGTTTGGACTTGGGACTTTTGAGTTAATGCTGGAATGAGTTAAGAGTTTGGGGGCTATTGAGAAGAGATGATTGTATTCTGAAATGTGAGAAGGATATGAGATTTTGGGAGCCAGATGCAGAATGATATGGTTTGGATATCTGTTCCACGCAAACATCATGTTGAAACGTAAACCCCAAAGTTGGAGATGGGGCCTGGTGGGAGGTGATTGGATTATGGGGGCAGATCCCCCGTGGCTTGGTGCCGTTCTCACAATAGTGACTTCTCATGAGATCTGGTTGTTTAAAAGTATGTGGCATCTCCCCTGACCCATCTTGCTCCTGCTTTCTCCATGGGAGACACTGGCTCCCCCTTTGCCCTCTGCCATGATTGTAAGCAGCCCAAGGCCTCATGAGAAGCTGAGCAGATACCTGGTACCATGCTTCCTGTACAGCCTGCAGAACTGTGAGCCAATTAAACTTCTTTTCCTTATAAATTATCCAGTCTTAGGTATTTCTTTATAGCAATGCAGGAATGGCCTAACACATTATGACTTCTAATACTGTGTTAATAAGAGTTGTGAAAGTGGGCATCGTTGTCCTATTTTAAATCTTAGAGGAAAAGGTTTCGACTTTTCCCCATTCAGTATAATGTTAGCTGTGGGTTTGTCATATGTAGCATTTATTGTGTTAAGGTATGTTTCTTCTATACACAATGTATTGAGAGTTTTTATGATGAAACAATGTTAAATTTTATCAAGTTTTTTCAGTATCTATTGAGATAATCAGTGGTTTCTGTCCTTGATTCTGTTTATGTGATGTATCATGTTTATTGATTTGTGGACATTGAATCATCTTTATGTCCCTGAGGTGTATCCCACTTGATCATGGTGAATTAACTTTTTAAATGTTTTTTGAATTTGGTTTGCTACTATTTTGTTGAGGCTTTTTGCATCAATTTTCATCAGGGGTTTTGGCCTATAGTTTTCTTTTTTGTTGTATCTTTGGATTTGATATCAAGGACTTCATAAAGTGAATTAGGAAGAATTTTCTCTTCAATTTTATGGAATAGTTTGAGAAGAATTGGTGTTAGTTTCTCTTTATGAGTTTGGTAGAATACAGCAGTAGAGCCATCTGGTCCTGGGCTTTTTTGTTGTTGTTGACTTTTTATTACTGATTTAATTTTATTACTCATTATTGATCTGTTAAGGCTTTTTAACAGACACTGTTCAATTTGGTAGGTTGTATGTGTCCAGGCATTTATTCATCTCTTCCACGTTTTCCAATTTGTTAGCATATAGTTTTTCATAGTCGTCTCTGATGATCTTTTGTATTTCTCTGGTAACTATTGTAATGTGTCTTTTTTCATTTCTGATTTCATTTGGGTCTTCTTTCTTTTTTTGTTGCTTAGTCCAGCTAACAGTTCATCAATTTTGATTAGCTTTAAAAAATCCAACTCTTTTTTTGTCCTTTATACTGTTTTTAGTATCTGTGTTTTAGTTCTGCTCTGATCTTTATTTTTTTCTTCTACAAATTTTTGGTTTGGTTTGTTCCTCCTTTTCTGGTTCCTTGAGGTGTAGTATTTTATTTGAGCTGTTTATTTGAGATCTTTTTGCTTTTTTGATGTAGGCATTTATTGCTATAAACTTTCCTCTTAGTACTGCTTTTGTTACATTCCATAGTTTTAATGTGTTGTGTTTCAATTTCTATTGTTTTATGATTTTTTTTGACTTCCATGTTTTTTTATTTTTTTATGTTTTTGAGACAGAGTCTTGCTCTGTTGCCCAGGCGGTGTGCAGTGGTGCGATCTAGGCTCACTGCACCCTCCGCCTCCCAGGCTGAAGCAATTCTCTTGCCTCAGCCACCTGAATAGCCGGGACTACAGGCCTGCGCCACCATGCCCAGCTAATTTTTGTATTTTTAAGAGAGACGGGGTTTTGCCATGTTTCCCAGGCTGGTCTCGAACTCCTGGCCTCAAGTGATCCTCCCGCCTCAACCTTCCAAAGTGCTGGGATTACTGGCATGAGCCACCATGCCTGTCATGCCTTGATTCCCATCTTAATTTCTTCATTGATCCAGTGGTTGTTCAGGAGCATGTTGTTTAATTTCTATGTATTTGTAGTTTCCAAAGATCCTCTTGCTATTAGTTTCTAGTTTTCCATTGTGGTTTTAGAAGATACTTGATATGATCTTGTATTTTAAAAATTTGATGAGGCTGGTTTTGTAGCCTAAGATATGATCTATCCTGGAAAATGTTCCGTGTCCTGGTGAGAAGATGCATATTCTGTAGCTGTTGGGTAAAATGGTCTTTAGAGGTCTGTTATGTCCACTTAAGTCTACATTACAATTTAAGTCTGATGTTTCTTTGTTTATTTTCTGTCTAGATGACCTGTCCAATGCTGCTGTGTTGATGTTTCCTGCTATTATGGCATTAGAGTCGATCTTTACCTTTAGATCTAGTAATATTTACTATAAATATCTGGGTTCTTTGATGTTGTTTGCATATATATTTAGAATTGTTATATCCTCTGGCTGAGTTGATCCTGTTATTATTATGTAATGATCTTCTTTGTCACTTTTTACTGTTTTGACTTAGAGTCTTTTTTATCTGATATAGATATAGCTGTTCTTGCTTGCTTTTGGTTTTTGTTTGCATGGAATTTTTAAATTCTATCCTTTTACTTTGAATTTCCATAGGCTACATATACTTGAGTCATTTTTTAAAAAATCCATTCAGTTGGTCTATAGCTTTTAAGTGGGGAACTCATTTATATTCAAGGTTACTGTTGATACACAAGGGCTAATATGGTTTGGATCTGTGTCCCCACCAAAATCTCATGTTGAATTGTAATCCCCAGTGTTGGAGGTGGGGCATGGTGGGAGGTGACTGTATAATGGGGCAAATTTCCTATAAATGGTTTAGCACCATCCTCTTAGTACTGTCCTTGTGATAGTGAGTTCTCGCAAGATCTGGTTATTTAAAAGTGTGTGGCACCTCCCATCCCCTATCTCTCACTCCTACTCTGGCATGTGATGGGCCTGCTCCATCTTCAACTTCTGCCATGATTGTAAGTTTTCTGAGGCAGTTGACCTGGTAAATGAGGTGGCTACTAAGTGAGCAATGGCTGAGTAGTGTATATAGTGCAGATATGCTGAACAAAGAGATGTTTCATGTCCTGGGTGAGATGGAGTGAGATAGCATGATTTTTTTTTGCGTATGTGTATGTATGAGTGTGTGTGTGTGTGTGTGTGTGTGTGATTTGTAAACTTTTTAAATATATTTAGGGGGTACATATGCAGATTTCTTGTTTGTTTGTTTATTTTGAGACGGAGTCTTGCTCTGTCACCCAGGCTGGAGTGCAGTGGCACGATCTCGGCTCACTGCAAGCTCTGCCTCCCAGGTTCATGCCATTCTCCTGCCTCAGCCTCCCGAGTAGCTGGGGCTACAGGCGCCCGCCACCACACCCGGCTAATTTTTTGTATTTTTAGTAGAGACGGGATTTCACCATGTTAGCCAGGATGGTCTCAATCTCCTGACCTCATGATCTGCCTGCCTCGGCCTCCCAAAGTGCTGGGATTACAGGCGTGAGCCAACGCACCCGGCCCCAGATTTCTTTATTATTATTATTATTTTTTATTGTACTTAAAGTTCTGGGATACATGTGCAGAATGTGCAGGTTTGTTACACAGGTATACATGTGCCATAGTGGCTTGCTGCACCCATCAACGCGTCATCTACATTAGGTATTTCTCCTAATACTGTTCCTCCCCTTGCCCTCTACCCCCACAACAGGCCCTGGTTTGTGATGTTCCCCTCCGGGAGCCCATATGTTCTCATTGTTCAACTCCCACTTATGAATGAGAACATGTGGTGTTTGGTTTTCTGTTCCTGTGTTAGGTTGCTGAGAATAATGGTTTCCATCTTCATCCATGTAACTGCAAAGGACATGAACTCATCCTTTTTTATGGCTGCATAGTATTCCATGGTGTATATGTGCCACATTTTCTTTATCCAGTCTATCATTGATGGGCATTTTGGTTGGTTCCAAGTCTTTGCTATTGTGAATAGTGCCACAATAAACATATGTGTGCATGCGTCTTTATTGTAAAATAACTTACAATCCTTTGAGTATATACCCAGTAATGGGATTGCTGGGTCAAATGGTATTTCTAGTTCTAGATCATTGAGGAATTGCCACACTGTCTTCCACAATGGTTGAACTAATTGACACTCCCACCAATGGTGTAAAAGCCTTCCTGTTTATCTACATCCTCTCCAGCATTTGTTGTTTCCTGACTTTTTAATGATCACCATTCTAACTGGTGTGAGATGGTATCTCATTGTGGTTTTGATTTGCATTTCTCTAATGACCAATGATGATGAGCTTTTTTTCACTTTTGTTAGCCGCATAAATATCTTCTTTTGAAAAATGTCTGTTCATATCCTTTGCCCACTTTTTGATGGGGTTGTTTGTTTTTTTCTTGTAAATTTGTTTAAGTTCCTTGTAGATTCTGGGTATTAGTCCTTTGTCAGATGGATAATTGCAAAAATGTTCTCCCATTCTGTAGATTGCCTGTTCACTCTGATGATAGTTTCTTTTGCTATGCAGAAGCTCTTTAGTTTAATTAGATCTTATTTGTCAGTTTTGGCTTTTGTTGCCATTGCTTTTGGTGTTTTAGTCATGAAGTCTTTGCCCATGCCTATGTCCTGAATGGTATTGCCTAGGTTTTCTTCTAGGGTTTTTATGGTTTTAGGTCTTACATTTAAGTCTTTAATCCATCTTGAGTTAATTTTTGTATAAGGTGTAAGGAAGGGATCCAGTTTCAGTTTTCTGCCTATGGCTAGCCACTTTTCTCAGCATCATTTATTAAATAGGGAATCCTTTCCCCATTGCTTGTTTTTGTCAGGTTTGTCAAAGATTGGATGGTTTACATGTGTGGCATTATTTCTGAGGCCTGTGTTCTGCACCATTGATCTATACATCTGTTTTGGCACCAGTACCATGCTGTTTTGGCTACTGTAGCCTTGTAGTATAATTTGAAGTCAGGTAGCATGATGCCTCTAGCTCTGATCTTTTTGCTTAGGATTGTCTTGGCTATACAGGCTCTTTCTTGTTTCACATGAAATTTGAAGTAGTTTTTTCTAATTCTCTGAAGAAAGTCAATGGTATCTTGATGGGAATAGCATTGAATCTATAAATTACTTGGGACAATATGGCCATTTTCACAATATTGATTCTTCCTATCCATGAGCATGGAATGTTTTTCCATTTGTTTGTGTCCACTCTTATTTTGTTGAGCAGTGGTTTGCAGTTCTCCTTGAAGAGGTCCGTCACATCCCTTGTAAGTTGTATTCCTAGGTATTTTATTCTCTTTGTAGCAATTGTGAATGGGAGTTCACTCATGATTTGGCTCTCTGTTTGTCTATTCTTGGTGTATAGGAAAGCTTGTGATTTTTGCACATTGATTTTGTATCCTGAGACTTTGCTGAAGTTGCTTATCACCTTAAGGAATTTTTGGGCTGAGACAATGGGGTTTTCTAAATATACAATCATGTCATCTGCAACAGAGAGAATTTGACTTCCTCTCATCCTATTCGAATACCCTTAATTTTTTTCTCTTGCCTAACTGCCCTGGCCAGAACTTCCAATATTATGTTGAATAGGAGTGGTGAGAGAGGGCATCCTTGTCTCGTGCTGGTTTTCAAAGGGAATGCTTTCAGTTTTTGCCCATTCAGTATGATATGGGCTGTGGGTTTGTCGTAAATAGCTCTTATTATTTTAAGATACATTCCATCCATACCTAGTTTATTAGTGTTTTTAGCATGAAGTGGTGTTGAATTTTATTGAAGACCTTTTCTACATCTATTGAGATAATCGTGGTTTTTGTCACTGGTTCTGTTTATGTGATGGATTACATTTATTGATTTGCGTATGTTGAACCAGCCTTGTGTCCCGGGGTGAAGCCGACTTGATCATGGTGGATAAGCTTTTTAATGTGCTGCTGGATTCAGTTTGCCAGTATTTTATTGAGAATTTTTGCATCGATGTTCATCAGGGATATTGGCCTGAAATTTTCTTTGTTTTTTTTTTTGTTGTGTCTCTGCCAGGTTTTGGTACCAGGATGATGCTGACCTCATAAAATGAGTTAGGTGGGAGTTCCTCTTTTTCTATTATTTGGAATAGTTGTAGAAGTAATGGTACTAGCTCCTCTTTGTACCTCTGGTAGAATTCGACTGTGAAACATGTGGTCCTGAACGTTTTTGGTTGGTAGGCTATTAATTACTGCCTCAATTTCAGAACTTCTTATTGGTCTATTCAGGGATTCTGTTTTTTCCTGGTTTAGTCTTGGGTGGGTGTATGTGTCCAGGAATTTATCCATTTATTCTAGATTTTCTATTTTATTTGCCTAGAGGTGTTTATAGTATTCTCTGAGGGTAGTTTATATTTTTGTGGGATTGGTGGTGATATCCCCTTTATCGATTTTATTGTGTCTATTTGATTCTTTTCTCTTCTTTATTAGTCTGGCTAGCAGTCTATTTTGTTATTCTTTTCAAAAAACTAGCTCCTGGATTCATTGATTTTTTTGAAGGATTTTTTGTGTCTCTATCTCCTTCAGTTTTGCTCTGATGTTAGTAATTTCTTGTCTTCTGCTAGCTTTTGAATTTGTTTGCTCTTGCTTCTCTAGTTCTTTTAATTGTGATGTTAGGGTGTTGATTTTAGATCTTTCCTGCTTTCTCATGTGGGCATTTAGTGCTATAAATTGCCCTCTAAACACTGCTTTAGCTGTGTCCCAGAGATTCTGGTATGCTGTGCCTTTCTTCTCATTTGTTTCCAAGAACTTATTTATTTCTGCCTTAATTTTGTTATTTACACAGTAGTCATACAAGAGCAGGTTGTTCAGTTTCCATGTAGTTGTTCAGTTTTGAGTGAGTTTCTTAATCCTGAGTTCTAATTTGATTGCATTGTGGTGATTTCTGTTCTTTTGCATTTGCTGAGGAGTGTTTTACTTCCAATTATGTGGTTAGTTTTAGAATAAGTGCAATATGGTGCTGAGAAGAATGTATATTCTGTTGATTTTGGGTGAAGAGTTCTGTAGATGTTTATTAGGTCTGCTTCTGTAGATGTTTATTAGGTCCAGAGCTGAGTTCAAGTCCTGAATATCCTTGTTAATTTTCTGTCTCATTGATCTAATATTGACAGTAGGGTGTTAACGTCTCCCACTATTATTGTATGGGAGTCTAAGTCTCTTTGTAGGCCTTTAAGAAGTTTCTTTATGAATCTGGGTGTTCCTGTATTGGGTGAATATATATTTAGGATAGTTAGCTCTTCTTGTTGCATTGATCCCTTTACCATTATGTAATGCCCTTCTTTGTTTCTTTTGATCTTTGTTGATTTAAAGACTGTTTTATCAGAGACTAGGATTGCAACCCCTGGTTTTTTTTTTCTTTTCTTTTTTTTTTTGCTTTGCTTTCCATTTGCTTGGTAAATCTTCCTCCATCCCTTTATTTTTAGCCTACGTGTGTCTTTGCATGTAGACACACATAGGCTAATACGTCTCCTGAATACAGCACAGCAATGGGTATTGACTCCTTATCTAACTTGCCAGTCTGTGTCTTTTCATTGGGGCATTTAGCCTGTTCACATTTAAGGTTAATATTGTTATATGTGAATTTGATCCTGTCATTATGAAGCCAGCTGGTTATTTTGCCCATTAGTTGATTCAGTTTCTTCATAGTGTCAACATGTGCATATTTCTTATATGCATATATTTCATAGTGGTGAAATATGGGCATTTAGTGTACCTCTCACCTAAATACTGAACATTGTACCAAATAGGTAATTTTTCAACCCTCCCACATTTTAGTCTCCATCAAAACCTGTGGATTGACTTACCCTGCTTTCCACAGCTGGTACTCACACACACCACTGGGGAAACAGGGTGGAACCACCCACCTTCTGCCATTAGCACCTGCACATGTCCTTTGGGGGCCAAGGAGTTTGATCTATCCCACCCACTGCTGCTTTCTATTTTTCCACTCTGTGTGTCCATTGTACCTATAGTTTAGCTCCACTTATAAGTGAGAACATGCAGTTTTTGATTTCCATTTCTGAGTTATTTCACTTAGTATAATGGCCTCCAGTATCATCCATGTTGCTGCAAAAAACATGAATTCATTTTTTATGGCTAAATAGTATTCCATAGTGTGTGTGTATATGCATACCTACACCCACCCACCACTACCTCCACATACACTACATTCTCTTTATCCATTCCTCTGTTGATGGACACAGGTTGTTGTTTCCGTATCTTTGCTATTATGAATAATTCTAGGGTAAACATACAAGTGCAGTTATCTTTTTGTATAATGATTTTTCCCTTTGGGTATATATCCAATAGTGGGATGGCTAGATCAAATGTTATTTCTATTTTTACTTCACTGAGAAATTGCCATATGATTTTCCATAAAGGTTGTACTAATTTACATTCCCACCAACAGTGTATAGTGTTCCCTTTTCTCTGCATCCTTGCCAACATCTGTTGTGTTTTGACTTTTTAATAACAGCCATTCTGACTGGTGTAAAATGATATCTCATTGTGTTTTTTATTTGCATTTCTCTGATGATTTCTAAGATTGGACCGTCTTTCATAGTTTGTTGGCTGCTTCTGTGTCTTCTTTTGAAAAATGTTTGTTCAACATTTCCCTTGCTCACCTTTTAAATGTTTTTTTTCTTTGTTAAGCTGTTTGAGTTCTTTGTGATTCTGGATATTGGCCCTTTGTTGGATGCATAATTTACAAGTATTTTTTTCTTATTCTGTAGGTTGTCTGTTTACTCCATTGATTGTTTCCTTTGCTGTACAGAAGCTTTTTGGTTTAATTAAGTCCCATATGTCTATTTTCATTTTTGTTGCATTTGCTTTGAGGACTTGTTCATAAATTCTCTGCTTAAGTCAATGTCCAGAAGAGTTTTTCCTAGGTTTCTTCTAGGATATTTATAATGTCAGGTGTTAGTTTAGGTCTTTAATCCATCTTGAGTTAATTTTTGTATATGGTGAGAATTATGGGTCCAATTTATTTCTTTTGTATATAACAATCCAATTTTCCCAACACTGTTTATTGAATTAGGATATCTTTTCCTCAGTGTAAATTTTTGTTGAATTGGTCAAAAATCAGTTGATTGCAGGTATATTGTTCTTTATTCTCTTCCATTGATCTGTGTGTCTATTTTTATACCAGCACCATGTTGTTTTGCTTACTCTAGCCTTGTAGTATAATTTGAAGTCAGGTAATGTGATGCCTCCAGCTTTGTTCTTTTTTGCTTAAGATTGCTTTGGCTATTTGGACTCCTTTTTTGATTCCATATGAATTTTAGGATTATTTTATCGAATTCTATGAAAAATGATGATAATTTGATAGAGGTTGTGTTCAATCTGCTGATTACTTTGGGTAGTATGGTCATTTCAATAATATTGTTTCCTTCAATCCATGAGCATGGGATGTTTTTCTATTTGTTTGCATAGTCTGTGATTTCTTTCATTAGTGTGTTATAGTTCTCCTTATAGAGATCTTTTTACTCCTTGGTCAAATATTCCTTGATATTTTATTTCATTTTTATAGCCATTGTGAATGGGAATGCCTTCTTGATTTGGTCCTTGACTAAGTCATTATCAGTGTGTAAAAATGCTTCTGATTTCTGTATATTAATTTTGCATCCTGAAACTTTTCCGAATTGATTTATCAAATCTAAGAGGTTTTTTTTTTTTGGTGAAGTCTTTAGGGTTTTCTAGAATAAGATATTATCATCAGTGAACAGGGATAATTTGACTTCCTCATTTCTAATTTCGGTGGCTTTTTGTTTTCTCTTGCATGATTGCTTTGGTGAGGACTTCTAGAATTATGTTAAATAAGAGTGGTAAAAATGGGCATTCTTGTCTTCTGCCAGTTCTTAGAGGGAATGCTTTCAACTTTTCCTCATTAAGATGTTTGCTGTGGATTTGTCATATATTACCTGTTATGTTGAAGTATGCTTTTTTTATGCCTAGTTTGTTGAGGATTTTTATCATGAAGGGATGCTGAATTTTATGGAATGCTTTTTCTGTGCCTGTTGAAATGATTATGTGGTTTTTGTCCTTAATGTTTATGTGATGTATTTCATTTATTGATTTGATACTTATTATTGGTCTGTTTGAGAGTTTTAGTTTTTTCTGGTTCGATATTGGGTGTTTGTATGTTTCCAGAAATTTATTTATTTCCTCTAGGTTTTCTAGTTTGTGAGTGTAGAGTTGTTGATAATAGTCACTGATGATATCTTGTATTTCTGTGGAATCAATTGTAATATCTTTTTTCATTTCTGATTGCATTTATTGAGATCTTGTCTCTTCTTTTCTTGATTAGTCTACTTAGTTTTTGTCAATTTTCTTTACCCTTTCAAAGAACTAACTTTTTGTTTCATTGATTATTTGTGTTTTATTTTGTTTTCTATTTCATTTGGTTCTTCTTTGATATTTGATATTTGTTTTTTTCTGTTAACTTTGGGTTTGGTTTATTCTTTTTCCTCCAGCTTTTTGAAGTGTGATGTTAAGTTGTTAATTTGTGGTCTTTCTACTTTTTTGTTGTAGGCTTTAATGCTATAAACCCCTCTTAGCCCCGCTTTTGCTGTATCTAACAGGTTTTGGTATGTTGTGTTTTCATTTTCATTCATTTAATAAAATTTTTAAATTTATATCTTATTTTTTCATTGACCCAGTGATCATTCAGAAGCCTACTGTTTAAATTTCCATGTATTTTTATCATTTCTGAAGTTTCTCTTGGTATTGATTTCTAGTTTTATTCCACTGTAGTCTGAGAAGACACTTGATATGATTTCGATTTTTGAAAATTTGTTAAAACTTGTTTTATGGCTTTGCTTTAACATGGTCTACCTTGGAGAATATTCTATCTGCTTATCAAACTAATGTATATTCTGTAATTGCTTGGTAGAGTGTTCTGTAAATGTCTATTAAGTCCATTTGGTCTAAAATCCAGTTTAAGTTCAGTGTTTCTTTGTTAAATGATCTGTCTAGTGCTATGACTGTGATGTTGACGTCCTCCTCTATTATTGTATTGCTAGGTGTTTTGATGTTGGGTGCCCATGTATTTAGGATTGTTGTATCCTTTGCTGAATTGATCTCTTTATCATTATATAATGTCTTTCTTTGTCTTGTATTACTTTTTTTGATCTAAAGTCTGTGTTATCTGATTTAACCATAGCTACTTGTGTTCCCCTTTGGTTTCTATTTGCATGGAATATATTTTCTACCCCTTTACTTTTAGTCTATATGTGTCTTTATAGGTAAGGTGAGTTTCTTATAGGAAGAATGTAATTTGATCATATTTTTTAATGCAGTCTGCCAATCTCTATCTTTTAAGTGGAGCATTTAACCTATTAAAGGTTAATATTGATATATGAGGCTTTGTTCTTGTCATGTTTTTATTTTTAAATTGTTTTAAATTTTTTTATTTTCTTCTCTTTTTGTCTTTGTGGTTTGATGAAATTCTATTGTGATTCCATTTGATTCCTTTATTTTCCTCCTTTTTGTGATTATTTTATAAAAACTAAGTTTTATATTTCTGTATGTTTTCATAATGGTAATTATCAACCTTTCATTCCCATGTCTAAGTACTCTCAGCATTTTCGGCAAGACCAGTCCAGTCACCAAAAATTTTCTAAGTATTTGCTTATCTGAGAAAGACTTTATTTTTTCTTGATTTATGAAGCTTCTTCTGGCAGCATATAACATTCTGGACTGACAGATTTCTTTTTTTTTCTCTCAGCACTTTGAAAATGCCATCTTATTCTCTTCTGGCCCATAAGTCTTCTGTTAGTCAGATGTGGTTTCCTTTGTAGGTCACCAGCTGATTTTCTCTTTCTAACTTTAAAATTCTTTCTTTCACTGACTGTAGACATTCTGAATATATAGGCTGTGGTGACTTCTTTTTGCAATGTATTTGCCTTGGGATAGGAAGTTCTCAGCAATTGTTTCCTTAATTTGTTTTCTAAATTTTTTGATTGCTCTTCCTTCCTCAGGAATACCAACAATGCATAAGTTCTATAGCTTTATGTAGTCCCAGACATCTCAAAGCTTTGTTCATTCTGTTCTATTCTTTTATCTTTATTTTTATCTGACTGGATTATTTCAAAAGACCTTTCTTCAAGTTCTGAGATTTTTTTCTTCTATTTAGTCTATAATTGAAGCTTTTGAATGTATTTAATATTTCCTTCAATGATTTTTTTTGTTCTAGAATTTCTGCTTGGTTTTATTTTATTTTATTTTTCAAGGCCAAAGCCTTTTAGTAAAGACAGTAATCTTATTTTGATAAAAAGTATATTTCAAAATAAAAATGTAATGTTAATAAATCCTAAAGCATCAAGTAACATGAAAAACATAGTAAAACTTTTGAGCAATATAAGAGAAAATGACTTGTACATCTGTAAAACGAAAGAGATTCCATTATAAAGCTACTTGAATTGATAAAAACAGAATTCAACAAAATGGTAGGATGAGATAAATATACAAAAATCAATAGCTAGCCTGTATAATAACAATAATGTATTAAAATTATGATGAAAAAGGAAATAGCATTGAAAATATAATAATGGTAGGGAGCACACTGGGATCAATATTTGATCAAATTAATATAAAATTTATTTAGAAGAATAAAACATATAGAATAACATACATATGCACACATACAGGCATATATGTTAAAGGCAAGAATAATGAGGAGTAATTAGCCCTACCAGATCTTAGACAATCTTATACTTGAATAATTAAAGCAGTGTGGTATTGATGCAAAAATAGACAGATAAATGAACAAAATAAATAACCTTGAAATTGATCCTGAGCTCAAGCAATCTTCTTCCTGCTTCAGCCTCCTGAGCAGCTAGGACTACAGGCTCGCACCACCATGCCAGTCTATTTTTAAAAAAAATTTTTTTTGTTGAGACAAGGTCTTGCTATGTTGCCCAGCCTGGTCTCAAACTCTTGGTCTCAAGTGATCCTCCCACCTCAGTCTCCAAAAGTGCTGATATTACAGGCATGAGCCACTGCTCCCAGCCCTTCAATGTACCTTTTTTTTTTTTTTTTTTTTTTTTTTTTTTGAGACAGAGTCTTGCCCTGTCACCCAGACTGGAATTCAGTGGCATGATCTTGGCTCACTGCAACCTCCGCTTCCTGGGTTCAAGCAATTTTCCTGCCTCAGCCTCCTGAGTAGCTGGGACTACAGACATGCACCACCACACTCGGCTAATTTTTGTATTTTTAGTAGAGATGGAGTTTTGCCATGTTGGCCAGGCTGGTCTCGATCTCCTGGCCTCAAATGATCCACCCGTCTTGACCTCCCAACATGCTGGGATTATAGGCATGAGCCACTGTGCCCAGCCCCAATGTGTCTTTTAATTCTGTTATTGCATTTTAGGTTTTCTTGCATTGTTTTATTTTGGTGATCTTTATTTACATTTGTGATTTCATCTCAAATTGGTATTCTCATATAATTTCCTGCACCTGTTTTATAGCGTGATAATATCATCTTCTACTCTACTGATGTTGCCAGACAGTTTTGAAAATAATTTTTTAGAGTTCTCATATTACATAATTTTAGAGGTATAATTGTCTTCTTCCTTTATCACATTTTTTTTTTCTGTTTTATAGTTACCCTCACATTGGATTTTTTTTTTGTGGGTAATTCCTCCGTAATTCTGGTACTTGATTGCCATTTATAATTTTGGTATTTTTGTGAATGTTTTAATCTTCCTACATATTTTAGTGAAAAGTATGGAGAGACACTGCTAGACACTGTTGATTTTGTATTTATATTTAAGAACTTTTCCACTGTCCAGCCATGGCTGACTGAGCCAATCCATCCTGTGTTTAGCAGTGTCTGATTAAGGTTTAGATACTGTTAAGTGGTTGTCTCAGATGTTACTGACTAAAGGGAGAATTTTATCACCATATGATATAGCTGGAGAGGTCTACAGTCATTGTTACTACTTTCAGCAGTGCAACTTAAGGAGGATACTGTATTCCTTCACGATTGTAAATATGGTATGCAGAGTTTTAGTGTCTTCATAGCCAAAATAATACCATTAAGTACAGAAACATTTGAGCTGAATTTAATCTTGACATTGGAAGTTTTGATAAATTACTGAATATAATCCCATCTCCAACCTACTCTGCACTATTCTTATTATTAAGAAATAATGTGTTTTAGTTTTCCGGGACAAAGCTGGTTTAGTCTGATTGTTTCAGTGTAATTACTAATAGCAACCCTGTTGTTTTCAAGATTGTCAAGATTTAGGTGATAAATTATATGGTCACTTTACTTTGAAGGATTTTATTTCTGATCTTCTTATAATCATATTACCCATGTGATATAGATGCTTTCATGAATGAAATACTTCCTTACCTTATGCTTCCATTACCATCTCTTGAAGATACCGCTGTCTCTTCTTTATACCACAAAGAAAACTTCTGTTTTCAAAGACTTTTTTGTTAGGATTCCCAATTCATGTCCCAGATATTGAGGACAATTTCCAAAGCCTTACATGTTTTCATTATCTGTCTGCTGCCACCACTGTATTAGTCAGGCTTTCCCCCAGAAACGGAACCAATAGGATCTGTCTGTCTGTCTGTCTATATCTCTATCAATATATAGATACACATGAGGATATTTATTATGAGAATTGGCTCACATGATAATGGATGCTGAGAAGTCCCATGATATGCCATCTGGGAAAGGCCATAGTGTAATTCAGTCTGAATCTGAAGGCCTGAGAACCAGAGGTGCTGATGGTGTAACCTCCACTCCAAGGTCAAAAGCTTAAGATCTGGGAGGCCATTGGTTTAAGTCCTGGAATCTGAAGGCCCAACAACCAGGAGCTCCAATTCCAAGGGCAGGAGAAGATGGATATCCCAGCCAAGAAGAAAGGGAGAACTTATTGTTGCTCTGCGTTTTTGTTCTATTTAGGCCCTAAGTGATTTGGATGACACCTGTCCACATTGGTAAGGGTGGATCTTCTTTAGCCCATCTACTGATTCAGATGCTTATATTTTCTAGAAACACCCTTACAGACACACTGAGAAATAATGTTTTACTAGCTATCTGGGCATCTTTTAGCCCCATCAACTTGACACATAAAATTAACCATCACAAGCACCATTGTACTTACAGAGCTTATCAATCTCAGATCTCACAAATTCAAGTGTTCACTCAATTTATCTGTGTTTTATCTCTCACCTTTCTCTACGGAATTCAGTTTGCAAATGTACTGTCTTCTGTGTGTACTTCATTCTGTATTCTGAGATTCTTTTTGACTCTTGGCTAACTCTCACTCTCATGATCTCAGTTTCACTTACAGCTTTAGATAAAAGGCAGTGTCCTTTTTCTAACATTGGACCCATAGAGTCCTATCTACTTGCTCTGGCTAGTTTTAGCTACCCTGTCTGGATTTTTTTTTCTCAAATAGGTAAATTCAAACAAAGGAAATATGAGATTTAATGAAGAATTATTGTATAAATAGATTTGTGTTTTAATGAAACTAACCCCATCCCACCTAACTCCATTCGAGCCTTCTCCTGCTTGGGCAGCAATTTAGATAATAGACTGAAGGGGCAAATTTGTAGTTAAGAATAACTGCAGTGATAGTAAAGATGTACTATGGGGGTGGGAGTGGTTCAGAATTGAAATTTTTTTTAGGATATAGAATTGACAAGTCTTGGTTAAACTGATCTGTTTAATCAGTGTTTCTCAACCTCTGCACTGTTGACATTTTGGCCCAGATTATTCCTGTTGTGAGAGGCTTACTTATGTATTGCAGGATGTTTAACAGCATGCCTGTTCTCCATCCACTAGATGCTAGTAGCGACCCTCAGTTGTAAGAAAGAAAAATGTAATTGAGCACCGCTAAATGTCCCCTGGGGGAAAAACACCTCCAGTTGAGAACTACTGTGTTAAATAAATGGCATATGCTTTGTATTGCAAACTGTTACAGGGTTAGCAATAATTATTTCTATGATAATAAGTTTAAAAAATAGATATTATTAATAATAATAAAATGTTTTTATGCCTGAGCATTGCAAGGTTGGCTTAACACTTGAAAATTAATTAGTGTAATTCACTACATTAACAGAAATTGGCATATTTTCAAATGGTTGATGACAATTCGCAAACTCTCTTCTGAATGTGTCATACAACATGTTGTTCTTCTGTTTTATTTTCTCATCAAGTTTTCAGCGTCCCCTACATATCAGGAATGTTGATTTTGTTAACTTTTTCCTGCCATATAGATTGCAAGTGTCTTTCCTAGACTCTTACTACATTTTGTTTGTTACACAAAATATTGTGTTATTAAATGTACCTATATTTCTTTTGTGAATTCAGGAATTCCTTTTTTATTTAAAAGGGCCTTGTCCTTCCAAATGTTTTATAAAAATTATCCTATATGTTCTGAAATTTTATTTTGTTTCACAGTTGGATCTTTATTGCAGTTGGATTTTATTTTTGTATTTGATATATGATAGGGTATATAACCTGATTATGTGAGCTTCATTTATTAAAACATATTTTCTATAATGAATATAAATGCCATTTTTTAATATATTTTCATTTTTATGTATTTCTATTTTGGATTTCTATTCTGTTTTATTGATACAATTATCTATCATTGCACAAATACTTTGTTTTTAACACTTTAGTAAGTTTTAATGTCTTAATTTTCCCTCTTCTACAACCTGCTTCTCCCTTAGTTGCCTTACCTCAATAAATACTATTAAGAACTCTGTCAGATACTGCTTTAGTCCATCTGTGTTGACATAAGGAAATACTTGAGGCTGGGTTATTTATAAGGAAAAGAGGTCTTATTTTGTCTCATGGTTCTGTAGGCAGTACAAGAAACATGGTGCCGGCATCTGCTTCTGGCGAGGGCCTCAGGGAGCTTCTACTCGTGCAGGAAGGTGAAGTGGGAGCAGATATGTCACACGGTGAGTGTGGGAATGAGAGAGTAATGGGAGAGGTGCTACACACGTGAACAACCAGATTTCGCCTGAACTGAGTGAGAACTCACTTCTTCCCAAGGGGATGGTGCTAAACTGTTCATGAGGGATCCTCCCGTATAATCCAAACACCTCCCACCGGGCCCCACTTTCAACACTGAGGATTGCATTTCAACATGAGATGTGGCGGGGACCAGTATCCAAACCATATCAGTTATTCAGTCTGAAAACCTTGAGAGTTTTTCTTGACTGCTTACTTTCTCTCACAATCCTTATTCAATGCACTAGAACATTCTTTTCTTCCTTTTATCAAAATATATAAAAAATTCAACCACTTTTCACCACCTCCACCACTTTCACATTTACCATGTTAGTTTATTCCATTATCTTTTTTGTTGCCCTGGACTATTACAATAGTTGCTTGATTCCCCCATTTCTAATCTTGATCACATAGCAGCCAGAGTGATCTTCTTAAAATATAAATCACATTCTCATTCTCTCCAACCACTTTCCAAAGAGCTGCAGGCTTAGCATACACATTGTCTGCCTTCCAAGTTGTAGCAGTCAACAGTTCTACCAAATGGCATGCTGTTTCTGTCTGTTCCTTTGCATTTTAACAATCAGATGCTAAACCAATGCCACTAATTTTAAATTTATTGATTTAGGTAAGGGTATTCTCAGTGCTTCAAAAGCAATGTCAAAATCTCAATGCCTTAATATAACTGTTGTTTATGTCTCTCTCATCTAATAGTTTAATGAGAGTCAGTGGACAAGTTTCTTATCCATAGAGTCATCTGGTTACCTAGACTCCTTCTATCTAGTGGCTACATTCCATAAGGCTTTGGAGTCCTCCATTGCATCTTCCCAACTACGTGGAATGAAAATTTGTACAGCAGGTTTTAGAGGACAGCACTGGGTGTGTGTGTGTGTTGATGACTTTTTCATATACTTACTGGCCATTTGTATGTCTACTTTTATGAAAAAGTCTATTTTGGTCATTTGCCCATTTTTAATTGGATTATTTGGGTTTTAGTGTTGAATTGCTTGAGTTCATTATATTTTGTTTTTATATTAATTGCTTATCAAATTTATGGTTTCTCCCAGTCCATAGGTTGCCTTTTCATTTCGTTGACTTTTTTCTTTGCTTTGCACAAGTTTTTTTTTTTTTTTTTTTTTTTTTTAGTTCTTCACTAATCTGCAGAGGTTCTACTTGTTTATTTTTGCTTTTGTTGCCAGTGATTTTGGTGTCCTACCCAGAAAATCAAGAATTATGGCAAGGAGCTTTTCCCCTATGTTTCCTTCTGGACGTTTTATGGTATTATGCTTAAAATTTTAATTCATTGAGTTGATTTTTGTGTATGTGTCAAATAAGTGTCCAATTTTATTTTTTGCATGTGGATATCCAATTTTCTCAACCTAATTTAAGGAATTATGTTTTCTTCATTGTGTATTGGTGGCACCCCTGTCAAAGATTAATTGACCATATATGCCTCGGTTTATTACTGGGCTCTCTAACCTATTTGTTTGACCTATGTGTCTGTTTTATTATTATTATTTTTATTTTATGTGTCTGTTTATATACCATTACAATACTGTTTAAATTTTTAAATTTTATTTATTATTTATTTTATTATACATTGAAATTTATAGCTGTATTTATTATGGGGTATAAAGCAATGTTATGATTTACGAATATAATGTGGAGTACTTAAAGCTAATTAACACATCCATCAGCTCAAATATCACTTTTTATAGTGAGAACATTTGAAATTTACTCTCATAGCAATTTTGAAATGTACAATATGCTATTATATTCACCATGCTGTACAGTAGATATCAAAAAACCTTTATTCCTCGTGAATAACTGAGATTTTATACTTTTTGACATCATCTCTTTATTACCCCCACCTGCAGCCTGTGCAGCCCCCATTCTGCTCTCTGCTTCTATGAGTTCAGTTGTTTTATCTTCCACATGTAAGTGAAAACATGTGGTATTTGTCTTTCTGTGCTTGGCTTATTTCACTTAGCATAGTGTTCTACAGTTCTATCCATGTCATTGCAAGTGACAGAATTCCATTTTTAAAGGCTACATAGTATTCTACTCTCTCTATGTACTACATTTTCTTTATCCATTCATCCATTGATAAACAGGTTGATTCCATTACTTGGCTATCATGAATACTGCTGCCTGCAGTGAACAAGGGAGTGCAGACATTTCTTTGACAAACGGGTTTTAAACTTTTGGTAAATACTCAGAAATGCAATTGCCAGATCATATGGTGATTCTATTTTTAGTGTTTTGAGGAACCTCCATACTGTTTTTAATAGTTGATGTACTAGTTTACATTCCTGCTAACAGTGTACAAGAGTTATCTTTTCTTCATATCCTGACCAACACTTATCTTTGGTATTTTTGATAATAGACATTCTGACCGATGTGAGGTGACATATCATTGTGGTTTTAATTTTCATTTCCTTAATAATTAATGATGTTGAGCTTTAAAAATATATATGTTTTCCATTTTTGTGTCTTCTTTTGAAAAATGTACATTCAGTCCCATTACTTGTTTTTTAAATTGGGTTTTCTATTTTCTTGCTGTTGAATTTAGTTCCTTATATATTTTATGTATTAAATCCTTGATGAATGTATGGCTTGTACATGTTTTCTCCTAATTCATAGGTTGTCTCTTCAAATTATTAATAATTTCCTTTGCTGTGCAGAAACTTTTCAATTTTATGTAATCACACTTGTCTATTTTTGCTTTTGTTGCCTGTGCTTTTGGGGTCAAATAAAAAAAATTGCCTACACCAATGCTGTGCAGCTTTTACTTTTGTTTTCTTCTAATAGCTTTATAGTTTCTGGTATTACCTTTAGATTTTAATGTGAGTTTAATTTTTGTAAATGGTGTGAGATAAGAGCCCAATTTAATTCTTTGCATGTGAGTATCCAATTTTCCTAACACTATTCATTGAAGACTATCCTTTCCCCATTGTGTATTCTTAGCACCTTTGTTGAAAATCAATTGGCTATATAGGCTGGGTTCATATCTGCATTTTCTGGCGTGTTCCATTGGTTGGTGTGTCTACTTTTTTTGGCAGTACCATGCTGTTTTAATTACTATAGTTTTGTAGTATAGTTTGAAATCAGGTAACGAGATGCCTACAGCATTGTTCTTTTTGTTCATGATTGCCTTGGCTATTCAGGTTTTTTTTTTTTTGTGGTTCCATATGAATGTAAAATTTTTCTATGTCTGTGAAAAGTGACATTGGAATTTTAATAGGATTGCGTTGACACTATAGATTGCTTTGGGTAGTGTGGACATTTTTAAAAATCATGGGATATCTTTCCATTTATTTGTGTCTTCAATTTCTTTCATCAATTGTTTTATCATTTTTAGTGTACAGGTCTTTTATCTCTTTGGTCAAACTTTATTCCTAATTTATTTTTTAAATAGCTGTTGTAAATCAGATTGTTCTCTTCATTTCTGTTTTGGATAGTTCATTGTTAATGTATAGAAACACTACTGATTTATGTGTGTTAATTTGTATTGCGCAACTTTATAGAATTCAACATTTTTTGATGGAGTCATAAGGGTTTTTATGTATAATATTATATTGTTAGCAAACAATGATAATTTTATTTCTTTCTGGTCTATTTGTATGCCTTTTATTTCTTTCTCTAGCCTAATTTATTTGGTTGGGACTTCCAGTACTAATACTGAATAGAAGTGGTGAGAGTGGGCATTCTTGTCTTGTCCAGATCTTAGAGGAAAGGCTTTCAATTTTTAACTATTGATTATAATGTTACCTGAAGGCTTGTCATATATGGCCTTTATTGTTTACATACATTCCTTCTATATGTAATTTGGTGAGAGTTTTTTTTTAATCATGAAAGTATGTTGAATTTTGTCAAATGCCTCTTCTGCATCTATTGAGATGATCATGTGCTTTTTGTCCTTTAGTCTGTTAATATGATATATCACATTTATTGATTTGTATGTATTGAACCTTTTATGCATCCCTAGGATAAATCTCACTTGACCTTGATAGGTGATACCGTTAATGTGTTGTTGAATTTGGTTTGATAGTATTTTGTTGAGTATCTTTGCATCTATGTTCATCAAGGATATTGGTCAGTAATTTTTTTTTCTTGTAATGTCCTTATCTGGTTTTGGTATTAGGGTAGTAGTGGTCTAGTAAACCAAAATTGGAAGTATTCCCTCATTTTCAATTTTTTAGAACAGTTTAAGAAAGATTGGTATTAATTCTTTTTTAAATTCTTGGTAGAATTGAGCACAGAAACTCCAAGATCCAGGACTTTTCTTTCATGGTAGAGTTTTTCTTACTGACTTAATCTCGTTACTAATTATTGGTCTGTTCAGATTTTCTACTGTTCAGATTTTTTACTGATTTAATCTTGCTTGGTTGTATGTTTCTAGGAGTTTATTCATTTTTCTAGGTTATCCAGTTATTGGCATGTAATTGTTTATAGTAGTCTATTTTGATTTTTTTTTGGTCTTTATGTTACATCAGTTGTAATACCTCCTTTTCTGATTTTATTTGAGTCTTTTTGAAATTTAGTCTACCTAAAGGTTTTTAAAACTTTACCATTTCAAAGAATCAAGTCTTAGTTTCATTGTTCTTTTGTATTGATTTTTAGTCTCTATTTCATTTATTTCTGCTCTAATCTTTATTATTTCCTTTTTCTGCTAACTTTGGCTTAGTTTGTTCTTCTTTTTCTAGTTCCCTGACGAATAATGTTAAATTTTTGAGATCTTTCATCTTTTTTGATATAGACATTTATTGATATAAACTTTTCTCTTAGAACTGCTTTTGCCATATTCCATATCCCCTAAGTTGTGGTATGTTGTATTTTCAGTTTCATTTGTCTCATTGTATGTTTTAATTTTCCTTTTAATTTCTTTATTAACACATTGGTTTCCAGGACCATGTTTCATTTCCATGTATTTGTGAATTTTCTAAAATTTATTCTGCTATTGATTGCTAGTTTCATATCATTGTGGTGAGTAAAGATATTTGATATGATTTCAATCTTCTTAAATTTGCAAAGGCTTTTTTGTGCCTTATGTGTGATCTTTTCCAGAGAATGGCTGCATGTGCTTGAGAAGAATGTGCATTCTAGTGCTGTTGGATGGAATATTCTGTATATATCTATTAGGTTCGCTTGATCTAAAGTATAGTTCAAGTCCAGTGTTTCGTTATTAATGTTCCATCTGTATGATCTGTCCATTGTTGAAAGTGGAGTATTAAAGTTCTCCACTATTATTGTATTACAGTTGTTTTTCCCTTCAGACATTTAATATTTGCTTTATGTTTTTAGGTTCTCCGGTATTTACAGCATATATATTTACAAGTGTTACATTCTTTTGATGAATTGACCCCTTTATCATTACATAGTATGCTTCTTTGTCCCTTTTTACAGTTTTTGACTGGAAGTTTATTTTTTTGATATAAGTATAGTGACCTCTGCTCTCTTTTGGTTTCCTGGGGAGATAACTACTGAATATTGGCAAGTTTAAAAGTCACCTTTTTGTTCTTGTGGTCTAGGAGACTCAGGAGTTCAGAGCTGTGTCAGCTCCCACAGATAGGTGATTTGAGAGTCAGTTTATTGGGTGAAGGCTACAAAAGTCGGTCTCCTTGATGTGCATATAAACTACAAGAGAGAGAGTCCTCAGCTTTGGATTTATTGCTAGAGGAACCCAGGGAAGAATGTGCGAGGGTGCTCACTATTTTGTTCAAGCAAGCAGAAGTCTCACACCCTCCTAGCAGTGGGGGAGACTTTGGGTCTGGAGTTGCCTTTGAAGCAAGCCAGAGAAGAAGGTGCAGGGAGTAGGCACTTTTTCCTTTTTGGCTTGGAGAGGTCCCCTAGCCTCTCTCCAGTGAGAGATTTCAGGAATTTATCTGAGTAGAAATCCAGAGAAGGCACAGAGGGTGCCATCCCTTCCATTCTCACTGGCAGGGGACTCCAACCTCTTTTCACAGTGATATTGTAAGGCTGGAATTATTGCAGGAGCATCCTCAGGAAGAAAGCGCTAGAGTGCCTAATCTCCTGTTCAAAGAAACAGAAGTTTCAAACCCACCTTGTAGAGAGGGAGTCTTCTAGTTTGGAGTTATTGCTGAAGCAAGCCAGGAAGAAAGGCACAGGGATTGCTGTGCTTCCTGTTTTTCTACTATGTAGACTCCCAGATATTGGCTTGTTAGAAGCCAGAACTGCAGGGAGCTGCTGGAAAAGTATGTGGCCAAGCCCTTTCTAGGAGAAATCTGAGCTGTTCTCAGGGGTATTAGTGCTGGGAATGTTCACATGGTTCAAACTGCCCCTTTGTTTTTTTTGTCCTTGAGGGAAATCCTCTGATCCCCCTGTCCCTGCTGTTCCTCAAGCATGATTTAAGTGCCAAGCCCTATGGCATAGAGTGTAAAAGTTGGGTACCATATATACATATGGAAATATATATATGGGTACCATATATATGTGTGTGTGTATATATGTATATATATGCATATATATGTATGTGTATATATATATGAAACAAGCCCCTTACTTCTTGGGAAGAAGCTTGTAATAGGGGCTTCCTTCCTTAATATAAGGTGCTGTTCTCAATGTGAGGTTAGTGCAGGGAGTGGGGTTAGTACAGGGAGTCCTTTTCCCATTGCTTATTTTTGTTAGATAGATAAAGCAAATATTAGAGCTAAAGAGACAGACAGACCCCGATACAATAATAGCTAGATTTCAGCACTCCACTTATAGCATTGAACAGATCTCCCAGACAAAAAATCAACAAAGGAACTTCGAACTTAATCTGCACTATAAATTGGCCTAGTAGATATTTAAAGAATATTTTATTTATTGGTTGCAGAATAAACATATTTCTCAGCACATGGATCATTCTGATCTGTATAATATTCATTACTGGGTTGATCCAAAATAATTGTAAATTAAGATCAATTTTTATAATTTATATGCTGTGTCAGTTAGAAAATATAGCCCCAAATTCTTTGAGTCTTCTTCCAGTCAGGAAATGGGGTCTACCCAACCTCTTGTGAGTTTAGCTGGCTTATATTCATTTTCATTAATAGAATGGGTAGAAGTGATGCCATGCAGTGTCTGCCTGGCTCTTGGCACACAATCTCTGGAAGATTTATGTTAAGATATTTTCTTTCAGAATCCAGCTGCCATTCTGTGAGAAGCTCAAGGCAAAGGAAGGCCATATGTAGGTTCTCTGGTTAACAGCTTTAGCTGAGGCAGACATGTGAGTGAATGATGAAACCTCTAGATGATGGTGTCATTTGAAGCAAAAAAAATTTTAATTGTGAAGTTCAATTTATCTATATTTTCTTTTGTTAACTTGTGCTTTTGGTGTCATATCCAAGAAACCATTGCCTAAAGCAAAATCACAAAAATTTACTTCTCTATTTTTTTATAAAGGGTTTTATAGTTTTAACTCTTAATATTTAGGTCTGCAGTCCACTTTGAGTTGCCTGTAGTGTGAGATGAGAGTTCATGTTTATTCTTTTACATCTGTATATTCAGTTCCCAGCACTAGTTTTTGAAAATACTATTTTCTCCCCACTGAATTTTCTTAGTGCTCTTGTAGAAAAAATTGCTTGGCCATAAATGTAAGGGTTTGTTTCTGAACTCTCAATTCTATTGCATTTATGTATATGCCTTTGCTTATGCCAGTGCCACACTCTTGATTACTGAAATTTTGTACCAAGTTTTTAAATTGGGAGTGACAGGCCTCCAAATAGTTTTTTCTCATGTTTTGGTGGTTCTGGATGCCTTAAATTTACATATAAGTTTTAGTGTTGCCTTCTCAATTTCTACAAAAAAAAAAAAACACTAATTGGTATTTCGATAGGGATTAAGTCAAATCTGTAAATCAGTTGGAATGTATTGTCCTTTTAACAATATTGTCTAACAATACATAACCACAGGTTGTCTTCTCATTTATCATATATTCTTCAATTACTTTCAATGATTCTTTGTATTTTTAGTATACAGGACTTTATACTTATTTTTTTAAAAGTCATTCTTTAACTGTTTCATTTTGATACTATTATTAATTTTCAAACTGCTAATTGCTAGTATATAGAAATACAATTGAGTTTAGTATATTGATCTTATAATTTGAAATCTTTGCTAAATTGATTTCTTCTAATAGGTTTATTATTCCCTCTTTGGGATGTATTTGTGTGTGTATAGGTGTTTCTTAAATTTCTTTATAAAACATTTGTAAGTTGAGAGTTTTACTTCTTCCTTTTCAATCCAGATACATTTTATTTCTTTTTTTTGGGGGGGGGGGGGTCTAATTTCTCTGGCTAGAAACTCCATTGTAGTGTTAAACAGAAGTGATAAGACATCCTTATCTTGTTTTTACTTTAGTGGGAAAGCATTAACCATTAAGTATAATGCTAGCTATGAAATTCCCTTTCATTTTCAGTTTGTTGAGTGTTTTTCTAAAAAAGGATTTGGAGTTTGCTTTTTTTCGAACTATTGAGATGATTATAAAGGGAATCATTTATTAATATCGTTTAGTATATCGATTTTCAGTTATTAAACCAAGCCAGCATGGGATTGTTGATTTTTGCTCTTTTCTTATTCTTTCTTTTATTTATATAAATAAATATATATATTCTTTCTGCTTACTTTAATGTCCTCTTCTTTTTCTAGCTTATAAGGTAGAAGTTTTGTTGACTGAGGTCTCTTTTCTTTTTCAGTGTAAGTTTGCAGCTGTAAAATTCCTCTAAGCATCACTTTAGCTGCATCCCATAGTTTTCATGTGATGTGTTTTTGTTTTTCTTCACCTCAACCTATTTTCTAGTCTCCCTTATGATTTTTTCCTTGACCCATTGGTCATTTAGGAGTGTGTTGTTTAAATTCCACTTATTTGTGAATTCCTCAAATCTCCTCCTGTTATTGATTTCTAATGTCAGTTCATATAGATTGAAGAACAACTTTGGCATGAGTTTAATACTATTAAATTTCTCAAGGCTTGATTTATGGCCTAACATATTGCATATCTTAGAGATTTCCAAGTATATTTTAGAGCAACACGTATTTGTCTGTTGGGTGGAGCCTTCTATGGGTATCTGTAGACTTCCAGTGAGCTCTACTTAATTTATTGTATTCTTCAATTCTATTTTCTTCTTGATCTAATGCTTAGTTGTTCAGTCTATTATTTAAAGTGGGATGTTAAAGTCTCCACCTATGATTGTTGTAGTATCTATCTGTAATTGCTAATGATTGGGCATGAAAGTTCACACATAGGATTTTAACCTGGAGCTGGTCTCCTCAATTTGCACGTACACACAGGGCTCCTCAGTTTGCACATACACACAGGGCTCCTCAGTTTGCGCGCGTGCACGCACACACACACACACACACACACATTCATACACACATGTTCTTATGTACACAAACATGCATATACATGCAAATAAACATATTTAGAAATGAGGAATTCTCATGGACATCTTCAATTCCAGTTTATCCTCTCAGGTCTTATTCTTGCCTTCCTTCATTTTGTATGTATTTGTTTTCTTTTCCACAGTGTAAACCTGACTGAACATTAACAACACATGTACTCATTTGCTTTATCCCCTAATGCTCCTCAATTTGTTTTAGAATTGCTTAGCTCATAGCACTAGAAAAACAAATTTACTAAAATATTTTGTGACTTTATTTGCACCCCACTCTCTTGACCAAGACTGAGAATATTTGTCAAATTTTTATTCACAAGTTACTTGAATTAATGCTTTGTTTCTTTCCTCAGTAGGTTCACTTATTTCTTTGAGTTATAGTTTCCCTTTCTAATTCTATTGATTTAGCTTTGTGTATATATATATATATGTGTGTGTGTGTGTGTGTGTGTGTGTGTGTGTGTATATATATGTGTGTGTGTGTGTATATATATATGTTTTGGAATTGTGCATTAACTTACTTCCCAAAGTGAAAAATATGCAGAAGGTATACTTAGAGCAGTTTCATTCCTCCTGTATCTCTTCCCTTTGTATTTCTCCAGTAAAGGTAACCATGTATATTGTTTTCCGGTTTGTTTTTCTTGTATTACATTTCATGAAATTAATTTTCTGTCTATTTCAATATTTTTCTTCATCTCTCCTTCATTCTTATCTAAAAGGTAGCATTCTAGATATGCATTTTTTCTATTTTTGTTTATTTGCTTTCTGCCTACTTAACATTATGCCTGGAAATAATGAAACAGCAACATACACCTATTAAAACTTCTCACAATTTTCATGTGAGATCTATCTCAATGGTAATTTACTCATGACTTTATGAGAATGAGAGAAAATGCTGCTGTGTACATGTTTAAAATGTGAAATTTGGAGATTTCACAATAGAGCTCTTTCTCTATTTGGTAGACTAAATGAATCTTTTTATGTAGCTGACAGTGAAGTTCCAGATGAAAATCTTATGGTTGAAAATAAAGATTCAGTAACAAAAGTCCAAATAGAACAAATGAAACAAAGAACTTCTAGTATGGAAAGACATGAGGGTAAGTATAATAATTATACATATCTTTACACTATTTTATTTTTATTTTTTGAGATGGAGTCTCGCCCTGTCACCCAGGCTGGAGTGCAGTGGCATGATCTTGGCTCACTGCAACCTCCATCTTCCGGGTTGAAGCGATTCTCCTGCCCCAGACTCCCGAGTAGCTGGGATTACAGGTGCACGTCACCATGCCTGGCTAATTTTTGTATCCTTAGTAGAGACGGGGTTTCACCATGTTGATCAGGCTGGTCTCGAACTCCTGACCTCGTGATCCACCCACCTTGGCCTCCCAAAGTGCTGGGATTACAGGTGTGAGCCACTGCACTTGGCCCTTCACACTATTTTAAGTTAACTCATCAGAGGTCTTTTTTCTTTGCATCATGAATATTTGAACATATAATTTGTAGAAATTTTATACTTTGACCTAAATGTGAATACTGCAAAATAACTAGAGAACTAAAGTGAAAGCTTTAATACCTTTTGATTGGTATTTGCATAGTCAGTGACTACCATGTAACAAGATTGCCTCCACACATGAGAATTTTCTGCTTCGCATCCACGGTCTATTTTAACGAATACCTCACTGCTGTAACTTCCTAGTCCTATTCCATTAATTTTACACAAATGAGAGGAAGTATTGCTGATTACTTGACATATACAGAAGTTTTATCATAGATCTGTTTTTCTGTTCAGAGACTCTTACAACCCCACAATTGCCTGAGGACATGGTTTTAGTTTCAAGAATCCAATCTGAAACTAAAAATCTTAAAGCTACCAGAAATGAGAGTTTTCATTGTAAGTAGTAAGTTTAAAATGTTATAAAATTATTTTCAATTATATTAAACAGCTTTTTTTATGGTTCATGAATATATCTACAACTTTTTTTGTAATTATTTTGTGTATACTTCTAGATCTATACTGGTGTCTCTATAATTACTGAATTAGATGTGTTAATTTTTCCACTATGATTGTGAATTTCCTTGTTCCTTTTTATAATAATGTCAGGTTTTACTTTATATCTTATGACATTTTATTATTAATGTACATATAAATTTAAAATTAACAATCTTACTGGAAGAAATAAACTTTTTCCTAATGAAGGGACCTGCTTTATCATTTTTATAGCTTTTGTTTGTTTGCCTTAAAAACTATCATGTCTCCCCATAATCCCAGCACTTTGGGAGGTAAAGGTGAGTGGATCTCTTGAAGCCAGGAATTCAAGACCAGCCTGGGCAATGAAGTGAGACCCTCATTGCCACAAAAACAAAACAAAACAAAACCCAAAACAAACAAACAAACAAAACTATCACATCTGCTATTAATGTAAATCTACCAACTTTCTTCTGATTGGTATTTGCATGATACATTTTATATTTCATCCTGGTAACTTAACATTCCTCTTTGTGTTTTTTTTTTCTGTATCTCTTGCATGAAGCTCATAGTTGTATATTTTTCAAATTCAGTCTAATATTTTTGTCTTTTAATTAGCTCTCCTAAACACATTTAGTCTTATTATTGATAATTTCTATGTTTAAGTATACCATTTCTTTGTCCTTCCTATTTTATCTGCCTGGTAAGTTTCTTTTACTCTTCTTTATGCCCTATTACTTAATATCATTACATATTTTTTCCTTGGACAAATGATACCAAATATTTTAAACTTTATTCTAAAGACACCTCTGTGTATCTAAAAAGTAGCATAAAGCTTATACTTCAACTAGTTGGTCTCTACTAATAGTTTATTACCACAAAGTGTGATTTGCTTATATCATGTGAAGTGAGACAGTATTATTGAGTCATTAGCATATATTGCAAGTATAGTACTTAACACCACAGATCTGGTTTTCATTTAGTTCTTTTTTTTATTTTTTATTTTTTATTATACTTTAAGATTTAGGGTACCTGTGCACAACGTGCAGGTTTGTTACATATGTATACATGTGCCATGTTTGTGTGCTGCACCCATTAACTCCTCATTTAACATTAGGTATATTTGCTAATGCTATCCCTCCCCCTACCCCCACACCACAACAGTCTCCATTGTGTGATGTTCCCCTTCCTGTGTCCATGTGTTCTCACTGTTCAATTCCCACCTATGAGTGAGAACATGCGGTGTTTGGTTTTTTGTCCTTGCGATAGTTTGCTGAGAATGATGGTTTCCAGCTTCATCCATGTCCCTATAAAGGACATGAACTCATCCTTTTTTATGGCTGCATAGTATTCCATGATGTATATGTGCCACATTTTCTTAACCCAGTCTATCATTGTTGGACATTTGGGTTGGTTCCAAGTCTTTGCTATTGTGAATAGTGCCGCAATAAACATATGTGTGCATGTGTCTTTATAGGAGCATGTTTTATAATCCTTTGGGTATATACCCAGTAATGGGATGGCTGGGTCAAATGGTATTTCTAGTTCCAGATCCCTGAAGAATCGCCACACAGACTTCCACAATGGTTTAACTAGTTTACAGTCCCACCAACAGTGTAAAAGTGTTGCTATTTCTCCACATCCTCTCCAGCACCTGTTGTTTCCTGACTTTTTAATGATCGCCATTCTAACTGGTGTGAGATGGTATCTCACTGTGGTTTTGATTTGCATTTCTCTGATGGCCAGTGATGATGAGCATTTTTTCATGTGTCTGTTGGCTGCATAAATGTCTTCTTTTGAGAAGTGTTTGTTCATATCTTTCGCCCACTTTTTGATGGGGTTGTTTGTTTTTTTCTTGTGAATTTGTTTGAGTTCATTGTAGATTCTGGATATTAGCCCTTTGTCAGATGAGTAGATTGCAAAAGTTTTCTCCCATTCTGTAGGCTGCCTGTTCACTCTGATGGTAGTTTCTTTTGCTGTGCAGAAGCTCTTTAGTTTAATTAGATCCTATTTGTCAATTTTGGCTTTTGTTGCCATTGCTTTTGGTGTTTTAGACATGAAGTCCTTGCCCATGCCTATGTCCTGAATGGTATTGCCTAGGTTTTCTTCTAGGGTTTTTATGGTTTTAGGTCTAATGTTTAAGTATTTAATCCATCTTGAATTAATTTTTGTATAAGGTGTAAAGAAGGGATCCAGTTTCAGCTTTCTCCATATGGCTAGCCAGTTTTCCCAGCACCATTTATTAACTAGGGAATCCTTTCCCCATTTCTTGTTTTTGTCAGGTTTGTCAAAGATCAGATAGTTGTAGATATGCGGCATTATTTCTGAGGACTCTATTCTGTTCCATTGGTCTATAGCTCTGTTTTGGTACCGGTACCATGCTCTTTTGGTTACTGTAGCCTTGTAGTATAGTTTGAAGTCAGGTAGCGTGGTACCTCCAGCTTTGTTCTTTTGGCTTAGAATTGACTTGGTGATGTGGGCTCTTTTTTGGTTCCATATGAACTTTAAAGTAGTTTTTTCCAATTCTGTGAAGAAAGTCATTGGTAGCTTGATGGGGATGGCCTTGAATCTATAAATTACCTTGGGCAGTATGGTCATTTTCACGATATTGATTCTTCCTTCCCATGAGCATGGAATGTTCTTCCATTTATTTGTATCCTCTTTTATTTCATCGAGCAGTGGTTTGTAGTTCTCCTTGAAGAGGTCCTTCACATCCCTTGTAAGTTGTATTCCTAGGTATTTTATTCTCTTTGAAGCAATTGTGAATGGGAATTCACTCATGATTTGGCTCTCTGTTTGTCTGTTATTGGTGTATGAGAATGCTTGTGATTTTTGCACATTGATTTTGTATCCTGAGACTTTGCTGAAGTTGCCTAACAGCTTAAAGAGATTTTGGGCTGAGACGATGGGGTTTTCTAGATATACAATCATGTCATCTGCAAACAGGGACAATTTGACTTCCTCTTTTTCTAATTCAATACCCTTTATATCCTTCTCCTGCCTGATTGCCCTGGCCAGAACTTCCAAAACTAAGTTGAATAGGAGTCGTGAGAGAGGACATCCCTGTCTTGTGCCAGTTTTCAAAGGGAATGCTTCCAGTTTTTGCCCATTCAGTATGATATTGGCTGTGGGTTTGTCATAAATAGCTCTTATTATTTTGAGATACGTCCCATCAATACCTAATGTATTGAGAGTTTTTAGCATGAAGGTTGTTGAATTTTGTCAAAGGCCTCTTCTGCATCTATTGAGATAATCATGTGGTTTTTGTCTTTGGTTCTGTTTATATGCTGGATTACATTTATTGATTTGTGTATGTTGAACCAGCCTTGCATCCCAGGGATGAAGTCCACTTGATCATGGTGGATAAGCTTTCTGATGTGCTTCTGGATTCAGTTTGCCAGTATTTTATTGAGGATTTTTGCATTGATGTTCATCAAGGATATTGGTCTAAAATTCTCTTTTCTTGTTGTGTCTCTGTCAGGCTTTGGTATCAGGATGATGCTGGCCTCATAAAATGAGTTAGGGTGGATTCCCTCTTTTTCTATTGATTGGAATAGTTTCAGAAGGAATGGTACCAGCTTCTCCTTGTACCTCTGGTAGAATTCGGCTGTGAATCCATCTGGTCCTGGACTTTTTTTGGTTGGTAAGCTATTAATTATTGCCTCTATTTCAGAGCCTGTTATTGGTCTATTCAGAGATTCAACTTCTTCCTGGTTTAGTTTTGGGAGGATGTTTGTTTTGAAGAATTTATCCATTTCTTCTAGATTTTCTAGTTTATTTGCATAGAGATGTGTATAGTATTCTCTGATGGTAGTTTGTATTTCTGTGGGATCGCTGGTGATGTCCTCTTTATTATTCTTTATTGCTTCTATTTCATTCTTCTCTCTTTTCTTCTTTATTAGTCTTGCTCTAGCGGTCTATCAATTTTGTTGATCTTTTCAAAAAACCACCTCTTGGATTCATTGATTTTTTTGAAGGGTTTTTTGGGTCTCTATTTCCTTCAGTTCTGCTCTGATCTTAGTTATTTCTTGCCTTCTGCTAGCTTTTGAATGTGTTTGCTGTTGCTTCTCTAGTTCTTTTAATTGTTATGTTAGGGTGTCCATTTTAGATCTTTCCTGCTTTCTCTTGTGGGCATTTAGTGCTATAAATTTCCCTCTACACACTGCTTTGAATGTGTCCCAGAGATTCTGGTATGTTGTGTCTTTGTTCTCGTTGGTTTCAAAGAACATCTTTAATTTTGGCTTTTGCCTTCATTTCGTTATGTACCCAGTAGTCATTCAGGAGCAGGTTGTTCAGTTTCCATGTAGTTGAGCGGTTTTGAGTGAGATTCTTAATCCTGAGTTCTAGTTTGATTGCACTGTGGTCTGAGAGACAGTTTGTTATAATTTCTGTTCTGTTTTTTTTTTTTTTTTGAGATGGAGTCTAGCTTTGTCGTCCAGGCTGGAGTGCAGTGGCACGATCTCGGCTCACTTCAAGTTCTGCCTCCTGGCTTCACGCCATTCTCCTGCCTCAGCCTCTCCGAGTAGCTGGGACTACAGGTGCCCGCCAGCACTGCCGGCTAATTTTTTGTTATTTTTAGTAGAGATGGGGTTTCACCATGGTCTCGATCTCCTGACCTCGTGATCCGCCTGCCTCGGCCTCCCAAATTGCTGGGATTACAAGCGTGAGCCACTGCACCCGACCAATTTCTGTTGTTTTACATTTGCTAAGGAGTGCTTTACTTGCAACTGTGTGGTCAGTTTTGGAATAAGTGTGGTGTGGTGCTGAGAAGAATGTATATTCTGTTGATTTGGGGTGGAGAGTTCTGTAGATGTCTATTAGGTCTTCTTGGTGCAGAGCTGAGTTCAGTTCCTGGATATCCTTGTTAACTTTCTGTCTCGTCGATCTGTCTAATGTTGACAGTGGGGTGTTAAAGTCTCCCATTATTATTTTGTGGGAGTCTAAGTCTCTTTCTAGGTCTCTAAGGACTTGCTTTATGAATCTGGGTGCTCCTGTATTGGGTGCATACATATTTAGGATAGTCAGCTCTTCTTGTTAAATTGATCCCTTTACCATTATGTAATGGCTTTCTTTGTCTCTTTTGATCTTTGTTGGTTTAAAGTACTTTTTTTGTTTTGCATTTGCTTGGTAGATCTTCCTCCATCCCTTTATTTTGAGCCTATGTGTGTCTCTGCACGTGAGATGGGTGTCCTGAATACAGCACACTGATGGGTCTTGACTCTTTATCCAATTTGCCAGTCTGTGTCTTTTAATTGGAGCTTTTAGCCTATTTACATTTAAGGTTAGTATTGTTATGTGTGAATTTTATCCTGTCATTATGATGTTAGCTGGTTATTTTGCTCGTTAGTTGATGCAGTTTCTTCCTAGCCTCTATGGTCTTTACAATTTGGCCTGTTTTTGCAGTGGCTGGTACTGGTTGTTCCTTTCCATGTTTAGTGCTTCCTTCAGGAGCTCTTTTAGGGCAGGCCTGGTGGTGACAAAATCTGTCAGCATTTGCTTGTCCGTAAAGGATTTTATTTCTCCTTCACTTATGAAGCTTAGTTTGGCTGGATATGAAATTCTGGGTTGAAAATTCTTTTCTTTAAGAATGTTGAATATTGGCCCCCAGTCTCTTCTGGCTTGTAGATTTTCTTTTTTTTTTTCTTTTTTTTTTTATTATACTCTAAGTTTTAGGGTACATGTGCACATTGTGCAGGTTAGTTACATATGTATACATGTGCCATGCTGGTGCGCTGCACCCACTAATGTGTCATCTAGCATTAGGTATGGATTTTCTGCCGAGAGATCCGCTGTTACTCTGATGGTCTTCCCTTTGTGGGTAACCTGAGCTTTCTGTCTGGCTGCCCTTAACATTTTTCCTTCATTTCAACTTTGGTGAATCTGACAATTATGTGTCTTGGAGTTGCTGTTCTCAAAGCACATCTTTGTGGCGTTCTCTGTATTTCCTGAATTTGAATGTTGGCCTGCCTTGCTAGATTGGGGAAGTTCTCCTGGATAATATCCTGAAGAGTGTTTTCCAGCTTGGTTCTATTCTCCCTGTCACTTTCAGATACACCAATCAGATGTAGATTTGGTCTTTTCACATAGTCCCATATTTCTCCGAGGCTTTGTTCGTTTCTTTTTATTGTTTTTTCTCTAAACTTCTCTTCTCACTTCATTTCATTCATTTGATATTCCATCACTGATACCCTTTCTTCTAGTTGATCGAATCGGCTACTGAGGCTTGTGCATTTGTCACGTAGTTCTCATGCCTTGGTTTTCAGCTCCATCAGGTCCTTTAAGGACTTCTCTGCATTGGTTATTCTAGTTAGCCATTCATCTAATTGTTTTTCAAAGTTTTTAACTCCTTTGCAATGGGTTCGAACTTCCTCCTTTAGCTTGGAGTAGTTTGATCGTCTGAAGCCTTCTTCTCTCAACTCGTCAAAGTCATTCTCCATCCAGCTTTGTTCCGTTGCTGGTGAGGAGCTGCGTTCCTTTGGAGGAGGAGTGGTGCTCTGATTTTTAGAGTTTCCAGTTTTTCTGTTCTGTTTTTTCCCCATCTTCGTGGTTTTATCTACCTTTGGTCTTTGATGATGGTGACGAACAGATGGGGTTTTGGTGTGGATGTCCTTTCCGTTTGTTAGTTTTCCTTCTAACAGTCAGGACCCTCAGCTGCAGGTCTGTTGGAGTTTGCTGGAGGTCCACTCCAGACCCTGTTTGCCTGGGTATCAGCAGCAGAGGCTGCAGAACAGCTGGTATTGGTGAACAGCAAATGTTGCTTCCTGATCGTTTCTCTGGAAGTTTTGTCTCAGAGGAGTACTAGGTCATGTGAGGTGTCAGTCTGCCCCTACTGGGGGGTGCCTCCCAGTTAGGCTACTCGGGTCAGGGACCCACTTGAGGAGGCAGTCTGTCCGTTCTCAGATCTCAAACTCCATGCTGGGAGAACCACTACTCTCTTCAAAGCTGTCAGACAGGGACATTTAAGTCTGCAGAGGTTTCTGCTGCCTTTTGTTTGGCAATGCCCTGCCCCCAGAGGTGGAGTCTACAGAGGCAGTGAGACCTCCTTGAGCTGTGGTGGGCTCCACCCAGTTTGAGTTTCCCAGCCGCTTTGTTTACCTACTCAAGCCTTGGCAATGGCGGGCGCCCCTCCCCCAGCCTGGCTGCCGCCTTGCAGTTTGATCTCAGACTGCTGTGCTAGCAATGAGCGAGGCTCCGTGGGCGTAGGACCCTCCGAGCCAGGTGCGGGATATAATCTCCTGGTGTGCTGTTTGCTGACCGTTGGAAGAGCGCAGTATTAGTTTGGGAATGACCCAATTTTCCAGGTGCCACCTGGAAAAGGGTGCCACCCTTTCTTTGACTAGGAAAAGGAATTCCCTGACCCTTTGCACTTCCCAGGTGAGGTGATGCCTCACCCTGCTTCAGCTTAGGCTCGGTGCCCCGCACCCACTGTCCTGCAACCACTGTCTGACACTCCGCAGTGTGATGAACCCAGTACCTCGGTTGGAAATGCAGAAATCATCCGTCTTCTGCGTCACTCACACTGGGATCTGTAGACTGGAGCTGTTCCTGTTCAGCCATCTTGGCTCCAGCACCTCATTTAGTTCTTAAAAAGATTTTCTTATTGTATCCTAGAGTATGGATGATGAATTAGATGAAAATATTTTGCCTGACACTTAGAACTGTTAGAAGAAAAAGACTCAGCAGTAAATGTAATGATGAATATTATTAAATTATTTTAAATTAAAGTTAACTTTGAATAAATTAAGCAGAATTTGGTTTATGGATGTGTATCACGTTAGGACTGTAGAAACATGCATTAAATTGTGCTATTTAAAGTAGTATTTATTTTTTGATTTCCTTTAATTTTTTGTTAGTTCTGACATTTACTAAGAGAGGCATGTTGAATTCTCCTCCTATTATTTTGGATTTATCTATTTCTTCTTGTAGTTTTGTCTTCTTTTTAAATGCTGCTTATGTTATTGGTGCATATGTATAAAAATTCCATATTTCTGGCAAACTCAACTTTTTCATTTCATGAAAGGAACCTTCTGAATCTCTGGTAAGGTTATTTGCCTTAAATCCTATTGTGTCTTACATTGACATACTATGGTGATTTTTGTTAGTGTATGTGTGGTGTATCTCTTTTCATCTACTTGTTTTCTGTCTTTCTGGATTTTTATAATTTACTGACATAGCTTGTAAATCACCTATAGTTAGATTTTTTTTTGTTTACAAATCCAGTGTGACTGTCTTTTTTTATTCATAGAACGTTTCAATGTTTTAATTTAAAATTATTGTAATTATTGACACATTTGGATTTAAATATTTTGAGCTGCTTTTTGTTTCTTCTACCCAATCCATGTTTACTTCTCTTTAATTTATTTCTTTATGTTGGAATCTTTTTTTATTCATTCTGATTTTTAAATCAATTATTTCTGTTTTAAAATGTTTAAACTTTTTAAAAAAGATTAATACTCTTGGAAAAATAAAATTGACTTTCAACTTTTTAAGTGCATATAGTATATGAAGTAATAGAGTGTTTCCATATCCTTGCAGTAGAAACACTTTCATGATTTTTACATGTAACTTCATAGTTTATTTTGAAAATTAATTTGGTCTTTTTTTGAAAATTAATTTTCAAAATTATTTTGAAAATTAATTTTCAAAATTATTTTGAAAATTAATTGGTCTTTTCAATTCATTTAATTGAATTGTGGTCTTTTACTTAAATTTTTATAAAAATGAATGGAAACTTTGATTTCTGGCATATTTTTAACAATTCAGAGGCTTCACAATTAAATGGTGTCACTCTTTATTGTAGTCTAAGCCTCTCTTCCTTTTTATTTAAGATTTTAATTTATAATTGACATAATGGTACACATTCATGGGGTACAATATGGTGTTTTAGTCCATGTATACATAGTATAATGATTGAATCAGGGAAATTACCATATATATCGCTAGAAGAACTGGTCATTTTTATGGTAATAACATTCAAAATCTTCTTGTCTAGCTATCTTGAATTATACACTACAATGTTATTTGCTGTAGTACCCTACTGTGGAACAGAACACTAAAACTTCTTCTTCATGTCTAACTGTATCTGTGTACGCATTAATAAGCCACTTGCTGTTCCTCCTCCCCCAACCCCTCCACAGCCTCTGATAAGCACTATTCTACTATTTCCATAAAATCAACTTTTTTAGATTCCACATATGAGTGAGATCATATGGAGTTTGTCTTTCTTGCCTGGCTTGTTTTACTTGACATAATATTCCTCTAGGTTCATCCATGTTGTTGCAAATGACAGGGCACCATTTCTGTTTTATGGCTGGTGATATGGTTTGGCTATGTTCCCACCCAAATCTCTTCTTGAATTGTACTCCTATAATTTCCACATGTTGTGGGAGGGACCCAGTGGGAGATAATGAATCACGAGGGCGATTTCCCCCATACTGCTGCTAGTGAATAAGTCTCATGAGCTCTGATGGTTTTATAAGGGGTTTTTGCTTTCACTTCTTCCTCATTCTCTTCTCTTGGCTGCCACCATGTGAGACGTGCCTTTCACCTTCTGACATGATTGTAAGGCCTCCCCAGTCACCTGGAACTGTAAGTCCATTAAACCTCTTTCTTTTGTAAATTGCCCAGTTACAGATCTGTCTTTATCAGCAACATGAAAGTGTACGAATACAACTGGATAGTATTCATTGCAGAACCATGAGCCAATTAAACCTCTTTTCTTTGCAAATTACCCAGTCTCAGGTATTTCTTTATTAGCAATGTGGAACCAGACTAATACAAATCTTATTTTAAAAATGGGCTAAAGATGTGAATAGATATTTCTCAAAAGAAGACATACAAATGGCCAACAAATATATGAAAAAATGTTCAACATCACTAATCATCAGAGAAATTCAAATGAAAACCATAGTGAGATATCACTTTATCCATGTCAGAATGGCTATTATAAAAATGACAAAAATAACAAAATCTTTCAAGGATATGGAGAAAAGGGAACTCATACACTGTTTGTGGGTATATAAATTAGTGTAAACACTATGGAAATCAGTATGTTTTTTGTCCTTTATTCTGTTAATGTGATGTGTCACATTTATTTGTTTGTGGATATTGAACCATCTGTACTTCCCTGATATGAATCCCACTCGATCATGGTAAATGATCTTTTTAATGTGTTGTTAAATTTGGTTTGTTAGTCTTTTGTTGAAAAATTCTGCATAAATTTTCATCAGTGATACTGACCTGTAGTTTTATTTTCTGTTGAGTCCATGTCTTTTTTTTTTTTTTTTTTTTTTTTAATCAGAGTAATGCTGGCCTTGTAGAATGTGCTGGAAGTATTCCTTCCTCTTCAAGTTTTTGGGATAGTTTGAATAGAACTGGCATTAGTTCTTCTTTAAATTTTGGTAGCAGTCAGCAGTGAACCCATCAAGGTTCCTGGGCTTTTCTTTGATGGAAAGCTTCTAATTATTGCTTTTGATTTTGTTTCTCATTATTGGTGTGTTGAGATTTTCTATTTCTTCATGATGCAATCTTGGTAACTTGCGTGTGTCCAAGAATTTATCCATTTCCTCTAGGTTTTCCAATTTGTTGGCATATAGTTGTTTGTAGTAGCCTCTTATGATCCTTTGTATTTCTGTGGCATCAGCTGCAATGTTACCCTTTTCTTCTCTTGTTTTAGTTATTTGAATTTCCTCACTTTTATTTTTAGTCTATCTAAAGGTTTGTCAAGTTTGTTTATCTTTTCAAAATACAGCTTTTTGTTTTGTTCATCTTTTATATTTTTTAATCTCTTTTTTGTTTATTTCTGCTCTGATTTTATTAGTTTGTTCCTTCTACTTATTTTCGGATTGTTCTTTTTTTTTTAGTTCTTTGAGGAGTAATGTTAGGTTGTTTATTTGAGTTCTTTCTAGTTTTTTTTCATGTAGGTGTTTATTGCTATAAACTTTATTTTAGGGCCATTTTTCCTATATTATATAGGCTTTTGTATGTTGTATTTTCATTTTTCATTTGTCTCAAGGAATTTTTAAATTAAAAAACTTTCTTTTCTTTGATGCATTGTTTTTTTCATGAACATGTTGTTTAATTTTCATGTATTTGAACAGTTTCCAAAGTTCCTTCTGTTATTGATTCATAGTTTTATTCCATTGTAATCATAAAATATACTTCATATGATTTCAATTAAAAAAATTGTTAAAACTTGTTTTGTCGCCTAATATATGGTCTGGAGAATCTTCCATGTGCTATGGTGAAGAATGTATATTCTCTAGCTGTTGGGTGACACGTATTATAAATGTCTGTTAGGTTCATTTTGTCTAGAATGCAGTTTAAATTAAGTGTATATTTTCATTTTTTTATTTCAACTTTTCTTTCAGATAAAGGTGTGGGGGGTTACATGTGCAGAATTGTTACATGGGAATGTTACACAGTACTCAGGTTTGGAGTATGGATCCCATCACTTTGGTAGTAAGCATAGTACTACATAGGTAGTTTTTAAACCCACCACCACCTTCCACCTCTAGTAGGCCACAGTGCCTATTGTTGTCATATTTATATCCACATGTGGTCAATACTTAGCTCCCACTTATAAATGAGAACATGCAGTATTCAGTTTTCTGTTCCTGTATTAATTTGTTTAGGATTATGCCCTCCAGCTCCATCCATGTTGCTGCAAAGGACACGATCTCATTCTTTCTAATGGGTACATAGTATTGCATGGTATATATGTCCCATATTTCCTTTCTCCAATCTGCCATAGTTGGGCAACGAGATTGATTCCATGTCTTGCTATTGTGAATAGTACAGTAATGAATATTTGAGTGCATGTGTTTTTTTGGTAGAATGACTTATATTCTTTTCAGTATATACCCAGTAATGGGACTGCTGGGCTGAATGGTAGTTCTGTTTTAATTTCTTTGAGACATCTCCAAACTGCTTTCCATAGTGGCTGAGCTAATTTACATTCCTACCAACAGTGTTTAAATGTTCCCTTTTATAGGCTGGGAACAGTGGCTCACGCCACTAATCCCAACACTTTGGGAGGCTGAGGTGGGTGGATCATTTGAGGTCAGGAGTTTGAGACCAGCCTGGCCAACATGGTGAAGCCCTATCTCTACTGAAAATAGAAAAAAAACAGCCAGGTGTAGAAGCACGTACCTGTAATCCCAGCTACCTGGGAGGCTCAGGCAGGAAAATAGGTTGAGCCCTGGGGGGTAGAGGTTGCAGTGAGCTGAGATCGTGCCACTTTTCTCCACAGCCTTACCAGCATCTGTAGTTTTTTGACTTTTTAATAATAGCCATTCTGACTGGTGTGAGATGGTATCTCATTGTGCTTTTGACTTGCATTACTCTAATAATTAGTGATGCTGATCATTTTTTCATATGCTTGTTGGCAGCATATGTCTTTTTTTGATAAGTGTCTGTTCATGTCTGTTGCCCATTTTCAATGGAGATTTTTTCTTGTTGATTTGTTTAATTTCCCTATAGGTTCTGGATATTAGGCCTTTGTTGGAGACATAGTTCATGAATACTTTCTCTGATTCTATAGATTGTCTGTTTGCTCTGTTGACAGTTTCTTTTACTGTGCAGAAGTTCTTTAGTTTAATTAAATCCTACTTGTCTATTTTTGTTTTTGTTGCATTTGCTTTTGGGGACTTAGCCAAAAATTATTTGCCAAGGCCTATGCCAAGAAAAATATTTCCTAGGTTGTCTTCTAGGATTTTTATAGTTTGAGGTCTTACATTTAAATCTTTAATCCATTTTGAGTTGATACTCATATAAGGTGATAGATATGGGTTCAACTTCAATATTCTGCATAAGGTTAGGCAGTTATTCTAGCATCATTTATTGAATTGGGAGCCCTTTCCTCATTGCTTGTTTTTGTTGGTCTTGTCAAATATCAGATGGCTGTAGGTGTGGGGCTTTATTTATGAGTTTTCTATTCTATTTTATTGGATTGTGTGTCTGTTTTTGTACCAGTACCAAACTGTTTTGGTTATTGTGGCTTTATAGTATAGTTTGAAGTTGGCTACTGTGATGCTTCTGGCTTTTTTCTTTTTGCTTAGTATTGCTTTGGTTATTTGGGCTCTTTTTTGCTTCCATATAAGTTTTAGAATAGTTTTTCCTAATTCTAGGAAGAATGGTGGTGTTAGTTTGATAGGTATAGCATTGAATCTGTAAATTACTTTGGGCAGTATGGCCTTTTTTACTATATTGATAGTAAATAGTGCTGCAACAAACATATGCATGCATGTATCTTTATAATAGAATGATTTATATTCCTTTGGCATATACCCAGTAATATATTTGGGATTGCTGGGTCAAATGATATTTCTGCCTCTAGGTCTTTGAAGAATCACCACACTGTCTTCCACAGTGGCTGAACTAATTTACACTCCCACCAACAGTGGAAAAGTGTTCCTTTTCCTCCACAACCTCGCCAGCATCTGTTATTCTTTGACATTTTAATAATAGCCATTCTGACAAACTTGAGATGGTATCTCATTTTGGTTTTGATTTGTATTTCTCTAACGATCAGAGATACTGAATTTTTTTTCATGTTTGTTGGCCACATGTATATATTCCTTTGAGAAGTGTCTGTTAATGTCCTTTGTCAACTTTTTTATGGTGTTTTATGTCGTTACAGCACTATTTACAATAGGAAAGTCATGGAATTAACCTAAATACCTATCAATGACAAATTGGATAAAGAAAATGTGGTACATATATTCCATGGAATACTATGCAGTCATAAAAAGGAACCAGATCATGTCCTTTTGTAGGAATATGGTTGGAGTTGGAAACTATTATCCTCAGAAAACTAATGCAGGAACAGAAAACTAAATACCACATATTCTTACTTCTAAGTGAGAGCTGATGGATGAGAATACATGGATACATGGGGGGATCAACACACACTGGGCACCTGTGGGAGTTGTGGTGGGAGGGAGAGTGTCAGGAAGAATAGCCACTGGATTCTGGGCTTAATACCTGGGTGATGGGATGATCTGTGCAGTAAACCACCATGGCACACATTTAGCTATGTAACAAACCTGCACATCCTGCACATGTATCCCTGAACTTAAAATAAAAGATGAAGAAAAATAAAGAAAATTGGCCCCCAATCTTTTCTGTCTTGTAATGTTTCTGCTGAGAGGTCTGCTGCTAGGCTGATGGAATTCCTTCTCTAGGTGACTGGCACCTTCTCTCTAGCTGCCTCTAAGGATTTTTCTTTTGCAATCCCTTTGATGAATCTGATGATTAATTGCCATAGGAATGATTATCTTATATCGTATCTGGCTGAAGTTCTCTGTATTTCTTGGATTTGCATGTTGACCTCTCTAGCAAGAGTAGGAAAATATTTGTGGACTATATCCTCAAATATATTTTACAAGTTGCTTATTCTCCTCTCTCAGGAATGCCAATGAATTGTTAATTTTGCCTTCTTACATAATCCCATATTTCTGGGATGTTTTGTTCATTTTTCTTAATTGTTTTCTTTATTTTTGTCTGACTGAGTTGATTCATAGAACCAGTCTTCAAACTCTGAGATTCTTTCCTCAACTTGGTCTATTCTGCTGTTAATACTTCTGATTGTATTATGAAATTCTTGTAGTGAGCTTTTCAGCTCAGGAAGTTCAGTTTGGTTCTTCTTAAAAAGGGAATTTTGTTGTTCAGCTCTTTGTTTTAGTGGATTGCTTGGCTTTCTTGGATTGATTTTCAACTTTCTCTGTGATCTCAATGAGCTTCTTTGCCGTCAAGATTCTGAATTCCATGTCTGTCATTTCAGACAATCCAGACTGGTTATGAACCATTACTAGGGAAGTAGTGGGCTCATTTGGAGGCAAGGCGACATTCTGGCTTTTTGAATTACCAGGGTCCTTGTCCTGATTTGTTCTCATCTGGGAGGACTAGTATTCTTTTCATTGTGTTATAAATTGAGCATAGTCCATTGGCTTTGCTTCTGGAAGTTTCAGAGGACTAAGGCTCTGTATAGGGTCTTTGTTGTAAAATTCTTGTTCTTGGTTTCACAGTGGGGATAATTATTAAAGTGATTTTTGGTGTTGTAGTTTGGGTTGCCATACGGTAGATGGTGCTTGAGAGCAATGAGCAGTAGATAGGCTCTTAACCACACATTTCCTTTGTGCATCTTCACATTTGCAACTGTGTTCTGCCATGTGAGGAGAAGAGATGTAACTCTCTCACCAGGCTTGCCCATGAGCCTTGGGAGAACCACTGCCAACCACTGGCACTGTGCCTGCAATTTTGTTGTGGTGATGGTGGTTAGATCTTTTGGGCCACAGGGCTCCCTTAGGGAGAGGTCTGATGGGGAAACAGGCAACACCCTTTATGAATCAACCTTGTGCAGGGAGGCATGGCTAGGTCTCACACCAGCTTGTGAGCCTGTACCACTCAGGACTCTCAGTTTTCTGAGAGTGTGGGCTCCTGTCCTGTTCAAGTACCAAGCACAAATCTCAGCTCAACCCTCCTGAGCCACAGGCTACAGCCTGAGGGCTCTAGGGTCTGCTTGCAACTCCCTCCTCCAGGCACTCAGGGATGGGTTCTGGGTGCAGTGTGGGATCTGAAGGGCTCCCAGGATGCCAGAATGCACTCAGGTGGAGCAAAACACCCAGTCTGGGCAGTGGAGGCTGCATTATGTACATTCTCTTACGGGACAGTTAGGGAAGGTTCCTGGGAGGGGCTGGCAGGCAGGTGGGTCTGCGGGTCAGATGTGCCCCAGTCCCACAGAGAAGCACAACCTGTTTTCTCCTTGGTGGGTTCAGAGCCTCTCAGAGGGAGACAGGTAGCCCTGGGAGTGGATGCTTATGGCTGAGCTTTGCTGGGACTGACCTGCACTCAAGGGTCCTCAGCTTTGCACCTGCTGCAGCTCTGTCTCCATCTAATCTTCAGGGAGATCTCCCCTGCCAGCTCACACATCCATGTGGGAGTGAGTTCCCCTGCAACTAGGATCTCAGAGGTTTGCAGTAAGATTGAGCAGTCTCCCAGTCTCTTAACTCACCCCTTCCTCAGGCACCATTTGGTGCTGGGAAACAGCTGGGGTGCTCAGGTGCTCCAACTTGGGTTCCCAGCTTCCTCCCTATTCAGCCTCAGCATGTGAGTCTTTTTTCCATCCACATTTGGTGTTTTCTGTCCAGAGATTGGTTCAAATTATGTTGGTATAGTCGAAACTGTGAGCTCTGTCTATGAGAGCAGCAGTTCCTGGTTGCGTCTAGTCAGTTGTCTTGGAAAATGTAAGAGTTAAAGAAAAAGGAAAGAAACATGAAAAATGGCTCAGCAGTCAAAGACAGGTTTATTTTGGAGAATAAACTGGAGAGCGGTTTCTGGAGGATTTCGGGCAGGAGCACTCTGTCTTACAGACTAAGAGTATTTAAGGGTTCAGGGTGAGAGAGCTTATCACAGGGTAGGAAGTTTCTGTGTGGAGGAAAAGTTTATTGCAGGGTTGGAATGTCCCTGGTCGGAGGGGAGGTCATCTTGGGGCTGACACCTCTCTGGCGGGAAGGGAGGTTTTCTTGGGGCTGGCATGTTTCTGGTTGGGGAGAATTTTATCTTAGGGTTAGAATGTTTCTGGTCAGAGATGTTATCTGTGGTTTATGGTCATGCTGACATTAGCCATTAGGCTGATGCCCTTTGGGAAGATTTAGGCGGTTTTTTATTAAGGTGAACTTTAAAGTGGCAGTGCTTGTCCAAGATGGCAATGCTTCTGCTCTGTCAGAAAAATTTCCAGTTTCTTTGTTGATTTTTTGTCTGGATGATCTGAAAGTGTAGTGTTGAATTCCCCTCCTATTATTGTATCACGTTCAATCGCTTTTAGTCTGTTAATATTTGCTTTATATGTTTAGGTGCTCCTGTGTTGTGTGTACATATATTTATAATTGTTACATCCTTCTGTTGTATTGAGCCCTTTATCATAATATAATGGCTTGATTTATATTTTTAAAATAATTTTTAACTTAAAGTGTATTTTATCTCATATAAATGTAGCTACTCCTGCTCTTTTTTGGTTTCCCTTTGGTTGGAAGATCTTTTTCCAACCCTTTTTTTCAGCTTATGCATGTCTTTATAGGTGAAGTAGGTTTTCTATAGGGCACATATACTTGGATCTTATTTTTTTCATTCAGCCACTCTATGTCTTTAATTTGGAGAATTCTGTCCTTTAACATTCATGGTTATTATGCATAATTAAGGTCTTACTATTGATATTTTGTTGCTAATTTTACTGTTGTTTTGTAAATCTTCTCTTTCTTACTTTCTGTCTTCTTTTGTGGTTGTTTTTCTCTGATGGTATGTTTTAATTCATTGCTTTTTGTTTTTAGTATATCTATTATAGGTTTTCACTTTGTGGTTACCGTGAGGCTTACAGAAAACATCTTATGTAACTAATTATTTTAACCTGATGACAAGTTAACATTGGTCACAAAGAAAAGAGAAACAAAACTAAAAAAAACTTTATACTTTACTCCTCACATTTTGACTTTTAGATATCTCAATTTCTATATTTTTGTACTGCCTAATGCATAATAAATTTTTCTAGTTATTATTTTTTAATAGTTTTGTCTGTCTTCAAACTAAATATATGAGTCCTTTATATACCACAGTTACAGTATTAGAGTATTCTGAATTTGTATTGTTTCTATTAGCAGAGATTTTTATAAAAAATTTCTGATGTTTCGTTGTTAAACATTAGAATCCTTTGCCATCAGATTGAGTAACTTCCTTTAGTATTTCTTATAAAACAGGTTTGGATGTGGTAAGTTTTCTCACCTTTTGTTTGTCTAGGAAAGTCGTTATCTTCCCTTCATGTTAGAAGGATAGCTTTGTTGAATACACTATTTTAGGTTGTCAATTCTTTTCCTTCAGCACTTTGAATATGTCATCTTACTTCCCCCTAACCTGTAAAATTATTATTATTTTTTATATTTGGGACCTGAAGTCACTTTAGGCAGCTGGTGTTTAAGGGGTATAGGACTCAGGTTCCTCTTGCTGGGGCAGCTGATTCCCTTGGGGCTGGGGTGAGTCTCAATGCTCCCTATGTGAGCACTGGCCTAGAATCAAGGACCACAGAGTTCTAACCTGGTGCTGTGTTTTACTGTAGCAAAGCTGGTACTAAGTTCCAATACAGCCCCCACCCCCTGATACTTTCCTCTCCTTCAAGAAGAAAGATTTTTCTACACACTGTGCCACTTCGGTTTGGGGGAGGGGTGTGAGACTGTACTTTCTGCTCTCTTCAATGAATATTTTCTAGTTATTATGCTAAAACCAGGTACCATGACCTCTCACCTGATTCCTTTAGTTCTTGTGAAGGTGTATTCTTGCATGGATAGTCATTCAATTTGATGTTCCTGTGGATGGATAGGGTTCTTCCTCCATCTTGCTCTGGTGATTCTATCTCAAAGCCTTTCTTCTTATAGCTGAGAAAATGGGTGAGGTTTTTTCAGCCAAAGGAAAAATCTTACACCTGAATATAAATTTTAAACTCAAAAGCCCATCTCAAATTACAAATGTTGCAATTTCTAGAAAACAATTTCATATCACAATTTGACTATGATACATGTATGTGTGGATTTCTATGAGTTTATTTTTGAATTTATGGAACTTCTTGATGTGAAGATTAATGCTTTAACAAAATTTTGGAACTTTTCATTCACTATTTATTAAAAAAGTTTTTTCTTCTCTTCCTCTTTTCTTCTTCTGGAATGCCCATTATGTGTATGTTGGTACACTTGGATGGTGTTGTACCAATTTCTGAGGCTCTGTTAATTTGCTTCATTCCTTTTTCTTTATGTTTCTCTGACTAGGTAATTTCAACTTATTTGTCTTTAATGTCACTAATTTTTTTGTCTTTTAAAATAGTCCTTTGATTCCATCTTTCCATTTCAGTTATTGTGGTTTTCAACTCCAGAATTTCTATTTGGTTACTTCGGGAAATTTATATCATGCTATTGATTTTCTTTCACAGTGAGATATTATTACACTTTAATTCTTTAGATATGATTCCCTTTAGTTATTTGAATAGTTTTATAATAGCTGATTTAGAATCTTTGTCTAGTAAGTCCAACATCTTGGCATCTTCAGGGAGAGTTTTTATTAACTGATCTATTTTTGTTTTGTGTATTGGCTATTTTCTTGTTTCTGTGCGTGTCTGATAATTTTTTGTTTAAATTCTAAATAATATGATGTGAAATTCTGAAAATTAGATTACTCTTCTTTCCCAGGGTTTGTTATTTTGCTGTTTTTGTTATTTGTTTGATTAGTGCATTTCTTGGACTAGTTTTGTAAAGTTTATATATTTTGTTGTTTGTAACTACTGAAGTCTGCTTAGTTAGCTTAGTGATCAGCTAATGACTAGACAGAGATTTCCTTAAATGTATTGAATTGATGTCTCCCACCCTTGTAGAGGGGCTCCCTGTGTGTCTCTGTGTGTCTTGAGGCATGCTTTCAATGCTGAGGTAAGAAGTTTGTAACTCTGCCTTAGCCTTCATTTCCTGTTTGCTCAGAACCTCAAGGTCAGTTAGAGGTGAGAGATCTGGGAATATTCATGTCTTTCCTAAACCTGTGCACAGCCCTACATATGTGTTTTGTCTATTAGATTCCCTGATACATGTTAGAGCTTTATAGAGCCACTCCTTATGGACATCTAATTTCCCAATTTTTCTTTTTGAGATTTTGATGGTCAGCCCCAACCTGGTAGTGCTCATCACATGTCTACTATGTTAAGCAGTTACCACTGATCATTTTTTGACAAATGCCCTAGGGTGAGGGATATTCTGGACAAGGAAAGCTCTAAGTCAGGTCAAATAGATATATACCTTGACAGTGCATCTTTTCAGGAAGCTGGCAGATACATCATCAAATAGTGGTTATTCTCTAGGAATGGTGCTTTTGGGGATCCTCAAACTTATTTTGCCCTCTCTAGGGGTTGTTAGGCAGCTGGATTTCACAGCTATTATAGTTGTGAGGCTGTTGGTTGACTGGGTTACCAAGGACCTAGAGTGAGGGGAATGGAATTAGGGCATATTAACATGCTAACTGTTACCAAGGTCAGCCATTAGAAAATGTATTTGTTCTATAATGACTGTACACATATTTTCAATTGCACCAACAATTATACAAGGGTTTTCTTTCTCCAGTTTCTCACCATTTGTTATCTTTTGCGTTTTTCATTATAGTTGTTCTAATAGGTGTGAGGTGATATCTCATTGTGGCTTTAATTTGCATTTCCCTGATGATTAAAAATGTTGAGCATTTTTTCATATACTTGTTGACTATTTATGTGTCTTTTTTGTTTGTTTGTTTTTGAGAGACAGAGTCTTGCTCTGTTGCCTGGGCTGGAGTGCAGTGGTGTGATCTTGGCTCACTGCAACCTCCACATTCTGGGTTCAAGTGATTCTCCTACCTCAACTTCCCAAGTAGCTGGAACTACTTGGGATGCCACCCAAGTAGTGCGTGCCACCATGTCCAGCTAATTTTTGTATTTTTTAGTAGAGATGGGGTTTCACTGTATGTTGGCCAGGCTGGTCTCAAACTCCTGATCTCAAGTGAGCCACCTACCTTGGCCTCCCAAAGTGCTGGGATTACAGGCATTAGCCACGATGTCTGGCCTATATGTCTTCTTTTGAGAAATATGTATTAGGCTTTTTGTACATCTTTAAATTGGGTTGCTTCTTAATATTGAATTGATTGCATTCCTTACGTATTTTGACTATTAACTCCTTATCAGATCTATAGTTTGCAAACATCTTCTCCCATTCTGTAGGTTGTCTCTTCATACTGTTGATAGTTTTGTTTTCTGTGCAGGAACTGTTTAGTTTGATACAATCTTATTCTATTTTTGCTTTTGGGGTTGTATTAAAAAAATCATTGCTAAGACCAATGTCAGGGAGATTTTTCCCTACGTTTTCTTCTAGTAGTTTTATTGTTTTATATTTATTATGGCAGTTCCTCAAAAAATTAAAAACAGAATTACCATCAGATCCAGCAGTTCCATTTCTGGGCATACAGTCAAAAGAAATTAAATTAGTATGTCAAAGAGATATCAGCAATCCTATGTTTATTGCAGCATTATTCACAGTAGACAAGATGTGGAATCAACTTAAGTGTCTGTGTTAGTCCATTCTTATGTTGCTATGAAGAAATACCTGAGACTGGGTAATTTATAAAGAAAAGAGATTTACTTGACTCACAGTTCTGCATGGCTGGGTGGCCTCAGGAAACTTACAATCATGGCAGAAGGGGAAGCAAACACATCCTTCTTCACAAGGCAGCAGGAGAGAGAAGTGCCAATCAAAGGGGGAAAGCACCTCAGAAAACCATCAGATCTTGTGATAACTCACAATCATGAGAATAGCATGGGGGTAACTGCCCCCGTGATTCAGTCACCTCCCACTGGGTCCCTCCCATGTCATGTGGGGATTATGGGAGCTACAATTCAAGATGAGATTTGGGTGCGGCGAGCCAAACCATATCATTCCACCCGGCCCCTCCCAAATCTCATGTCCTCACATTTCAAAACACAATCATGCCCTTCCAACAGTCCCCCAAAGTCTTAACTTATTCCAGCATTAACTCAAAAGTCTAAGTACTTGTGAGACAAGGCAAGTCCCTTCTGCCTATCACCCTGTGAAATCAAAGGCTTACTTTCCAGATACAATGGGGGAACATGCACTGGGTAAATACACCCATTCCAAATAGGAGAAATTGGCCACAACAAAGAGGCTACATGCCCCAATCAAGTTCAAAATCCAATAGGGCAGTCATTAAATTTTAAAGTTCCAAAATGATCTTCTTTGACTTCATGTCTCACATCCAGGGCACACTGGTGCAAGAGGTGGGCTTCCGTGGCCTTAGGCAGCTCCACCCTTGTGGCTTTGTGGGGTACAGCCCCATTCCCAGGTGCCTTCACAGCTGGCCTTGAGTGTCTCCAGCTTTTCCAGGCACATGATGCAAGCTGTCAGTGGATCTTCCATTCTGGGGTCTGGAGGACAGTGGCCCTCTTCTCACAGCTCTACTAGGCAGTGCCCCAGTGGGGACTCTGTGTGGGGGCTCCAACTCCACATTTCCCTTCTACACTGCCCTAGCAGAGGTTCTCCGTGAATGCTCCCCACCTGCAGCAAACTTCTGCCTGGACATCCAGACATTTCCGTACATCCTCTGAAATCTAGGCAGAAGTTCCCAAATCTCAATTCTTGACTTCTTTATACCTGCAGGCTCAAAACCATGTGGAAGCTGCCAAGGCTTGGGGCTTGCACCCTCTGAAGCAATGGTCTGAGCTGTACATTGGTCTATTTCAGGAATGGCTGGAGGTGAAGCAGCTGGGATGTAGGGCACCATGTCCTGAGGCTGCACAGAGCAGGGGAACCTGGGCCTGATCCAGGAAACCATTTTTTCCTCCTAGGCCTCTGGGCCTGTGATGGGAGGGGCTGCTGTGAAGGTCTCTGACATGACTTGGAGACATTTTCCCCATTGTCTTGGTGATTAACATTAGCTCCTCGTTACTTATGGAAATTTCTGCAGCAGGCTTGAATTTCTCCCCAGAAAATGGGTTTTTCTTTTGTATTGCATCATCAGGCTGCAAATTTTTCAAACTTTTATGTTCTGCTTCCTCTTGAACACTTTGCTGCTTAGAAATTTCTTCTGCCAGATACCATAAATCATCTCTCTCAAGTTCAAAATTCCACAGATCTGTAGGGCAGGGGCAAAATGCTACCAGTCTCTTTGCTAAAGTATTGCAAGAGTCACCTTTATTCCAGTTCCGAACAACTTCTTCATCTCCATCTGAGACCACCTCAGGCTGGACTTCATTGTCCATATCACTATCAGCATTTTGGCCAAAGCCATTTAACAAGTCTCCAGGAAGTTCCAAACTTTCCCACATCTTCCTGCCTTCTAAGTCCTCCAAACTGCTCCAACCTCTGCCTGTTACCTAGTTCCAAAGTTGCTTCTACATTTTTGGTTATCTTTATGGCAGTGCCTCACTACTGTGGTACCAATTTACTATATTAGTTCATTCTCAAACTGCTATGAAGAAATACCTGAGACTAGGTAATTTATAGAAAAGAAGTTAATTTACTCACAGTTCCACATGGCTGGGATGGCCTCAGAAAACTTACAATTATGGTGGAAGGAGAAGCAAAGACATCCTCCTTCACAAGGTGGCAGGAGAGAGAAGTGCTGTGCAAAGGGGGAAAAACCTCTTATAAAACCATTCATATCTCGTAAGAACTCATTTACTATCATGAGAATAGCATGGAGGTTGGCGCCCTCATCATTCAATTACCTCCTGCTGGGTCCCTCCCATGACACATGGGGATTATGGAAACTACAATTCAATATGAGATTTGGGTGGGGACACACACAAACCATATCAGTGTCCTTTGACAAATGAATAGATAAAAATGTGCTGTATATATACACAACGAAATATTATGTGGCCTTAAATAAAGAAGTTCTGTCAGTTGCAACGGCATCGATGAACCTGGAGGATATTATGCTAAGTGAAATAATCCAGGCCCATAAAGACATATATTGCAGTCTTGGTAAGTTACATATTTCTATGAATTTATACATTTGTTCTAGATTATTCAATTTTTGGTGTATAATTGTTCATAATAGTCATAATTTTTTGTATTTCTGTGGTCAGTTGTAATGTCTCATCTCTCATTTATAATTGTATTTATTTGAATTTTCTTTTTTGTATAGCTAAAATTTTGCCAATTTTGTTTATCCTTTCAAAGAATAAGCTCTTAGTTTTGTTGACCATTTCTAGAGTTTTTCTAGTCTCTATTGCATTTAGTTCTGCTCTGATCTTCATTATTTCCTTCCTCCTATTAACTGTGGACTTAGTTTGCTCTTTGTTTTTAGTGTTCCATGACATGTACTAGATTTTTGGATTTGAGGTCTTTCTTTTTTTCTTAATGTAGACATTCATTGCTATAAACCTCCTGTTAGGACTGCTTTTGCATCATTTCATGTTTTGTTATGTTGTGTTTCCATTTTAGTTTATCTTGAGATATTTTTGATTTTCCTTTTTATTTTCTCATTGACTCATTGGTTATCCAGGAGTGTGCCACTAAATTTTCCCACATTTTGAATTTTCTGAAAAATTTCCTGTGATTGATTTCTAGTTTTATACCATTGTGGTAAGAAAAGATAATTGATATGATTTCAGCCTTCTAAAATTTGTTAAGACTTATTTTATGGCCTAAAATATGACCAAAGTCATACCTTGGAGATACTGCAGGTTCAGTTCTAGAACACCACAATAAAGCAAATATCACAATAAAGCAAGTTACACATTTTTTGTTTCATGGTCCATATGAAAGTTATGTTTAAGGTCTAATATCCAGCATCTATACGAAACTAAAACACATTTACAAAAAAATAAACAGCAACAACAACAAACAACCCCATTAAAAAGTGGGCAAAAGACATGAATGGACACTTCCAAAGAAGACATACATGTGGCCGACAATCATATAAAAAAAGCTTAACATCACTGATCATTAGAGAAATGCAAATGAAAACCATGAGATGCCGTCTCACACCAATCAGAATGGCTATTACTAAAAAGCCCAAAAAGAACTGATGCTGGCAAAGTTGCAAAGGAAAAGGAACACTTATACACAGTTGGTGGGAGTGTAAATTAGTTCAACCATTGTGGAAGACAGTATGGTGATTCATCAAAGACCTAAAAACAGAAATAGCATTTAGCCCAGCAATCCCGTTACTGGGTATATACCCAAAGGAATAGATATCATTCTCCTATAAAGACGTGTGCACATGTACGTGCCTGTTTGGTGCTCACTGCTTTTTGCCTGAGTGGGTACCTAAGGTACAAGACAAAGTCCTCTTTACTTTTTCCTCTGTTTTTCTTTTTTTTTTCTTTTTTTTTAATATTATACTTTAAGTTTTAGGGTACATGTGCACATTGTGCAGGTTAGTTACATATGTATACATGTGCCATGCTGGTGCGCTGCACCCACTAACTCGTCATCTAGCATTAGGTATATCTCCCAATGCTATCCCTCCCGCCTCCCCCCACCCCACAACAGTCCCCAGAGTGTGATGTTCCCCTTCCTGTGTCCATGTGTTCTCATTGTTCAATTCCCACCTATGAGTGAGAATATGTGGTGTTTGGTTTTTTGTTCTTGCGATAGTTTACTGAGAATGATGATTTCCAATTTCATCCATGTCCCTACAAAGGACATGAACTCATCATTTTTTATGGCTGCATAGTATTCCATGGTGTATATGTGCCACATTTTCTTAATCCAGTCTATCATTATTGGACATTTGGGTTGGTTCCAAGTCTTTGCTATTGTGAATAATGCCGCAATAAACATACGTGTGCATGTGTCTTTATAGCAGCATGATTTATAGTCCTTTGGGTATATACCCAGTAATGGGATGGCTGGGTCAAATGGTATTTCCAGTTCTAGATCCCTGATCTTTGACAAACCTGAGAAAAACAAGCAATGGGGAAAGGATTCCCTATTTAATAAATGGTGCTGGGAAAACTGGCTAGCCATATATAGAAAGCTGAAACTGGATCCCTTCCTTACACCTTATACAAAAATCAATTCAAGATGGATTAAAGACTTAAACGTTAGACCTAAAACCATAAAAACCCTAGAAGAAAACCTAGGCATTACCATTCAGGACATAGGCATGGGCAAGGACTTCATGTCTAAAACACCAAAAGCAATGGCAACAAAAGCCAAAATTGACAAATGGGATCTAATTAAACTAAAGAGCTTCTGCACAGCAAAAGAAACTACCATCAGAGTGAACAGGCAACCTACAAAATGGGAGAAAATTTTCACAACCTACTCATCTGACAAAGGGCTAATATCCAGAATCTACAATGAACTCCAACAAATTTACAAGAAAAAAACAACCCCATCAAAAAGTGGGCGAAGGACATGAACAGACACTTCTCAAAAGAAGACATTTATGCAGCCAAAAAACACATGAAAAAATGCTCATCATCACTGGCCATCAGAGAAATGCAAATCAAAACCACAATGAGATACCATCTCACACCAGTTAGAATGGCAATCATTAAAAAGTCAGGAAACAACAGGTGCTGGAGAGGATGTGGAGAAATAGGAACACTTTTACACTGTTGGTGGGACTGTAAACTAGTTCAACCATTGTGGAAGTCAGTGTGGCAATTTTTCCTCTGTTTTTCTTAAGCAGAGGGAGTTTCTTACCATAGCCACCACAGTTGGAAATGTGCTGGGTCTCACCTGAAGCCAGCATATCTCAGAGTCTCACCTGATGCCCATAGCATACTACCGAGATCTTGCTGCTGATTATTCAGGGCCCAAGGGCTCTTTAGTCAGCAGGTGATAGATCTTGCCAGGACTGAATTCTTCTCTTGAAGGTGGCAAGTTCCCTTTTGGCCCAGGATGTGTCTAGAAGTGTCATCCAGGAACTAAGGCCTGGAACGGAGGCCTCAAAATTCTGCCCAGTGCCCTATCCTACTGTGGCTGAGCTGGTATCCAAGATACAAGATGAAATCTTTTTTATTCATCCCTCTCTTCTCCTCAAGAAGAAGGTCTTTTTTGGAGCTGTGAGTTGCACTGCCTGGGTTTGGAGTAGGGGTGGCACAGCACTCCTTTAGCTGTCCTGGCTGGTGTCTCAGTAGATGCCCCCTAAGTCCACTGGCTCTGAATCCGGCTCAGCACTAGGACTTGCCTAGGAGTTGCAGTCCTTGTGGCCTATATTGCCTTTGAAGTTAAGTTCCAGGGAACTTTTAGCCCATGGTGGTAAGGCTTGCCAGAACTCAAGTTCCAACAGCAGGGATATGCAATTCCCTTTTGGCCTCTCTCCATAGGTGGGCATCAGCTGAGTTTAGCTTGATTTTTCTTTCTGCCATGACAGGGTAGCACTGAGTTCAATGCAAAGTCTCACAATCACTGCACTGTTTCTCTCAAAGAGCACAAATAATTTCTCTCTGCACCAGGCGGACACTGCTGAGCAATGGGGGAGGGATGGCATTAGCAATTCAAGACTGTCCTTTCTACCCTCTTCAGTGCCTCTTTCAACAATATGAAGTTAAAACCAGATACTGTGAGTGTTCAGCAGATTTTTGGTTCCTACTAAGGTGCTTTTTCCTGTATAGATAGTTTTAAATTTGTTGTTCCTGCAAGAGGGATAATTGGTGTAACCTTCTATTTGACCATCTTGCTCCACCACTTTGGGTATCCAGGATAGCGCTTTTATTAGCTACAGGAGACCTCACTATTTGGACTGTAGTGGGGCTCTGTGTTGTGCCCCCATGACTATTAAATGATGATAAGCATCTAATGGAGAGCCCCTCAATCTCTTCCTTGAGACCTTATTGTTGAGCAACTAGAGCCATAGATGTCTTTGAGAAGGGACTTAAACAAATGGTCCAGGAGTGAGTGCCCAGTTACATTTTTACATCACTCTGACTGCTAATGAAATACTGGTGTCTTGGCAGTAGGTTCTTTTGTCTGGCATGGAAATTTTTCAGTTAAGATCTGGATTGTGCTGCTAACTATTTCACATCATCAAGTTCAATTGAGCTAGATAACCAATGAGAGTAGCACAAATGAACCTAGGTCTGAGTTTGGTAAATGATCTTATTTGTCTTCTGTTGTTCTTACTCCTTATTGCTGAAGTAAGAGACTATCAGGTAGCTTTCAGGGCACTTTGGAGGTGACTGGAAGAGTGATCAGAAAAGGTTTTTCAGTGGCAGGGAACTCACCACAGTTGGACCAAATTAGTCAGAGGCCGAATAGCAGCCAGCTAAGAAAAGAGAGGTTCTCATATGTATGTAACACTTTCCCCCTACCCACTTCTTCATCCTTCTTGGGCAAAGTGGCCATGGAAGGACATTCTGAATAAGGAGGTCTGCAGTGACACACCTCATAAGTGCCACTGTCCCTAATTAAATCTAACGAGAGTAACTCATTTAAGGTAAAGGTGAACTATTCACATCTCTTCTATGGTCTCTTTTGATTGGTGTGCAATATGATCATGAGGACTCTACATACTTTTTCATCACACATGGAAAAATGAATAAAACATGAAAACATGCATTGTAGACACTCAGTGCTAGGAACATGCTTAGATTTAACAATGGTCATTGGATGCAATTTTGCATGTAGGGTCTATGCAAATTTTGGTCACCAACTACTTTGTTTTCTGGTTTATCTTTCCTGTGTTTCAATTTCTAAAAGTAAGTATCTCTTTACATTTATTTCCTAATGGATAGCATACTTGATATCTTTCTTCTATTTCAATTTTTTCTCACTTAACATTACCTTCTATAAATCCCTCTAAATCAGGTTGTAACAATCTTTTTATTACTTTTAGAGCTTCCTGTACAACTCTTTGTATCATATTAAATATTGTAGTTGATAATACCACAAATTATAATATATACCTTTTTATTAACCAATTTCATATGCTTGTACATTTAAGTGATTTTGAGTATTTTGTAATTAAAAGTATGCTGTAATGAATAAACTTGCACATATGAATTTTCATTGCTTTGCCTATGAATATATATTAATCTAAATTATAAATAATTAAGAACAAGTAGAGGCTAATATAAATATTTGATGCCAAGAAATATCAAAATAATGAGACTACTTCACCTCAGATCCTTTAAAGTTCTTGTCACTATTTTCATGTCAGATCTAGAATTATAGTAATTTACTTATATTTTACATGTATAAAAATGAGACAGAATATGGCTGTATACTTGTTATAAATCTGAAATCTAGAAATTTCACTATAGTTTATGTTTAGTGCACTAAATTTATTAATTTGTGTAGCTCATAATGATGTACCAGAAGAAAATCTTATGCTTGAACAAGACACAAAGTCAAAAACGGAAGTAGAAGTAAAGAAACAAAAATCTTTCCAAGATAATCAACTCAGTAGTAAGTGTAATAATTGTAGATAACCTTAAAATAATTTAAGATTTATTTTTAATTGGCAAGTAAAAATTATATACATTCATCATGTACTACATAGTGTTTTAATATATAAATTGTGGAATAATAAATTGTGGAATTTAAATATAAATTGTGGAAAATAAAATCAAGCTATTTAACATGTATATTACCTTGTTATTTTTTTATATTGAGAAGACTTAAAATTTCTCTTAGCAATTTTGCAATATGTTATTATTAACAGTACTCATGAAGTGCAGTAGATCTCTTAAACGTTTCTCATTTCCAGCTGAAATGTGTGTCCTTTGACCAACATTGCTTCAGTCCTCCCACCATCAGCCTCTTATAACCAACATTTTACTCTCTGTTCCTATGAACTTGACTTTTTAAAACTCCTCATATAGGTAAGATAATGCAGTATTTGTTTTTAGTGACTGGCTTACTTTATTTAACATTATGTTCTCCACATTCATCCATATTATCACAAAAGACAAAATTTACTTCCTTTTTTTAAGGGTGATTTTCGTTATCTATTGATCTGTGGCTGGACACTAAGTTTGATTCCGTATCTTGGTTATTGTGAGTAATGTTACAGTGAACATGGGAGTACAAATATCTCTTTTATATACTGATTTCATATCCTTTGGAGGTACATCCAGAGGTGAAATTGTGGATAATATTGTAGTTCTATTTTTAATTTTTTGAGGAATCCCTGTAGTGTTTTCCATTATGGCTTTACTAATTTACATTCCCACCAACAGTGTACAAGTGTTCCCTTCTCTTCACATCTTTGCCAGCACTTCTCTTCCATCTTTTTGATAATAGTTACTTTAGTGTGTGGGAAGTGATATTTCATTGTGGTTTTAATTTGCATGTCCCTGATGATTAGTGATGTTGAACACTTGTTCATATACCTGTTGGCTATTTGCATGTCTTCATTAGAGAAATGTCTATTCAGATCCCATACTCATCTTTTATTTGCGTTGATTGTTTTCTAACTATTGAGTTGTTTGAGCTGCTTCTATAAATTGGATCTTAACTGCTTATCAGATTTATGATTTGGAAATACTTTCTCTCATGCAATAGGCTATTTATTCCTACTGTTGATTGTTTGCTTTGCTGTGCAGAGCTTTTTAGTTTGGTTTAATACCATTTACTTATTTTTGCTTTTATTACCTTGCTTTTGGGGTCATATTAAAAAAATCTTTGCCCAGATCAACATAATTGAGTGTTTCCCATATTTTCTTCTAGCAATTCTAGTTTCAGATCCTAAATTTATGTGTCCTTAATCCAATTTGAGTTGATTTTTGTATATAGTGTGAGATGAAGGTATAATTTTATTCTTCTGCATGTGGATATCTAGTTTTTCAACACCATTGTATATTTTATTCCAGTGATCTACATGTCTGTTTTTGTACCAGTACCATGCTGTCTTGTTTGCTGTAGCTAAATAATATGTTTTAAAATTAGGATGTACAGTGCCTCCAGCTTTGTTTTTCTTGCTCAAGATTGCTTTGGCTATTCAGCGTCTTTTATGGTTACATATGAATTTTTGGATTTTTTCTATTTCTGTCAAAAAATGTTGCTGGGATTTTGATAGGGATTAAATTCATAACTGATGGGCATTTTAACAATATTAATTCTTCCAATCCAGGAACATGGGATATCTTTTTATTTATTTGTGCTTTCTTAAACTTCTTTTACTAATGTTTTATAGTTTTCATTGTAGAACTTTTTTTCCTCCTTGTTTAAATTTATTCCTAGGAACTTAATTTTTTGTAGATATTGTAAATGAGATTACTTTTTGACTTCTTTTTCAGACAGTTCATTGTTAGAGTATAGGAACACTACTAATGTTTGTGTGTTGACTTTCTACCCTGAAAATTTTATGAATTTAATCATTTGGTCTAATAGTTTTTTGGTGGAGTCTTTAGAGTATTCTTTTTCTTTTTTTTTTTTTTTTCATTGACAAAGAAGTTTCACCGGTGTTATTTAGTCCTTGTGGTAGTCCTTTGGAATAAGCAATGTTATTCCCTTTGATTTACACTGAGACCTAAAGATGATGAAGAGAAGGTAGATTACAAAGATAATAATATAAATAGCTATCATTTACTGAATTACTAATAAATACCAGGTACGGCAGTAGGAAGAACATAATATTTTTCTAACATACACAATAATCCTGCAAGGTTGGACTTAGTATTTCTTTTGTTTTTTTTATACTTTACGTTCTAGGGTACATGTACACAACGTGCAGGTTTGTTACATATATATACATGTGCCGTGTTGGTGTGCTGCACCCATTAACTTGTCATTTACATTAGGTATAACTTCTAATGCTATCGGTCCCCCCTCCCCCCACCCCATGATAGGCCCCAGTGTGTGATGTTCCCCTTCCTGTGTCCAAGTGTTCTCATTGTTCAATTCCTACCTATGAGTGAGAACATGTAGTGTTTGGTTTTTTGTCCTTGCGATAGTTTGCTGAGAATGATGGTTTCCAGCTTCATCCATGTCCTACAAAGGACATGAACTCATCCTTTTTTATGGTTGCGTATTATTCCATGGTGTATATGTGCCACATTTTCTTAATTCAGTCTATCATTGTTGGACATTTGGGTTGGTTCCAAGTCTTTGCTATTGTGAATAGTGCCACAATAAACATACGTGTGCATGTGTCTTTATAGCAGCATGATTTATAATCCTTTGGGTATATACCCAGTAATGGGATGGCTGGGTCAAATGGTATTTCTAGTTCTAGATCCTTGAAGAATTGCCACACTGCCTTCCACAATGGTTGAACTAGTTTACAGTCCCACCAACAGTGTAAAAGCGTTCCTATTTCTCCACATCCTCTCCAGCACCTGTTGTTTCCTGACTTTTTAATGATCACCATTCTAACTGGTGTGAGATGGTATCTCATTGTGGTTTTGATTTGCATTTCTCTGATGGCCAGTGATGATGAGCATTTTGTCATGTGGCTGCATAAATGTCTTCTTTTGAGAAGTGTCTGTTCATATCCTTTGCCCACTTTTTGATAGGTTTGTTTGATTTTTTCTTGTAAATTTGTTTAAGTTCTTTGTAGATTTTGGATATTAGCCCTTTGTCAGATGAGTAGATTGCAAAAATTATCTCCCATTCTGTAGGCTGCCTGTTCACTCTGATGGTAGTTTCTTTTGCTGTGCAGAAACTCTTCAGTTTAATTAGATCCCATTTGTCAATTTTGGCTTTTGTTGCCATTGCTTTTGGTGTTTTAGACATGAAGTCTTTACCCATGCCTATGTCCTGAATGGTATCGCCTAGATTTTCTTCTAGGGTTTTTATGGTTTCAGGTCTAACATTTAAGTCTTTAATCCACGTGAATTAATTTTTGTATAAGGTGTAAGGAAGGGATCCAGTTTCAGCTTTCTACATATGGCTAGCCAGTTTTCCCAGCACCATTTATTAAATAGGGAATCCTTTCCCCATTTCTTGTTTTTCTCAGGTTTGTCAAAGATCAGATGGTTGTAGATGTGTGGTATTATTTCTGAGGGCTCTGTTCTGTCCCATTGGTCCATATCTCTGTTTTGGTACCAGCACCATGCTCTTTTGGTTACTGCAGCCTTGTAGTATAGTTTGAAGTCAGGTAGCGTGATGCCTCCAGCTTTGTTCTTTTGGCTTAGGATTGACTTGGCAATGCAGGCTCTTTTTTGGTTCCATATGAACTTTAAAGTAGTTTTTTCCAATCCTGTGAAGAAAGTCACTGGTAGCTTGATGGGGATGGCATTGAATCTATAAATTACCTTGGGCAGTATGGCCATTTTCACGATATTGATTCTTCCTGCCCATGAGTATGGGATGTTCTTCCATTTGTTTGTATCCTCTTTTATTTCATTGAGCAGTGGTTTGTAGTTCTCCTTGAAGAGGTCCTTCACGTCCCTTGTAAGTTGGATTCCCAGGTGTTTTATTCTCTTTGAAGCAATTGTGAATGGGAGTTCACTCATAATTTGGCTCTCTGTTTGTCTGTTATTGGTGTATAAGAATGCTTGTGATTTTTGCACATTGATTTTGTATCCTGAGACTTTGCTGAAGTTGCCTATCAGCTTAAGGAGATTTTGGGCAGAGATGATGGGGTTTTCTAGATATACAATCATGTCATCTGCAAACAGGAACAATTTGACTTCCTCTTTTCCTAATTGAATACCCTTTATTTCTTTCTCCTGCCTGATTGCCCTGGCCAGAACTTCCAACACTATGTTGGATAGGAGTGGTGAGAGAGGGCATCCCTGTCTTGTGCCAGTTTTCAAAGGGAATGCTTCCAGTTTTTGCCCATTCAGTATGATATTGGCTGTGGATTTGTCATAGATAGCTCTTATTATTTTGAGATATGTCCCATCAATACCTAATTTATTGAGAATTTTTTAGCATGAAGGGCTGTTGAATTTTGTCAAAGGCCTTTTCTGCATCTATTGAGATAATCATGTGGTTTTTGTCTTTGGTTCTGTTTATATGCTGGATTACATTTATTGATTTGTGTATGTTGAACCAGCCTTGCATCCCAGGGATGAAGCCCACTTGATCATGGTGGATAAGCTTCCTGATGTGCTGCTGGAATCGGTTTGACAGTATTTTATTGAGAATTTTTGCATCAATGTTCGTCAGAGTTTTCTATATATTGGTTTATGTTATCTGACCAAGATAATTTTACTTCCCCCATCCAATTTGAATGCCTTCTGTTTCTTTTTCTTTCATAATTTATTTGCCTGGGGCTGCCAGTGTTCTGTAGAATAGAAGTGGTAAGAATAAGCATCCTTGTCTTGTTTCTTATCTTAGAAGAAACGCTCTCAACTTACTACCATTAAGTATAATGTTAGCTGTGGCTTGTTTGTTGTATATGGCTTTTATTGTGGTGAGGTACAATCCTCCTATACCTAACTGGTTTAAAATTTTTATTTTGAAATGATTTGGAATTTTACTGGATGTTTTTTCTGCATCTATTGAGATTATCATGTGGTTTTTGTCCTTCATTCTGTTAATGTGATGTATCACATTTATTGCTTTATGTTGAACCATCCTTGCACCCAGGAGATAAACCACACTTGATCATGGTGAATTCTTCTTTGAATGTGCTGTCGAATTTAGTTTGTTAGTATTTTGTTGAGGTTTTGCATGATCATCAGAGATATTGGCCTTTGTCTTTTCTTGTAGTGTCCTTGTCTGGCTTTGGTATCAGTAATGCTGGCCTCCTAAAATGAGTTTGGAAGTGATCTCTCTTCTTCTATTTTTTTGAAACATTTGAGGGGCATTAGCATTAATTCTTCTTAAAACATTGGGTAGAATTTAGTAGTGTATCCATGAGGTCTTAGCTTTTCTTTAATAGAATAGTTTATATTAGTGATTTAATCACCTTACTCATTATTAGTTTATTCATATTTCTCTTCTTCATGATTTAGTCATGGTAGGTTGCATGTGTCTAGGAATTATTCATTTCTTCACGGTTATTGAAATTGGTGCCATATAGTTATTCATAGTAGTCTCTCATGATCTTTTGTATCTCTGTGTCATCAGTTGTGACAGTTCTTCTTTTATTCCTGGTTTTGAGTCTTTTCTCTTTGTTAGTTTCATTAAAGATTCATTGATTTTGTCTTTTCTTTTTTTGTTGTTGTTGTTGTCCATAATTCTAATTTATTAACTCATCATTTTAAATATTTAACTTTCAGGGACAGTAGAATGTTTGTATTGTTATACGTGAATTCTCTTTCTTCTCAGTAAAATTACATAAAAGGACAAATTATAATCAGACGTTTGCTTGGTGAGCATGGAGTCAATCCAGGGAGAATGAATTGGATGATCAAATGTCTATTACATCCATCTTCGCTTGGGGCACGTTTGTAAGAGGGATTGGATACTTATTTCTGGGGTCGGGACATGTCCTTTCCTGGGTTGTCCTGGGTTCTTTCCTCTTAGAGACCCTTTACTGTCTTCCCTCTGGATCATTCCCTTTTCGTTAATATATTCTTTCTTTATAATGAAGACAATGCAATTTATTTGATTATATGTTTTAATAGTCCTTGTCTGTTGAGGCTGTGTCTTAATGAATACAATCCAAACATTACCGAACTCCCCAGTCAACAGTTCATAGGATTTTTTAAGGGTAGATGATTTCGTTGTTTTTTATAGAAAACCATTCTAAGTTGCTTCCTGTTGATTTCCTATACTTTTATTTACTTTCTTTTTTTTTTAAATTTATTATTATTATACTTTAAGTTTTAGGGTACATGTGCACAATGTGCAGGTTAGTTACATATGTATACATGTGCCATGCTGGTGCGCTGCACCCACTAACTCGTCATCTAGCATTAGGTATATCTCCCAGTGCTATCCCTCCCCCCTCCCCCCACCCCACAACAGTCCCCAGAGTGTGATGTTCCCCTTCCTGTGTCCATGTGTTCTCATTGTTCAATTCCCACCTATGAGTGAGAATATGCGGTGTCTGGTTTTTTGTTCTTGCGATAGTTTACTGAGAATGATGATTTCCAATTTCATCCATGTCCCTACAAAGGACGTGAACTCATCATTTCAAAATACCAACTCTTAGTTTTGTTGATCTTTTCTATTGTTTTTTTCTCCCTTCTATTGTTTTTCTAGTATCTATTTTGTTTATTTCTTCCATGAGCTTTATTATTTTCTTCCTTCTATAAACTTTGGGTTTAGTTTGTTCTATTTTCCTTAGTTCCTTGTGGTGTAACATTAGGTTGTTTATTTGGGATCTTTTATTTAATGTGGGCTTTTAGTTCTATAAATGGTACAATTGTACAGTGTGTTTGTGTTTTAAGCTGTGTCATTACAAAAGAGTAAAAAAGTAAAAAACATTAAAAGTTTATTAAATAAAAAGTTACAGTAAACTCAGGTTAATTTATTATTGAATAAAGAAAATTCATTCAAAATTTAGTGTAACCCAAGTGTACAGTGTTTATTAAGTCTACAGTAGTGCACAGTAATGTCCTAGGCCTTGACATTCACCACTCACTTACTCACTCACTCAGAGTAACTCTTAGTTCTGCAAGCTACCTTGATGGTAAGTATTCTATACAGGTATATCAGTTTTAAAACCTTTATACCATATTTGTGCTATGTTTTTCTAATTTTCCTGTTTAGATATACAAATATTTACCATTTTATTCAAATTGAATACAGTATTTAGTATAGTAACATACTGTACAGCTTTATAGCATAGGAGCAGTAGACTATATCATATAACTTAGGTGTGTAGTAGGCTATACCATGTAGGTTTATGCAATGATAAAATTGCCTAATGACACGTTTCAAGACATATCCCTGTCATTAAGTGACACACATAACTATTTTTTCTAACTTGTCTGATCCTCCTAAAAAATGTTTTGAATTTTTTATGAGGCAGTTCTTATATCTGCATTTCTTTGGGATCAGCTTCAGGAGATTATTGTGGTGTTTTGGTCATGTCGTATCTTTAGTTTTTCATGTTTCTTGTTGCTTTACATTGATGTCTGCAAATCTGGTGCAGCAGTCACCTCTTGTAGCCTCTTCTGACTAGTTTAGCTGTTGAAAGACCTTCTCCTACAGGGGTGTGAGGGCGCTTGCTGGGTGGGCTGCTGCAGTTCTGGCACTCATGAGATTGAGAGTTGTGTCACCTTTGTGTAGCTCTGGGAACTGAGGTTGGTGATGACAAAGATTTCGAGGATCCTCAGCAGCCAATGCTGTGAATGTTTGCAATTGTGGCAAAGGTTATTGGGGTCTTCAGTGGCAATGACTATTAAAGTTCTTCTGATTTCTTTTTCTCTCAGTGAGGAAGTTTTGCTGATAAAATCCCTCTTGGTTCCGGGTCTGACTTGTCAGCTTGCTTGCATTGGTAGTGGCATGAGTATTTGATTAGTGGTGCCAATGGAGTGGCTGCAGAACTGAGATGTGAAGCACAGGAATGTGTGGAGGGAGCATGGTTCTGGGACCCAGGGCAGTAACAGCACTTATGCCCAGGGCACATGCACCTCTGCTGCCACCTTGGTAACAGAATCAAGGTGCAGATTCCTGTGAAATAGCTGGGCAGCTAAGAATGAGAATATTGATATCCACACAGTTTGAGCTGCTCTGGAGTTGGGGCACAGTCCAGCTCTCTATGATGGCTAAACCAGTGTCTGGAGCATGGGCACACACAGTGAACGTGTGGCTCTGGGATTTGGAATGCAAACTACCTTGCTGTGACAACGATTCCCAATGTCTGAGGTGTGGGTGGGTTCAATGTAGACACAAAACCCAGGTCTGGAATGTGGTTACTTGCAGAGTGGCTATGTTTTGGGTCAGGGCACACATGGGGTTAGAGGAGGTGGTGACTTCTTTCCCAGTAGTGGCTTAACAGTGCTGATTCTTGTTTGGAGGAGGAGTGTACAGACACATCACCCTTTCTGGGGTTTCCTGGTGGGGATGGCTCTTGGTTACCTCAGTAGAAAGAAATGGCAGTGTCCTGGGTGGATCAGGCCGTTGGGAACCATGGTGGTTCCAGCAGCATGGCTGATGCCCATAGCCTCCACCTTTCTTCTTTGCTCCTAGCTATCTCCTGGTGTCTAAGATATGCTGACCTCACCAGAGATCCTTTCTACTTGGACATTGTGCTCCACTGTGTTGCTACAGTTTCATTAATGTGCCCATGACACCTCTCTGGGCTATTGTAGTTTGTGAAAGGTGTCTATATTTGTTTCATAGCAGGAGGGATGAAGGTTGCTATCTCCTCTGCCATCTTGGTGCTTTCCTACCTTATTTATTTTTTAAACCACTTTACTAAGGTTGATTTTTTTGTGTATAGTGTAAGAGTTTAATTTCATTCTTTTCCATGTGGATACTCTGTTTCCCCAATGCTATTGAGGAGACTATGCTTTCCCTTTTGTGTATTCTTACCACCCTTGCAGAAGATAAGTTCACAATATGTGCATAGGGATTAATTCTGGACTCCCTGTTACATTGGTGTATATGTCTTTTATGGCAGTACATATTTTTGACTTACTATAATATAAGCTTTGTAATGTGTTTTAAAATCAGGAAGTATGATGCCTCCAGTTTTTTTTTCTTGCTCCAGATTGCTTTGACTATTTGGGTTTTTTGGTTCCATATGAATTTTAGAATTGTTATTTCAATTTCTGTAAAAGTGTGCCATTGGTATTTTGATAGGAATTGTACATCACTTTGGGTAGTATGGGCATTGTAACAATATTAATTTTTCCATTTTGAACAAAAGATGTCTTTCCATTTTAATTTCTTTCAGCAATATATTATCGTTTTCAGTGTACAAGCCTTTTGCCTTTCGAATAAGTGTATTGCTAGTATTTTTTCCTTTTTGATGTGATTGTAAGTAGGATTGATTTTGAATTCCTTTTTGGATAGTTCGTTGTTAGTATATTAAAACAAAACCAATTTGTGTATGTTAATTTTATATTCTGTACCTTTACTGAATTTATTAGTTCTAACCATTGTGCACGTGTGTGTGTGTGTGTGTGTGTGTGTGTGTGTGTAGTTTAGGGTTTTCTACATTAAAAAATCAATAACAAATAGTGAGACTGAACCAGTAACCAGAATCTCTGAACATGAAAACCATGAATCAGTCTTATTATTTACTATTGACCTTTTCAAGTTTTCCATTTTTTCTTGATTCAGTCTTGGTAGGTTATTGGTAGGTTCTAGGAATTTAACAATTTCTTCTTTGTTGTCCAGTTTGTTGGTCCATAAATTGTTCATAATAGTCATTTGTGATCTTTTCTCATTTCCATGGCATCAGTTGTAGTGTCTCCTCTTTCATCTAGTTTTATTTATTTGAGTCTTCTCTTTTTAATAATTAATCTAGCTAATAGTGTGTCAATTTTCTTTATCTTTTCAAAAACCGAACTCACATTTTCATCAATTTTTTCTATATTTTTTTCCTATTTTATTTATTTCTGTTCTAATTTTGTTTTTTTTTCTGTGAACTTTGGCTTTAGTTTCTTATTTTTCTTTTTCCTTGAAGTGTAAAGTTAGGTTGTTCATTTGAAATATTTTTTATAGTGATTATCAACTTTCCTTATGGTACTGCTTTTGCTGCATCCTGCTGTAAGTTTTGGTATATTTTAGTTTTGTGGATTTTTTAAAATCTCAAGATAGTTTCTAATTTCCCTTTTGATTTCTTCCTTGATCCAGTGGTTGTTCAAAATTTGTTGTTTAATTTTCATGTATTTGTGATTTTTTTCCATTTTTCTTTCATTACTGATTTCTAGTTTCATACCATTGTGACTGGAAAATAATCTTGTAATGGTTTTAATTTTCTTAAATGTTTAAGACTTGTTTTGTGATATAGCATGTGATTTATCCTGTAAATATCTCAGTGTGTAGGAGAATTGTGTGTATTCCGCTGCTTTTGGATGGAATGTTCTTTAAATGGCTGTTAGGTCCATTTGGTCTACAGTGTTGTTCAGATCTGTTGTTTATTGATTTTCTGTTTGGATGATCTATCCATTTTTGAAAGTGGAGTATTGAAGTCTCTCTCTTCATACCTATTATTACTTTTCTTATGTATTTATGTGCTCTGACGTTGGACACAGGTATATTTATCATTGTTATATACATATATATATTTTTGAGATGGAGTCTTGCTCTGTCGCCCATTTTAATGGTGAATTGACCCTTTTATTTTTGTGTGGTGACCTTTTTTTTGTCTCTTGACATCTTAGTTATCTAAGTACAGCCACTTCTGCTCTCTTTTTGATACCGTTTGCATGGGATATCTTTTCCTCTCCTTCTCTTTTAGTGTTTAAGCCCGTCACTTTTAGTTCAGTTTGTCCTTAACTCTAAAGCAAGTCTCTTGCAAATAGCATATAGTGGATCTTGCTTTTCTCATCCTTTCAGCTTCTCTGTATCTTTTGAATGTTAACTTTAACCTATTTATATTTAAAATTATTATTGCTAGGTGAAGACTTACTATTGCAATTATATTGTTTTCTCTCTGTTTTATAGCTGTGCCCTATCTTCCTCTCTTTCTGCTTTACTTTGTGATTTGATTACTTTTTATAATGATATACTTTATTTCCTTTTCATCTTTTTTGTGTCTGATACAGGTTTTTCTTTACGATTACCATGAGGTTTGATTACCATAAAGTTAAAATTACAGTTACGATTACCATAAAGTTAAAATGGTCTATTTTAAATTGTTATCTATTTTAAATTGTTAACAACTTAACTTCAATTGTATACAAAAATTTTACATTTTTATTCCACCCCCATTTTAGGTTATTGATGTCAAAAATTACTTTATATTCTGTATCCATTAACCAATTTTTGTGATTATAGTTATCCTTAATACTTTTGCTTTTAACTTTTATACTAGAGTTAAAATGATTCATGTACCACTATTACAGTATTACATTATTTTCTGATTATCAATATGTTTACTTGCTAGTGATATTTATACTTTCATATACTTTGGTGTTACTGTTGAGCATCCTTTCATTTCAACTTTAAGAATTCCCTTTATCGGACGTGAAGGACCTCTTCAAGGAGAACTACAAACCACTGCTCAATGAAATAAAAGAGGATACAAAGAAATGGAAGAACATTCCATGCTCATGGGAAGGAAGAATCAATATCGTGAAAATGGCCATACTGCCCAAGGTAATTTATAGATTTAATGCCATCCCCATCCAGCTACCAATGACTTTCTTCACAGAATTGGAAAAAACTACTTTAAAGTTCATATGGAACCAAAAAAGAGCCCGCATCACCAAGTCAATCCTAAGCCAAAAGAACAGAGCTGGAGGCATCACGCTACCTGACTTCCAACTATACTACAAGGCTACAGTAACCAAAAGAGCATGGTACTGGTACCAAAACAGAGATATAGATCAATGGAACAGAACAGAGCCCTCAGAAATAACGCCACATATCTACAACTACCTGATCTTTGTCAAACCTGAGAAAAACAAGCAATGGGGAAAGGATTCCCTGTTTAATAAATGGTGCTGGGAAAACTGGCTAGCCATATGTAGAATCCCTTCCTTACACCTTATACAAAATTAATTCACGTGGATTAAAGACTTAAATGTTAGACCTAAAACCATAAAAACCCTAGAAGAAAACCTAGGCAATACCATTCAGGACATAGGCATGGGCACGGACTTCATGTCTAAAACACCAAAAGCAATGGCAACAAAGCCAAAATTGACAAATGGGATCTAATTAAACTGAAGAGCTTCTGTACAGCAAAAGAAACTACCATCAGAGTGAACAGGCAACCTACAAAATGGGAGAAAATTTTCGCAACCTACTCATCTGACAAAGGGCTAATATCCAGAATCTACAATGAACTCAAACAAATTTACAAGAAAAAAACAAACAACCCCATCAAAATGTGGGCGAAGGACATGAGCAAACACTTCTCAAAAGAAGACATTTATGCAGCCAAAAAACACATGAAAAAATGCTCACCATCACTGGCCATCAGAGAAATGCAAATCAAAACCACAATGAGATACCATCTCACACCAGTTAGAATGGCAATCATTAAAAAGTCAGGAAACAACAGGTGCTGGAGAGGATGTGGAGAAATAGGAACACTTTTACACTGTTGGTGGGACTGTAAACTAGTTCACCCATTGTGGAAGGCAGTGTGGCGATTCCTCAGGGATCTAGAACTAGAAATACCATTTGACCTAGCCATCCCATTACTGGGTATATACCCAAAGGTCTGTAAATCATGCTGCTATAAAGACACATGCACACATATATTTATTGCGGCACTATTCACAATACAAAGACTTGGAACCAACCCAAATGTCCAACAACGATAGACTGGATTAAGAAAATGTGGCACATACCATGGAATACTATGCAGCCATAAAAAATGATGAGTTCATGTCCTTTGTAGGGACATGGATGAAATTGGAAATCATCATTCTCAGTAAACTATTGCAAGGACAAAAAACCAAACACCGCATGTTCTCACTCATAGGTGGGAATTGAACAATGAGAACACATGGACACAGGAAGGGGAACATCACACTCTGGGGACTGTTGTGGGGTGGGGGGAGGGGGGAAGGATAGCATTAGGAGATATACCTAATGCTAAATGACGAGTTAATGGGTGCAGCACACCAGCATGGCACATGTATACATATGTAACTAACCTGCACATTGTGCACATGTATCCTAAAACTTAAAGTATAATAATAATAAAAAAAAAGAATTCCCTTTATCACTCCTTGTAAGGCTGGTCTAGTGTTGATTAACTCCCTAAATTTTTGTTTGTCTGGAAAAGTATCTATGCTTAACTTTTAAAGCACAATTTTTCTGGGTGTAGTATTCTTGGTTGACATTTATTTCATTCAGTACTTTGAATATATTATTTCATTCTCTTCTGGCCTGCAGGGTTTGTGCTGAAAAGCTTATTGATAGTTTTATGGGTTTATCTTGTATGTGATGTCATTTTTTTCTTTCCATTTTCAAAATTTTCTTTGAGTTTTGACAATTTAATGTGTCTCAGTGTAAATTTCTTAAGATTCAACCTATTTAGGATCCTTTGTGTTTCGTGTATCTGGAAGTCCATTTTCCTCCTCAGATTTGAAAAAACTGTATTCATTATTTCTTTAAATAAGCCTTCTGCCATTTTCCCTCTCTTTCTTCTTGGACTTCCATATGCATATATTGGTTCACATGATGGTATCCCATACATCTTATAGGATTTCTTCACTCTTTTTCATTATTTTTATTTTTGTTTCTCATAATAAGAAATTTCAAAGGACCTGTCTTAGAGTTTGTTGCTTTGCTATTTTCTTCTGCTTGATAAAGTCTGCTTTTGAGGCTATCTATGAAATTTTTCAGTTTATCCATTGTGTTCCTCTGTTCCAGACTTTCTGTTGGTTTACATTTTTATGGTTGGTAAGTCTTTGTTGAATCTCTCATTTTTTGTTCATGTGTTGTTTCCCTAATTTTATTTGGTTGTCTAGCTGTATTCTATTTTAGTTCACTGAGCTTGTTTAAGGCCATTATTTTTATGTCTTTTTCAGGGAGGTCATAGATCTGCATTTTTAAGAATCTCTTATTTGAGCTATATTTTGTTATTTGAGTTATCACCTGTGCATCAACAGAGCATCCCGTGGGGTTGTATTGCCCTGATTCTTCATGATCCTTGTATTTTCATTGATGTACGTGCATTTAAAGAAGCATCTTTACATGCTAGCTTTGGCCCTTCACTAGACAGCCCAGCCAGAGTTTGTGTGGGTCCATTAGCAGGGTTCATGGGCAGGTCAGCTGTCAGGGTCCACAGGAGTGTTGGCTCTCAGGGTTTGTGGGCAAGCCTACTGCTGTGATTTGTGTGTCAGCTATTGGATCCATACTGTTTCTTGAGAGCTTCTGACCACCCCTCTTCCTGCCTCTTTTTTTTGGTTTTTAGCTACCTTCAGGTGATCTAGCCATGCTGATTCCCTGAGTGTTTTGATTGTGGTGCAGTATAAGTAGGCCTCTCAGGTTATACCATAACAGGCTGGGAAAAGTCCAATGCTCACTTTATTCCCCACGGGAAAACTGAAAAGCCCAGGAGATCTCTCTTGGCACTGTGCTGTGACAGCTTGGGGAAGGTGTGACATGAGTAGAGATGAAACTGTTCTTATTATCCTTTAATTGCACTTTTGCCTTGTTTCTGTGTTCCACTGCTGTGCTGTAGCCTCTCATTTGAATTCCAGAGGTCTCATAAAGGTAATTTTATCCTTGTCTGGTTGTTAAGTCTTCATTTTTGTGGAAGAAAGAGGGCTGGGCCTCCTATTCCATGATCTTACTTACATCAATCCCCCTATTTTAATTTATTTTAAGTTCAACTTATCAGAAATTTTTTTTGATTCATGAATATGTATTTGGGCATATGTTTCATAGAAATTTTTAACTTTGACCTAAAGCATGTATACTCTAAGATAATTAGAAAATAAAAGTATTGATAACTTTTGGTTGGAATTTCTTGTCTTGAGACTATTTCACAAGCATGGGTTGTGTGCTCAGAATTCACCAAAGCCCAATAAAAGGCCAATAATTGTCTCTTAAAGGGTATATACTTTTCAGGTATTTCTGAAAATGACAGGTTCAAAAGCCCAATAGATTCCTCTGACCTGTGGCAGTGTCCTTCTGCCATAACCTCCAATTGGCAAACAGAAGACCTCTTACTCAAACAGTAAATGGATATCAGAGTGGCCCAGGGGTAGTGCTGTTTGGGTTGCTTGTTGGAGGACCTCCAGGCCATCCTCCTGATTGTGGCACATATAAAGGAAACAACTTTCTTGTAACCCCATAGTTGGATGGCATTAAGATTGCCACATGGGCAATACAAGAGTGTAAGTAGTCGAATAGTCTCATTAATCTTCTTTTTAATTGTTTGATCAGAGAGAGCCAGAGCCAGTATTATCACATGGAATAAGACAACATTCCCCTTACAGATAATGCTCAGGAATTACACTTGGGTACTAGGTACTTGTACTTTGTAATAATGCTTTAGAGAATTATCATCTGTGCATCAACAGAGCATCCAGTCCTATTTGGGGGGTTGCATGTTTGGGATGGTGTCATGAATGGATTAGAAGGCTAGTCCTTCCTCTGGTAGTGAGACATTTTCTATGTTATGGTTTATGCATGGATGACAGATAGGGAATTAAGTATATTAGTGGTCAATTTTATCCATTCCATACAAGGGTAAACTGATCCTAATCATCTCTATGTAGATAGATACTGAATGGGGCATGTGCAGTGTGAATTGTTACGTAAGTTTTCACACTCTAGACAATAGCTTCTATTATGTTTACAATGTCAGATACCATTGACAAAGGCCAAAGAGCTGTTGTTTGGATTGAACAGCCAAAATCAATTGAAAATCTTTTATTGATCCAAGGCCCTACACTTAGATGTACTGAGTTATTGAATGGGGATATAATCTCAAGGAGACTTTCTCTATATTAACTTCAGCAAAGAAGGCAGTTGTTTCTTTTTTATTCCTAGACAGATTATGGGAGACAGAGGTGGTAAGTATAGGACATTGGGCAGGTTCGCAGTCTTCCTGTGCCCTGCTGAAATGGTTCTAACTGCAGCAATAAGTTAAGGAATAATAAGGAAATAAGCCTTCCATGAGGCCTTGGATAAGTCAGTGGGGTTGCACATAGATAATATATCTATATTCATAAGACCTTCATTAGTTGGGGCCATACCAATGAGAGTTTATGTTGGCCCATAGGGACACACATATGTTCTTTCTTTTTTTTTTTAATTTATTATACTTTAAGTTCTAGAGTACATGTGCACAACATGCAAGTTTGTTACATAGCTGTACATGTGCCATGTTGGTTTGCTGCTCCCATCAACTCGTCATTTACATTAGCTATTTCTCCTAATGCTGTCCCTCCCCCGACAGGCCCCACTATATGATGTTCCCCACCCTGGGGACACACATATTTTCTTATCTGGGTAAAGGTCCTCTTGATGTTGGCCTCAGACCCAAAACCAGACAGCATTATCTATTTGCCTGTCATCTTGGCGTCAAGGGTTGTCAAGATCACAGTCATCTTGACACCACTATTCAAAATGCTTAAAAAATGTACTTCTTTCCCATCTCCCAATTCATTACTTTTCTTAGCAGAGGTCCTTGGGTAATGGGGACATAAGGACCTGATCTACTCCATATTTTTGTTCACTTTTGAAAACTGAGAGAATTTGGGGAAAATTTCACCAGGCTCTCTGACTCATTTAAAGATTCACTGGAAGAAGCTGAGTGATAACACTTGTTTTAGTCATAGGAACTATTACAATGTGTACGCTAGTCAGTGAGCACCCCTTGGTTACTACATGTCCCTGAGTGCTTTCCTGGAGAGCCCCATCAGTCTCCACCTTTGAGATTCCGTTTTCATTAACAAAAGATCTCTTCAAGAAAGCCTTTGCTCAGATTTTCCAGGAATTAGTCCTCAGTTACTACTTTTTTTCATCACTCTCTCAGCTAGTAAGTAATTGCTGTGCTGGAAGTAGCTGCTATTTCAGCCTAGTAATTTGTCAGTTAATATCTGAATTTTGTGGTGGGCCAATTGACTGGACCTGTGTCTGTGGGAGGTAGTGCTGGGGAAGGCTAGGATTGGTTAAGTCCAGAATATTGAGTCAGAACTGAGAAAAGTTTCTTTAAGGATTTCCTCTACCCCACTACTTCACACCATAGGTGGTCTGGCCAGACGCACTGACTGAACAATACAGTCATTGTTTGTCACAATACAGCTACTGTCTGAACAATACAGTCAAGCCCCCACCTTCCCCTATAAAGAGGTTTTCAACTTAAGGCGATTAGACTAAAAATGTTATATGCCCAAGAGCCTGGTTGGCCAAGGGGAGAGGAGTTGATTCAAGACTGCGACTACCTCCTATGCCTGCAGTACACAAATCTTACCTCAAGTCTCTTTTGTGTTGGGAATCTCTATGATAATTGCCAGGTAGTGCCTTTGTAACTGTCCATAATTGGACCTGAAAGATCACACAAAAGCAGGGTTGGCCTGAAGTTGGATTCTTCAGTGTATTTATATGTATACACACACACACACACACACACACACACACACACACACACACACACAGCTTCATACACACATCTGCATACATATATATGTGCATATAAACATGGATATAGACCTGTAAAGTCATATTTAGAATTCATGGCAAATCTCTTGGACACCTTAAATTCCAGTTCATTTTCTCAGAGGTTGTTCTTGTCTTTCTCCATTTCATATATATATATATTCTTTCTTCTACTGTGCGAATCCTGACTAATCCACAACACAATTACCCAATTGTATCAGCATCATTATTATTTTTCAACTTTTATTTTAGGTTCAAGTGGTACACTTGCAGGTTTATTACATGGCTATATTGTGTATTGCTGGAGTTCGATGTACAAATGATTTTGTCACCAAGGTAGTGAGCATAGTACCCAATAGGTAGTTTTTCAGTCCTCACACTCTGCCTACCCTCCACCCTCAAGTAAGCCCTGGTGTCTATTTTTCCCCTCTTTGTGTCCATGTGTACTCAATGTTTAAGTGTACCCACTTACAAGAGAGAACATGTGGCATTTGGTTTTCTGTGCCTGTGTTAATGTCCTTAGGATAATTTCCTTCCAGCCTTATCAATGTTGCTGCAAAGGATACAATTTATGGTGTACATGTACCACATTTTCTTTATTCAGTCCACTGTTGATGAGCAGGCATCTAGGTTGATTCTGTCTTTGCTACTGTGAATAGTGCTGTGATGAACATGCACATGCATGTGTCTTTATGGTAAAATGATTTATATTCTTTTGGGGTCATTCCCAGTAACGGGGTTGCTGGATCAAATGGTAGTTCTAAGTTCTTTGAGAAATTTCCAAACTGTTTTCCACAGTGGCTGAACTTATTTACATTCCCATCAGCAATGTATAAAGCCTTCCTTTTTCTCTACAACCTCACCAGCATCTCTTATTTCTGACTTTTTAGTAGTAGCCATTCTGACTGGTGTGAGATGGTATCTCATTATGGTTTTGATTTGCATTTCTCTAATGATTAGTGATGTTAAGCATTTTTCCTATGCTTGTTGGCAGCATGTATATCTTCTTTTGATAAGTGTCTGTTCATGTTCTTTGCCCATTTTTAATGGGGTTCTTTGGTTTTTGCTTGTTGATTAGTTTAAATTCCTTATAGATTCTGGATATTACACCTTTGTTAGATGCATAGTTTGAGAATATTTTCTCCTATTCTGTAGGTTGTCTATTTGCTCTATTGATAGTTTCTTTTGCTCTGCAGAAGCTCTTTAGTTTAATTAGATCCTATTTGTTAATTTTTGTTTTTATTGCAGTGGCTTTTGGCATCTTTCTCATGATATCTTTGCCAAGTCCTACATCCAGAATGATATTCCCTAGGTTAATTTTCAGAGTTTTATATTTTTGAATTTTACATTTAAGTCTTTAATTCATCTTGAGTTTATTTTTTTATGTGGTGAAAGGAAGCAGTCCAATTTCAGTCTACTGCATGTGGCTAGCCTGTTATCCTAGCACAACTTTCTGAATAGAAAGTCCTTTCCCTGTTGCTTGGTTTGCCAGCTTTGTCGAAGATCAGATGGTTGTAGGTGTGTGGCTTTATTCCTGAGTTCTCTAACCCATTTCCTTGGTCTATGTGTATGTTTTTATACCACTACCATGCTGTTTTGGTTACTGTAACCTTGTAGAGTAGTTTGAAATTCTGTAGTGTGCTATCTTGGGCTTTGTTCTTTTTGCTGAAGATTGCTTTGGCTATTTGGGCTCTTTATTGCTCCATATGAATTTTAGAATAGGTTTTTCTTATTCTGTAGTTTGATAGGAATAGCATAGAATATGTAAATTGCTTTGAGTAGTATGGCAATTTTAGCAATATTGATTCTTCCTGTCTATGAGCACGGAATGTTTTTCCACTTCTTTGTGTCATCTCTGATTTCTTTTAGCAGTGCTTTGTAATTCTCACTGTAGAGATCTTTCACCCTGCTGGTGAGTACTGCTGCAGCAGCAATGGCAGAGGGGCTTGTTGCCAATTGCCAATGGGAATTCCACCCCAGAGAAACACAGAGCTGCCACAGACGGAAGTGATCAGGCAGAAGTAGGGTGGCTGCATTGAGGGCCAAGGTCGGAAGGCCCTGCTTAGTAAGGAGTAGCAAGGCCTGGGACCTGCATGAAAAGCAGTGTGGCTGTTTTTCTTTATGGCACGTGTTGCATGTTGGAGGCACGAGATAGCTTTTGAGCTCTATACTGTCTCTCTATCCTCAGGGCAATGGGGACTGGGGAGACTATGGCAGTGGCAAAAGCTGTGGGCCTATTGTGTTACCTCTGGAATCTCTGCCTCAGAGAAATGCAGAGCTGCAGCCAGCCCAAGTGATCAGGTTGGGGGGTGGGGTGAGGTGGGTTGCTGTGCTGGGGACCTAGGCCGATTGGCTTTGCTTGGCAAGGTGCCCCAGAGGTGAGGCCTCCAGTCTGTCCACATTTCAGTATCCTAGATGGGGCCCTTATCCTGGGGCGCATGGGAGATCCCTGCCTCCCTTCTTGGCAGAGCTATGGCAGCTGGTCCCAGGGTGCTCAGGAATCCAAAGCCCTTGGAGCTCCACATGGGCCTGAATAGCGGCTCTGCGGAGACTCCATGCAGCTTTCTGTGTCAGTCTGGGGGCCCCAGGGAGTAGGGTTGGGCAGGATCTCTTGTGCCTAGGTTTGCAAAGGTTCATGGCAGAGGTATGTGTCCCCAGGGGCTCTCAAGCACTCACTCTTTCCCCATGGTGGGGAGCCTTCCCTGGCTCTGTGCCAATCCCAGGCAGGTTGCTGTCCTGTCTCACTCCTCTCTGCTCTCCATGGGTCACCACTATTTCCTTGATGAATCCCAAGGTGGCCTCCTGGATGATCCAGTTGAAGAGCCACTTGCCACTTATAAATTTGTAAGTTTACTTGCCACTCTGTCTTCTCTCCTGTGAAAGCAGTTCACACTAGCTGCTTCTAGTCAGCCATGTTGGTCTTAAAATCTGGATTGTATTGCAGTTCCAAAATTATTTTAGAATTGCTTAGCACATACTTCTAGAAAAACAAACCTACTGAAAATATTTTGTGATGTGTGTACCGTCTCTTCTCCACACACTTGTCCAAGTATTAGGGCATATGTTAAATATCGTATTGATGATTTACCTGTATGAGTTTTTTCTCTTTAATAGGTTCACTAAGTTTGCTTTCAGTTTTAGTTTCTTCTTATCCTTTGTGATTTAATTTAATTTTTTTTTTTTTTGAAATATACGAAACCTGAAACTGATTCCAAAAGTAAAAAATATGCGAGGTATACTTAGAGAAGTTCCATTCCTTCCCTAGTTCACCCTCCTTCATCTTGTAGGTAATCAACTATATTGTATTCTTACATTTCACCTGTTTCATTTTGTAAAGCTAAGTATCTTTCTAATTTCCTTTCTTTCTTTTTTTTAATCCTTCTTCCTTACCTAACGGTGGCATACAAGTTTTCTCTTTTTTGGATTTTTTTTTTTTCACTTAACATTATCTCCTGGAAATCCCTACAGGTCAGTTTATAGAGATTTTTTAAATTGCTTTTACAACTCTATGTATAGCTGTTGTACCACATTATTAACCATAACTTTCATTATACTATAGTTTATAGCAAGCTTGTCCAACCTGCCTTATTTTGTTGTTGTCATTCTGGTCTGTTTTGTTTTAGGCTTTTAGCAGCCCAAAGCCATGGTTTTTAGTTTCTGTCTCTAGTGATAAGCAGAAAAGAGGAATGAGAAAGGGGCTTTACTGGCTCAACCAGAAGCAGAAACTAAGAATCCATGACTGTATTCTCTCCCTTGGACACCCCTAGAACTTTATGGTATATACATTGGCTTATTCAACCAATATCCAATGCTTGAACATTTATGTGGTTTTGAGTATTTTGTAATTACAAATAATGCCATAATGATAAACTTGTACATATGTATTTTTATTGTTTGGTTTATGACATCTATATGATCTATACAATATAAAGAACCTAGGAAAAATATAGACTAACTATATATGATTCCTAGAAATGTTTATAAAGTGAGAAAGCATCAACATACAGCCATTAAAATTCTTTTCAGCATTTTCTCATCAAATCTATTATTATTGTAATTTAGTTATAACTTTGTAGAAGTGACTGAGAATGCTCATGTAAATGTTTTATAAATTTGAAACACAGAAATTTCACAAAAGATCCATTTTTCTATTTAGTGGAATAAATGTATTTTCTTTATGTAGCTCATAATGAAGTACCAAATGAAAGGCTTGTAGTTGAGCATCAAGAATCATTGTCAAAAACCAAATTACAAATAAAGAAACAAGAAACTTCTACAGAGCAACCACTCACCAGTAAGTATAAAAATTACACATAACTTTACATTATTTTAAATTAGTCACAGCAAAGGTATTTTTCTTCAGTTCATGAATCTTGAATTTACAGAAATTTTACCTTGAACCTAAAGTATGAATACCATAAGATAACTAGAGAACAAAAGCTAGAGTATTTATCACTTGGCAGTTAGTATTTCTTGTTGTAACGGTATTTTGTAGCCATGATCATGTGCTCAGTATTCACCAAGGACAATAGCAGGCCAATAATTGTCTTTCAAAGAGTGTGTACCTTTTATCCAACTCTAGGAAGTTACAGGTCCAAAAGCCCAATTTATTCCACTGACCTGTTCAGTAAGCTGTTTCCATTTGGCATCAATCAGTGAACAGAAAGTTTGCCAAGACCTGTAACTCAAATAAAGATCAGAGGAGCTAAGGGGAACAATAGCATAGGAGGCCTGTTGGATGGACTCGAGGGCATTCTGTTGGTTGGGGCCTGCTCCAGGGTAGAGGCCTTTTTGGTAACTTTAAAATGATTGCAATCAGGATTCCATCAAGGGAACTGCCAGTAGCAGAATAGGTTCACAAGTTGCTTGGCCTCTTGTGTATTTGTTGTAATAGAGAGGGACCATAGTTTGACAGTTACCTCCTCAGGAGTGAGACATGTTTCCCCTTTCTAGTTTACTCCCAGGAATTCCTCTTGGGTAACAAGGTCTTTGTACTTTTTATGTATTAATGGCCCAGCCATGTTGCTGCATGTGGGCCAATACAACATCCAGTCCTTGCTGGATAGTGGACTTGCCTGGGCCTACCAGTAGGGAGTCATCAACGTCGTAGAAGGTTAATAGGAACAGAACTGTTTCCAGATCATGGTTTTGTGGAGGGATTTTAAAGATGTGTTGCAACCTGTTCCATATAAGACAAACTGTTCCTGATCATCTGTGTGGACAGGAATGCTGAAAAGGGCATTTGCTATGTCAATTGCTTTATACCTACTTCCCTCAGCTTGGGTAATTACCTTTATGGACAGTCACAATGTCAGGTCATATCAGTGTTCTAAGAAGTACCATAGCATTAAGCTTCCCATAATCAATGGAGTTTATAGGCACCCAAGGTGATACACACAAGCTAACTTAATTATTGCATGGAGAAATAGTCTCATGAACATCTTTGGATTCATGATCATGAAGAGCTGAGCAATAAGGGCAGTGATTTCTATTTCTCCCTCAGGCAATTTTTGGAGACCAATCTCTAGACACTTGTGGTTTAGTAAGTTTACAGTCTTCCACATGCTTCACTAAAATGACCTTAACCACAGTAGTTCCCCTTAGGGCTTGAGGCTGATGTGATTGGGGATTCACACAGAAGATACATCTATATCAATAATATATTCAGTAGAGGGAGTCATAAAAATGGAGGTTTGTAGTGGCCCAGTGGGACCCACCCATAGTTGTGTTTGGGTAAGGGTCATGTTTTTGGTGGCTTCAGACCTCACACCATATAGCATTATCTGTTTCACCCTCATCCTGGTGTCAGAGATTGTGGAGATAAATCATTGGTAAACTAGTATTCAAATGATGTGAGTTATGTAATTCTACACTATGACCTCTTTGAACTCTGACTTGGTATACATCCTCAGGTGCCACTGTGGAAATAGGGACGTTGGTCTAACCCCTAATTTTGTTTTGTTTTGAAAGCTGAGACTTCTGGGTAAACACAGACCATGTTCTCTGATTCATCTTAAGATCACTGTGATGGGTAGAGGAAATAGCACATGTGTTATAGGTATCGTCACCATTTTGACTCTAGTGGGGCTGTATGTTGGCCCTATGCCCTACTGCCTGGCCAGAAGATCCTTAGTGGGGAGTCCATCAAGCTCTTCTTTGAGACTTCATTGTTGAGTAACTAGACAATGCTTGCAGTGTCAGGGAACTCATCATGAGTGGGCCAAACTTTCAGAGAACAAATGATAGCCTATAGAGAAAGGAGAGTGCCTCTAGTGTTCATATCTCTTTTTTTTCCCTGCCACCCTTCCTCATCTTCCTTGGACACTTTTAGGGCACTCAGAATGAGGGGCTCTGTTGTGACACACTATACACGGTGCCACTGTCGCACACTATCTTAACACGCTTACCTCCTTTATGGTAGAAGCAAACTATTCAAGTTCCTATAAACTCCTCAGGTCACTGGTGAGGTGAACCTGAGAGATCTTTATTCTTTCAAATTTAATATAAATCTCAAACAATGTGTCATCATAGGCTGTCTGTTCATGCCAGGGACATATTTAGAGTTAACAATAGTTATTGGGTGCCACTCAGCAAGCAGTGTTTGCAGTGACTTGGTAACAAACTACTTTGTTTTCTGGTTTATCTTTCTGTGTTTATTTAATAAAGATAGATATCTCCCCATATTTTTCTTATTTCCTCTTCTGTCTTACCTAAAAGATAGTATACTAGATATTCTCCCTTTTGGTTTTTTTCCACTAAACATTATTTCATAGAAATATCACCAAGTCAGTTTGTAGGGATCTTTTTCATTCCTTTTGTAACTGTATGTACAGTTTTTTGGACCACATTATAGCCCATAGTTGATATTGTCATAGTTTATATGCTTTACTCAACAGATCTATGCTTGTATATTTAGGTGGTTTTGAGTATTTGCAATTATGCTGTAATGAATAACTTGGTGCATATGCATTTTCATTGTTTGGTCTATGTATACTTATTAATTGAAAATATAAAAAACCTAAGAAAGCCAGAGACTAAGATAAAACATATTCAAAGTGCAGGAATATTGATATGGTGAGATAGTTTCAACACACACCCATTGAAACTCTTCTCACCATTTTCATAGTAGATATAGCATTATGGTAATTTATTCATAACTTTACAAAAATGAGAGAAAATGCCACTGCACATTCGTAAATTTGAAATCTACAGATTTCAAATGGATTTATTTGTAATTTAGCGGACTAAACACATCTTTTTCTGTAGCTCCTGATAAAGAACCAAATGAAAATCTTATACTTAGGCATCAAGACTCAATGTCAAAATCAGAAATGCAAGTGAAGGAACAAAGAACTCTCAAAGGGCAAAGAATTATTAGTAAGTATAAAAAGTAAAGATAACTTTAAATTATTTAAAAGTAAGTTCATCCGAAGGTATTTTTGCTTTGATTCACAAAAGTTTTACACTTTGACTAAAATGTGAATACCCTACCATAATTAAAGAAAAAAGTGAAAAATATTGATACATTTTGGTTGAGAGATTTCTGGCCCTTAGATTATTTCATGACCACAGGACACACAGTATCCCCCAAGGCTTTATAACAAATGTATAATTGTCTTTCCAAAGTAGTGTGCCTTTCAGCCAACTGAAAGTAATTATGGGCCCAAAAACTTAATGGGCACCTCTCACCTGTGGCCTTCTTCCATAGGCACCAATCAGCAAAGATATTGCTAAGATCTGCAACTCAAAACAGCAAATGGGGATCATAATAACCTAGGGAAAGGTAACCTAGGACACCTGTTTAAGGGACTCTAGGGCATCCTTTTGGTCATGGCCCCACTGAAATGAAACAGAATTTCTGGTAACCCCATAGATGAATGAATGTCATCAAGGATCCCACATAGGGAAAATGAGAGTGTATTTATCGAAACAGTTCCAGTAACTGCTGGGCTTGTGTTTTTTTTTTGAGACACGGTCTCACTTTCTTGCCCAGACTGGAGTGCAGTGGCCCGATCTTGGCTCACTGCAACCTCCGCCTCCCGGGCTCAAGTGATTTTCCTGCCTCAGCCTCCTGAGTAGCTGAGATTATAGGCACACACCACCACGTCTGCCTAATTTTTGTATTTTTAGTAGAGACAGAGTTTCACCATGTTGGCCAGGCTGGTCTCGAACTCCTGACCTCAAATGATCCACCCGCCTCGGCCTCCCAAAGTGCTGGCATTGCAGGTGTGAGCCGTTGCACCTAGCCTGGGCTTATTTTTATTTGTTAGACCAGAAAGGATCAAAGCTTGGCAGTCTCCTCTGGAATGAGATGTCACCCCTTAGAAATCAATCCTAGGCATTTTATCCAGGTACTAAGTAACTGTATCTTGTCTGAACTAATGGCCCAGTTAAGAGCCACTGGTGAGTCATTAGAGCATCCAGTCCTTTTGGGAGATTTCCTTGCTTGAGTCCACTTAAATGATATAATCAATATAATGAAAGGCTAGTCCTCCCCTTGGGAGCAGGCCATTTAGAGGTCATTATGCATTGATGACAGATATTAGAGCAGTTTGGTAGCCTTGTGGAAGGATATTAGTTATGTTTTCCAACTTATTCTATATAAGGTTAATCTGAACATCTAAGTGAAAAAAAGATATGGACAGGCATTTGAGGTGTCAGTTGTTGCAAACAAGTTCCCTCAGTTTGGAAAATATCCTGTATGACAACTGTAGTCACTTGTGTCTTTGGTGGCCAGGGCTGTAATATAGCATTGGACCAGCAAAATCAATTGAGTCATTATGCACCTGAGGGTGTGTACAAGATCTACTTAGTTATTGAATGGAGAAATAGTCTTATAGAGAACTTTTGCTTCATTAAGCTCAACAAATGACAACAGCCTTTCTGTTTCTTCCTAGGAAGCTATTCTGGGAAACAAAGGTGCTAGGTGCTGTTAATCTGGATATTTACATTCTTCCATATGCCCCACTAAAATGACCTTAAATGCCTCAGTTTCCATCAGGGACTGGGATGAATGCAAGTGGGGGTTCACATAGAAAATACATCTATACCAACAATACATTTGGTGGGGGAGGGGAATAAAATGGAGTTTTGCAGTTGTCCGAAAGGATACTCTCATGGTAGTGTTTGACCAAGGGTCATTTTGGTGGTGTCCTCAGATGCAAAACCAGAGAGCATTACTTCTTTTCCCCAGTTCCTGGTGTCAGAGGTTGTGGGGATCACAGCCACCTGTGCACCAGTATCCTAATGGCCCTAGAAATGCAATTTCTTCCCACCTTCCCTTTAAATTCTGACCTTACGATACATTCTCAGATTACCACTGGTAACATGGGGATCTTGGCCTAACTCTTAATTTTCTTTATTTTCGAGAGCATGAAGTTTGAGCAAAAGTAGTGGAGGGTTCTCTGATTGATTTCAATATCACTGGGAGGTGCAAAGGGAAGAGCACTTTTATTAGTCATGGGGTCATCGCATTCTGGATTTAGTAGGGCTATGTGTTGGTACCCATGGCCCACTACCTGGCCAGGAGGTTCTTGGTGAAAAGTCCATCAGTGTCCTACTTCAGATTCCATCATTGATTAACTAGACTCAGATATTTCTTGGGGAGAGCCCTTAACTAGATCACCCAGGAATGGGTGCCAAATTACCATTTTTAGGTCACACTGTTCACTGGTCACACATTGCTATCTTGGTGGTAGATGCTTTTTCTATGCCCAGAAATTTGTCAGTTAAGATCTGAATTGTGCCACAAATTAATTGACATTATCTTATAAGGAGGTTTAATTGAGCTAGTAAAGGCTATGAAATGAAACTAGACATCTAAATCTGGTTAAATCTTGTCATTACTGTCCTCACTCCATCAGTGATCTTAGAGACAGCGGAATGGCTCAAGGGCCATTACAGCCTCTGCAGATGAAGGCCCAAACATGTTTTCCAGTAGCAGGGAACACAACTGTCCTCACTCCATCAGTGACCTTAGAGACAGCGGAGTGCCTCAAGGGGCCATTGTAGCCTCTGCAGATGATGGCCCAAACATGTTTTCCAGTAGCAGGGAACATGTCATGGGTGGGCAATCCTGTCAGAGCCAAAAATAGTTCCCAACTGAGGAAGGAGAGGGTTTCAGATGTTTACATCATTCGTCCCCCTTTCCTCCACTTCCTTAGGCAATATGGGCACTGTCAAGATTCTCTTAAGGAGGCATTCTGTAGTGATAAGCTCCACAATATGCCCCTTTCACTCCCTAAGTTAAACAAGATTATTGCTTTATTGTGAAGGCACACTACCCACATCTCTTAGTTGCTGGGCAAAATGATCATCAGGACTCTGCATTGTTTTTCATTAAAGCATGAGTCTCAATAACTGACTGCATTACAGGCTGTCCACCATTTTTAGGGGAGTGCCTAGGGCTAAGAATAGTCATTAGGTACAACTCAGTGTGCAGAGTCTCCAACTTTTTTGAGCCCATTGACTTAGGGCCAGGAGCAATAACCACAAAATTGCTTCCCTAGCTTTCTCAGAGCCCATCTGCTGGATTTTTCAATTGACTCACTGGATATCTTGGTATGTGAATCAGAGGATAAAGAGACTATTGTTCCATGTCAGAATTGAAAAGCTCATGTAAATAATACATTAGCATTCTAGAAAACCGCATGGTGTCTGCTGGCACTTTCTAAGAGATGATTGATTGACATGACTGGCAGAGTGCCCTGTGGGATGTTGAGTCTCTTGCAATTGATCCAGTAGCCTCCCCATCACCCTTCCACTGAGAGTGTCCTGCAGGCTCACTAGTACCTACCAAAGTGTTCCTTCCAGAAAGGCTTTGTGCTTCATTGACCACCCTGCTCTTTGTGGTAGTTTGTTAGAAACAGAAATGCCAGTTTTTGAGTTGGTCTATTAAGATAACATGCCAAACTCAAAGTAACAATTAACCTTATTCACTTACTAGCATATTAAAAGCCATAGCCTAGATAGAGGCAGGTCCCCAGCTCTACCAGTGTCCCATTTTACCCCACAGAAAAGCACTTAGCAAGGGTCAGATGCATCAGTGTAGACTGTGTGAGTGGGCATGGGATGGGGTTGTCTCATGGTGGAAGGAGTCCCAAACAAGAAGCTGTTTTCCATTTTATGGACCCTGAGGCTGAGTTAGCTGGAGCTCTGAACCACATGAATACCTTTAGCTATTTGCTCCCTATTCTAATTCCTCTCAAATTGAGTTCAGATTGCTTAACACATACTAGAACAACAACTAAAAAGATTTCATGATTTGTTTACACTCCACCTCCACCTCTCATGTCCAATAGTGAGGGTTTATGTCAAATACTATATTGATGAGTTACTGCTTTTATTTTTTCTTCAATGATTTCATTTCATTATTTCCTTTTAATTTTCACCCCACCTTCTTTTCCTTGTTGATTTAATTTTGTTTTTGAAATTGTAGGACATGAAACTACTTTTGAAAGTAAAACAATATATATGCAAAAAGTTATACTTAGAGGAGTATATTTTCTTCCCCAGTCCTCTCCCTCATTTTGTAGGTAACCAATAACATTGTTTCTTATATCTCTCCTCTGCTTCTTTTTGTAAAGATAACTATCTCTCTATTTCCTTCTCTATTTTTTTTCTCATTTCTTCATCTTCCTTCCCCAAAGATGGCATTCAAGTTTTCCCCTTCGTAGGTATTTTTTTCCTTCACATTATTCTTTGAAATCCCTTCAGGTCAATTTATAGACATGTTTAATTTGTTTTACAGTTACACTTACAGTTGTTTGTACCACATTATTTACCATATGTACTATACCATAGTGTGTGGTATACAGCACGTCCTTGAATAACATCATTTTGTTCAACATTGTTTGATTATAATGTTAATAAGAAAAAAAAATTGATTCCTAGCCAGGCACATGGTCTGGAGTTAGCACATTCTCCCTGTGTCTGCATGAATTTTCTCCAGGTGCTCCAATTTCCTCCCACATTCCAAAGATATGTATGTTAGGTAAATTGATGTGTCTAAATGGTCCCTGTCTGAGTGAGTGTGGGTATGTGTCTGAGTGCGCCCTGATATGGCATAGCATTCTGTCGAGGGCTGGCTCCCCCCTTGTGCTCTGAGCTGCTAGGATATGTTCCAACCAGCTGCAACCCTTAACTGGGATAAGTAGGCTGCAAAACATGTGAATGAATGAATGAATACAAGTTATTATAAAATAAAAATTCATATACAATAATTATACAAATGCAGACAATAAACAATGCAGTACAAAAGCACTCTGTAAGCCACCATATTTGTGATTGCTTTTAAATTATATGATGGGAGGAGATGCTCCTTACAATTTTGCTTTGCTTTTGATTTATTCCTTTGAATAAATCAAGAAGTTTATTCCTTGACTTAACTCACCACCACTATGACAACCATCATTCACTGATTAACCACAAATTGGGTAAATAATTGTCACTTGTTTTTATTATTTTTTCTTAAATCTGTGTATAGCTCACATTTATTTTAGTGTTTACTATTAGAAGTGTTTTGGGTCTTTATTTAGAAGTTTGTGATGTTTTTGTTACCAAAAAAATACTGTAAGAACTTAACTCTTGTTTATGTCAATTTGCCTACGGCAAAATGGGTTTCATTATGTGTCATTTTGCTTAAGGTCACAGTTTCCAAGATTCTATCAATGACATTACGTGAGGACTTACTGGATATACATATCTCAGTTTATTCAACCAGTCTCCTCTGCTTGAAAGTTTATGTAGTTTTGACTATTTTGCAATTACATATATGCTATAATAAATAACATTGTACCTATGCATTTTTATTTTTATTTCTGTGAATATGTATTAACCTAAAGTATAAATAACATAAGGAAACTAGTGACTAATATATATCAGATGCCTAGAAATGTTATGAAATAATGAGCTTCACCACACACCCATTAAAAATGTTCTTATAGTAGTCATGTCACATCTGGATTTCTGATAATTTACTTACAAATTTATCAAAATGAGAAAATTTTGCTACACAATTACAAGTTTGAAATCTAGAGATTTCACAGTAGGTCTGTTTTTCCATTAAGAGACTAAATGCATCTCCTTATGTAGCTCATGATGAAGAACCAGGCAAAAATCTTGTGCTTGAACATCAAGATTCAGTGTCAAAACTGGAAATGCAAATTGAAAAAACCAAAAAACTTCCTAGAGAGAAAAGACATAGTAGTAAGTATAATAATTATAGATAACTTAAAAATTTTAAAGTTAATCTCATTAGATCATTTTTCTTTGGTTCATGACTATGTAGTTGAGCATATAGTTTATGGAAATTTTATACTTTACAGTGTGAATACCTTAAAATAACTAGAGAACAAAAGCCATATAATATTTGGTTGGAATTTCTGGTCTTGAGACTATTTTATGGCATGCTCATGTGCTCGGTGTCCACCAAATCCAATAAAAATCATTAGTCTGTCAAAGGGTGTTTGCTTTCAGCCAACTGTAGGAGATTATGAGTCCAAGTGTTCAACAGGAACCTTGGGACATGTGGCAGTATCCTTCTGTCATAGACTCTAATTGGCAAACAGAGAGATTGGTGAGATGTGTAACTCAAATGACAAAATGTATCAGAGAAGGCCAAGGGGAAAAACAACCTATGTGGTCACTGGAGGGTCTCCAGAACATCCTGTCTTTAGGCTTCACCTAAGGGTAGAGGTCTTATTGGTAACCTGATAGATGGTGTCATGAAGATGCCCGTTAAGGGAATTTGAGAGCTCTAGTCTGGGCTTTCCTTTTACTTGTTGGGGCTAAGAGTGACTAAAGCTGAGAGTGACCTAGCCCTTGCCGGGTAGTGTTTTTGTCTGGGCCCAGACAAAATGAATATAGTGGAAGGCCAGTGCTTCATCTGGGAGTGTTGCTGTTTTCACGTCACAGCCTTGAGGAGGACATTAAAGGTGTAATGCAGCCCATTTAATGTAAGGCGGACTGATCTTGATCATCTTTGTGGACAAGGATGCCGAAAAGGGCATTTACAATGTCAGTTGCTTTAAAGCTATTTCCCTCAGCTTGGGTAGTAGCCTCTGTGATAGTCATAGTATCAGGTAACAGCAGTGCCAAAGACAGAACTACGGCATGAGCCACCAATAGTCAATTCTTTTCCAGGCACACAATGCCTTAAGCAAAAGGCCAGATGGTGAACTTTGGCTTCCTTAAGCACAGCAATGAAGACTTTTTTTTTTTTTAATCCCCAAGACAGTTGATAGTGTTTTTAAGAGACAAAGACACTAGCTTCTGGTAGTCTGGTGGGTTTAGTCTTCCATATACCCCAAAAAAATGGTCCTAATTGCAACAATTCGCCTCAGGGACTGGGGGTGAATACAGTCAGGGGTAGACATAGACAATATGTCATAACAATAACCCATTCAGTAATGGGTTCCATAATGATGGAAGTATGTAGTGGCTTGAAGAGACCTACCTGTAGTCAGATCAGGATGTTGGTGGTGGTGGCCTCCAACTGAAAACCAGAGAACCTTATCTATTTCCTCCTCATTCTCATGCCAGGGATTTTGGGGATCACAGTCGCCTGTGCACTATTATGCAAAAGGCCCAAGAAATGAAATTCTCCATGTCCACTTTGAACTTTAACTTTGATATAGGGCCTCCATTCCTCACTGGGGACATAGGGACATTGGCCATGTCATAGTCTTGTTTTCTGTTTTTTTTTTTTAAGCCAAAAGATTTGCATAAAAATTGGCAGGGCTCTCTAATTCATTTCAAAATTCAATGGTAGAAGAGGAGAGCAGCATTTGTATTAGTTATAGGGGCCAGCACTGGGCAGAACCTAGGAGGCTGCCATTGAGCCCAAAATGGCACACTACCACCAAACCATGAGTTCCCTGGTGAAGAGCCCATTAATCTCCTTTTGTGAGTCCTTATTGTTGGGTAACCAAACCTAGAGATCTCTTTGGTGAGGCCCTTACCTAGATCATTGAGAAGTGTGTGCCCAATGACTATTTTTATGTTGCTGTCTCTGATAATCTCTTTTTGCTTTTTTGTAGCAGTTGCTTCTTCCATGCTGAGGAATTTGACATGTACAGGCCATTGCTTACAGTATCACAATAAATGAAAAAAATTATGATCTAGATCAGTGGTCCTCAACCTTTTTGCACCAGAGAAAGTGAACAAAATTAACATTTTTTGCATGGACCAGGGCTGAGGTGGGGGATGGTTTTGGGATGATTCAAGTGCATTACATTTATTGTGCACTTTATTTATATTATTATTACATTGTAATATGTAATGAAATAATTATACACCATAATGTAGAATGAGTGGGAGCCCTGAGCTTGTTTTCCTGCAATTAGATGGTCCCATGTGAGGCATGAAAGACAGTGACAGATCATCAGGCATTAGATTCTCATAAAGAACGCACAACCTGGAACCACCCAAGATGGCCGAATAGGAACAGCTCCAGGCTACAGCTCCTAGCATGAGCGACCCAGAAGATGAGTGATTTCTGCATTTCCAACTGAGGTACCGAGTTCATCTCACTGGGACTGGTTGGACAGTGGGTGCAGCCCACAGAGTGTGAGCCAAAATGGCAGGACATCGCCTCACCCAGGAAGCACTAGGGGTCAGGGAATCCCTTTCTTAGTCAAGGGAAGCCATGACAGATGGTACCTGAAAATCAGGACACTCCCGCCTTAATACAGCGCTTTTCCAATGGTCTTAGCAAAAGGCGCACCAGGAGATTATATCCTGCGCCTCGCTTGGCGGGTCCCACACCCATGGAGCCTTGCTCACTGCTAGCACAGCAATCCGAGATCAAACTGAGAGGTGGCAGCGAGGATGGGGGAGGGGCATCTGCCATTGCTGAGGCTTGACTAGGTAAACAAAGCAACTGGGAAGCTCGAACTAGGTGGAGCCCACCGCAGCTCAACAAGGCCTGCCTGCCTGTATAGACTCCACCTCTGGGGGCAGGGCATAGCTGAACAAAAGGCAGCGGAAACTTCTGCAGACTTAAACGTCCCTGTCTGACAGCTTTGAAGACAGCAGTGGTTCTCCGTGCATGGAGTTTGAGATCTGAGAATGGACAGACTGCTTCCTAAAGTGGGTCCCTGACCCCCCAGTAGGCTAACTGGGAGACATCTCCCAGTAGGGGCTGACTAACACCACAAACAGCTGGCAGCCCCTTTGAGACAAAGCTTCCAGAGGAAGGATCAGGCAGCAACCTTTGCTCTTCTGCAATATTATATTTGCTGTTCTGCAGCCTCCGCTGGTGATACCCAGGCAAACAGGGTCTGGAGTGGACCTCCAGCAAGCTCCAGCAGACCTACAGCTAAGGGTCCTGACTGTTAGAAGAAAAACTAACAGAAAGGAATGGCATCAATATCAACAAAAACAACATCCACAACAAAACCCATTTGTAGGTCACCATCATCAAAGACTAAAGGTAGATAAAACCACAAAGATGGGGAGAAACCAGAGCAGAAAAGTTGAAAATTCTAAACACCAGAGTGCCTCTTCTCCTCCAAAGGATCGCAGGTCCTTGCCAGCATCAGAAGAAAGCTGGACGGAGAATGACTTTGACGAGTTGAGAGAAGTAGACTTCAGAAGATCGGTAATAATAAACTTCTCTGAGCTAAAGGAGGATGCTCGAACCCATTGCAAGGAAGCTAAAAACCTTGAAAAAAAGATTAGAAGACTGGCTAACTAGAATAAACAGCATAGAGAAGACCTTAAATAACCTGGTGGAGCTGAAAACCATGGCACGAGAACTATGTGATGCATGCACAAGCTTCAGTAGCCAATTCAGTCAAGTGGAAGAAAGGGTATCAGTGATTGAAGATCAAATGAATGAAATGAAGTGAGAAGAGAAGTTTAGAGAAAAAAGAGTAAAAAGAAATGAACAAATCCTCCAAGAAATATGGGACTATGTGAAAAGACCAAATCTGCATTTGATTGGTGTACCTGAAAGTGACAGGGAGAATGGAACCAAGTTGGAAAACACTATTCAGGATATTATGAAGGAGAACTTCCCCAACCTAGCAAGGCAGGCCAACATTCAAATTCAGGAAACACAGAGAACGCCACAAAGTTACTCCTCGAGAAGAGCATCTCCAAGACACATAATTGTCAGATTCACCAAGGTTGAAATGAAGGGAAAAATGTTAAGGGCAGCTGGAGAGAAAGTTCGGGTTAACCACAAAGGGAAGCCCATCAGACTAACAGCTGATCTCTCAGCAGAAACTGTACAAGCCAGAAGAGAGTGGGGGCCAGTATTAAACATTCTTTTTTTTTATTTTACTTTAAGTTTTAGGGTACATGTGTACAACGTGCAGGTTTGTTACATATGTATACATGTGCCATGTTGGTGTTCTGCACCCATTAACTCATCATTTAACATTAGGTATATCTCTTAATGCTAGCCCTCCCCCCTCCCCCCACCCCACAACAGGCCTTGTGTGTGATGTTCCCCTTCCTGTGTCCATGTGTTCTCATTGTTCAATTCCCACCTATGAGTGAGAACATGTGGTGTTTGGTTTTTTGTCCTTGCCATAGTTTGCTGAGAATGATGGTTTCCAGCTTCATCTATGTCCCTACAAAGGACATGAACTCATCCATTTTTATGGCTGCATAGTATTCCATGGTGTATATGTGCCACATTTTCTTAACCCAGTCTATCATTGTTGGACATCTGGGTTGGTTCCAAGTCTTTGCTATTGTGAATAGTGCCACAATAAACATACGTGTGCATGTGTCTTTATAGCAGCATGATTTATAATCCTTTGGGTATATACCCAGTAATGGGAGTGCTGGGTCAAATGGTATTTCTAGTTCTAGATCCCTGAGGAATCGCCACACAGACTTCCACAATGGTTGAACTAGTTTACAGTCCCACCAACAGTGTAAAAGCTTTCCTATTTCTATACATCCTCTCCAGCACCTGTTGTCTCCTGACTTTTTAATGATCGTCATTCTAACTGGTGTGAGATGGTATCTCATTGTGGTTTTGATTTGCATTTCTCTGATGGCCAGTGATGATGAGCATTTTTTCATCTGTCTGTTGACTGCATAAATGTCTTCTTTTGAGAAGTATCTGTTCATATCCTATGCCCACTTGTTGATAGGGTTGTTTGTTTTTTTCTTGTAAATTTGTTTGAGTTCATCGTAGATTCTGGATATTAGCCCTTTGTCAGATGAGTAGATTGCAAAAATTTTCTCCCATTCTGTAGGTTGCCTGTTCACTCTGATGGTAGTTTCTTTTGCTGTGCAGAAGCTCTTCAGTTTAATTAGATCCAATTTGTCAATTTTGGCTTTTGTTGCCATTGCTTTTGGTGTTTTAGACATGAAGTCCTTGCCCATGCCTATGTCCTGAATGGTATTGCCTAGGTTTTCTTCTAGGGTTTTTATGGTTTTAGGTCTAACATTTAAGTCTTTAATCGATCTTGAATTAATTTTTGTATAAGGTGTAAGGAAGGGATCCAGATTCAGCTTTCTCCATATGGCTAGCCAGTTTTCCTAGCACCATTTATTAACTAGGGAATCCTTTCCCCATTTCTTGTTTTTGTCAGGTTTGTCAAAGATCAGATGGTTGTGGATATGTGGCATTATTTCTGAGGGCTCTATTGTGTTCCATTGGTCTATATCTCTGTTTTGGTACCAGTACTATGCTCTTTTGGTTACTGCAGCCTTGTAGTATAGTTTGAAGTCAGGTAGCGTGATGCCTCCAGCTTTGTTCTTTTGGCTTAGGATTGACTTGGCGATGCGGGCTCCTTTTTGGTTTCATATGAACTTTAAAGTAGTTTACTCCAATTCTTTGAAGAAAGTCGTTGGTAGCTAGATGGGGATGGCATTGAATCTATAAATTACCTTGGGGAATATGGCCATTTTCACGATATTGATTCTTCCTATCCATGAGCATGGAATGGTCTTCCATTTGTTTATGTCCTCTTTTATTTCATTGAGCAGTGGTTTGTAGTTCTCCTTGAAGAGGTCCTTCACATCCCTTGTAAGTTGGATTCCTAGGTATTTTATTTTCTTTGAAGCAAATGTGAATGGGAATTCACTCACGATTTGGCTCTCTGTTTGTCTGTTATTGGTATATAAGAATACTTGTGAGTTTTGCACATTGATTTTGTGTCCTGAGACTTTGCTGAAGTTGCTTATCAGCTTAAGGAGATTTTGGGCTGAGACAATGGGGTTTTCTAGACATACAAGGATGTCATCTGCAAACAGGGACAATATGACTTCCTCTTTTCCTAATTGAATATCCTTTATTTCCTTCTCCTGCCTGATTGCCCTGGTCAGAACTTCCAACACTATGTTGGATAGGAGTGGTAAGAGAGGGCATCCCTGTCTTGTGCCAGTTTTCAAAGGGAATGCGTCCAGTTTTTGTCCATTCAGTATGATATTGGCTGTGGATTTGTCCTGGATAGCTCTTATTATTTTGAGATATGTCCCATCAATACCTAATTTATTGAGAGTTTTTAGCAGGAAGGGCTGTTGAATTTTGTCAAAGGCCTTTTCTTCATCTATTGAGATAATCATGTGGTTTGATTTGCGTATGTTGAACCAGCCTTGCATCCCAGGGATGAAGCCCATTTGATCATGGTGGATAAGCTTTCTGATGTGCTGCTGGATTCAGTTTGCCAGTATTTTATTGAGGATTTTTACATCCATGTTCATCAGGGATATTGGTCTAAAATTCTCTTTTTTGGTTGTGTGTCTGCCAGGCTTTGGTATCAGGATGATGCTGGCCTCATAAAATGAGTTAGGGAGGATTCCCTCTTTTTCTATTGATTGGAATAGTTTGAGAAGGAATGGTACCAGCTCCTCTTTGTACCTCTGGTAGAATTCGGCTGTGAATCCATCTGGTCCTGGACTTTTTTAGGTTGGTAGGCTACTAATTATTGCCTCAATTTCAGAGCCTGTTATTGGTCTATTCAGAGATTCAACTTCTTCCTGGTTTAGTCTTGGGAGGGTGTATGTGTTGAGGAATTTATCCATTTCTTCTAGATTTTCTAGTTTATTTGCATAGAGGTGTTTATAGTATTCTCTGATGGTAGTTTGTATTTCTGTGGGATCGGTGGTGATATCCCCTTTATCATTTTTTATTGCGTCAATTTGATTCTTCTCTCTTTTCTTCTTTATTAGTCTTGCTCTAGCGGTCTGTCAATTTTGTTGGTCTTTTCAAAAAACCAGCTCCTGGATTCATTGATTTTTTTGAGGGTTTTTTGTGTCTCTATTTCCTTCAGTTTTGCTGTGATCTTAGTTATTTCTTGCCTTCTGCAAACTTTTGAATGTGTTTGCTCTTGCTTTTCTAGTTCTTTTAATTGTGATGTTAGGGTGTCCATTTTAGATTTTTCCTGCTTTCTCTTGTGGGCATTTAGTGCTATAAATTTCCCTCTACACACTGCTTTGAATGTGTCCCAGAGATTCTGGTATGTTGTGCCTTTGTTCTCGTTGGTTTCAAAGAACATCTTTATTTCTGCCTTCATTTCGTTGTGTACCTAGTAGTCATTCAGGAGTGGGTTGTTCAGTTTCCATGTAGTTGAGCGGTTTTGAGTGACTTTCTTAATCCTGAGTTCTAGTTTGATTGCACTGTGGTCTGAGAGACAGTTTGTTATAATTTCTTTGCTTTTACATTTGCTGAGGAGTGCTTTACTTCCAACTATGTGGTCAATTTTCGAATAGGTGTGGTGTGATGCTGAGAAGAATGTATATTCTGTTGATTTGGGGTGGAGAGTTCCGTAGATGTCTATTAGGTCCGCTTGGTGCAGAGCTGAGTTCAATTCCTGGATATCCTTGTTGACTCTCTGTCTCGTTGATCTGTCTAATGTTGACAGTGGGGTGTTAAAGTCTCCCATTATTATTGTGTGGGAGTCTAAGTCTCTTTGTAGGTCTCTAAGGGCTTTCTTTATGAATCTGGGTGCTCCTGTATTGGGTGCATACATATTTAGGATAGTTAGCTCTTCTTGTTGATCCCTTTACCATTATGTAATGGCCTTCTTTGTCTCTTTTGATCTTCATTGGTTTAAAATCTGTTTTATCCAAGACTAGGATTGCAACCTCTGCCTTTTTTTGTTTTCCATTTTCTTGGTAGATCTTCCTCCATCCCTTTACTTTGAGCCTATGTGTGTCTCTGCACGTGAGATGGGTTTCCTGAATACAGCACACTGATGGGTCTTGACTCTTTATCCAATTTGCCAGTCTGTGTCTTTTAATTGGAGCTTTTAGCCTATTTACATTTAAGGTTAATATTGTTATGTGTGAATTTGATCCTGTCATTATGATGTTAGCTGGTTATTTGCTCGTTAGTTGATGCAGTTTCTTCCTAGCATTGATGGTCTTTACAATTTGGCATGTTTTCGCAGTGGCTGGTACTGGTTGTTCCTTTTCATGTTTAGTGCTTCCTTCAGGAGCTCTTTTAGGGCAGGCCTGGTGGTGACAAAATCTCTCAGCACTTGCTTGTTTGTAAAGGATTTTATTTCTCCTTCACTTATGAAGCTTAGTTTGGCTGGATATGAAATTCTGAGTTGAAAATTCTTTTCTTTATGAATGTTGAATATTGGCCCCCACTCTCTTCCGGCTTGTAGAGTTTCTGCCGAGAGATCCGCTATTAGTCTGATGGGCTTCCCTTTGTGGGTAACGCGACATTTCTTTCTGGCTGCCCTTAATATTTTTTCCTTCATTTCTACTTTGGTGAATCTGACAATTATGAGTCTTGGAGTTGCTGTTCTCGAGGAGTATCTTTGTGGCATTCTCTGTATTTCCTGAATTTGAATGTTGGCCTGCCTTGCTAGATTGGGGAAGTTCTCCTGCATAATATCCTGCAGACTGTTTTCCAACTTGGTTCCATTCACCCCTTCACTTTAAGGTACACCAATCAGACGTAGATTTGGTCTTTTTACATAGACCCATATTTCTTGGAGTCTTTGTTCATTTCTTTTTATTCTTTTTTCTCTAAACTTCTCTTCTCACTTCATTTCATTCATTTGATCTTCCATCACTGATACCCTTTCTTCCAGTTGATCGAATCAGCTACTGAGGCTTGTGCATTCGTCACGTAGTTCTCGTGCCTTGGTTTTCAGCTCCATCATGTCCTTTAAGGACCTCTCTGCATTGGTTATTCTAGTTAGACATTCGTCTAATTTTTTTTCAAGGTTTTTAACTTCTTTGCCATGGGTTAGAACTTCCTCCTTTAGCTCTGAGTAGTTTGATCATCTGAAGCCTTCTTCTCTCAACTCGTCAAAGTCATTCTCCACCCAGCTTTGTTCCATTGCTGGCGAGCAGCTGCGTTCCTTTGGAGGAGGAGAGGTGCTCTGATTTTTAGAATTTTCCATTTTTCTGCTTTGTTTTTTCCCCATCTTTGTTATCTACCTTTGGTATTTGAGGATGGCGACGTACAGATGGGGTTTTGGTGTGGATGTCCTTTCTGTTTGTTAGTTTTCCTTCCACAGTCAGGACCCTCAGCTGCAGGTCTGTTGGAGTTTGCCGGAGGTCCACTCCAGGCCCTGTTTGCCTGGGTGTCAGCAGCGGAAGCTGCAGAACAGTGGATATTGGTGATCAGCGAATGTTGCTGCCTGATCGTTCCTCTGGAAGTTTTGTCTTAGAGGAGTACCCAGCTGTGTGAGGTGTCAGTTTTTCCCTACTGGGGGGTGCCTCCCATTTAGGCTACTCAGGGGTCAGGGACCCACTTGAGGAGGCAGTCAGTCCATTCTCAGATCTCAAACTCCATGCTGGGAGAACCACTACTCTCTTCACAGTTGTCAGACAGGGACATTTAAGTCTGCAGAGGTTTCTACTGCCTTTTGTTTGGGTATGCCCTGCCCCCAGAGGTGGATTCTACTGAGGCAGGCAGGCCTCCTTGAGCTGTGGTGGGCTCCACCCAGTTCGAACATCCCAGCCGCTTTTTTTAGCTACTCAAGCCTCAGCAATGGCAGGCGCCCTTCCTCCAGCCTCACTGCTGCCTTGCAGTTTGATCTCAGACTGCTGTGCTAGCAATGAGTGACGCTCCGTCAGTCAGTGTAGCACTCTCCGAGCCAGGCGCGGGATATATTCTCCTGGTGTGCCATTTGCTAAGACTGTTGGAAAAGCGCAGTATTAGGTTGGGAGTGACTCGATTTTCCAGGTGCCATCTGTCACACCTTTCCTTGGCTAGGAAAGGGAATTCCCTGACCCCTTGCACTTCCCGGGTGAGGCGATGCCTCGCCCTGCTTCGGGTCCCGCTCAGTGCGCTGCGCCCACTGTCCTGCACCCACTGTCCGACAATGCCCAGTGAGATGAACCCGGCACCTCAGTTGGAAATGCAGAAATCATTCGTGTTCTGCATTGCTCATGCTGGGAGCTGTAGACTGGAGCTGTTCCTATTCGGCCATCTTGGCTCCCCAATATTAAACATTCTTATAGAAAAGAATTTTCAACCCACAATTACATATCCATCCAAACTAAGCTTCATAAGTGAAGGAGAAATAAAATCCTTTACAGACAAGCAAGTAGTGAGAGATTTTGTCGCCACCAGGCCTGCCTTACAAAAGCTCCTGAAGGAAGCGCTAAACATGGAAAGGAACAACTGGTACCATCCACTGCAAAAACATGCCAAATTGTAAAGACCATCGATGCTAGGAAGAAACTGCACCAACTAACGAGCAAAAGAACCAGCTAACATCAAAATGACAGGATCAAATTCACACATAACAATATTAAACTTAAATGTAAATGGGCTAAATGCCCCAATTAAAAGACACAGACTGACAAGTTGGATAAAGAGTCAAGACCCATCAGTGTGCTATATTCAGGAGACCCATCTCACGTGCAGAGGCACACATAGGCTCAAAATAAAGGGATGGAGGAAGATCTACCAAGAAAATGGAAAACAAAAAAAGGCAGAGGTTGCCATCCTAGTCTCTGTTAAAACAGACTTTAAACCAACAAAGATCAAAAGAGACAAAGAAGGGCATTACATAATGGTAAAGGGATCAATTCAACAAGAAAAGCTAACTATCCTAAATATGTGTGCACCCAATACAGGAGCACCCAGATTCATAAAGAAAGCCCTTAGAGACCTACAAAGAGACTTAGACTCCCACACAATAACAATGGGAGACTTTAACACTCCACTGTCAACATTAGACAGATCAACGAGACAGAAAGTTAACAAGGATATCCAGGTCTTCAACTCAGCTCTGCACCAAGCGGACCTACTGGACATCTACAGAACTTTCCACCACAAATCAACAGAATATGTATTCTTCTCAGCACCACATCGCACTTATTCCAAAATTGACTACATAGTTGGAAGTAAAGCACTCCTCAGCAAATGTAAAAGCAAAGAAATTATAACAAACTGTCTCTCAGACCACAGTGCAATCAAATTAGAACTCAGGATTGAGAAACTCTTTCAAAACTGCTCAACTATAGGGAAACTGAACAACCTGCTCCTGAATGACTACTGGGTAAATAATGAAATGAAGGCAGAAATAAATATGTTCTTTGAAACCAATGAGAACAAAGACACAACATACTGGAATCTCTGGGACACATTTAAAGCAGTATGTAGAGGGAAATTTATAGCACTAAATGCCCACAAGAGAAAGCAGGAAAGATCTAAAATCGATACCCTAACATCACAATTAAAAGAACTAGAGAAGCAAGAGCAAACACATTCAAAAGCTAGCAGAAACCAGGAAATAACTAAGATCAGAGCAGAATTGAAGGAGATAGAGACACAAAAAACCCTTCAAACAATCAATTAATCCAGGAAATAGTTTTTTGAAACAGTCAACAGAATAGATAGATGGCTAGCAAGACTAATAAAGAAGAAAAGAGAGAAGAATCAAATAGACGCAATAAAAAATGATAAAGGGGATACCACCCATTATCCCACAGAAATACAAACTACCATCAGAGAATACTGTAAACACCTCTACACAACTAAACTAGAAAATCTAGAAGAAATGGATAAATTCCTGGACACATATGCCCTCCAAAGACTAAACCAGGAAGAAGTTGAATCCCTGAATAGTCCAATAACAGGCTCTGAAATAGAGGCAATAATTAATAGCTTAGCAACCAAAAAAGGTCCAGGACCTGATGGATTTACAGCCGAATTCTACCAGAGGTACAAAGAGGAGCTGATACCATTCCTTGTGAAATTATTCCAATCAGTAGAAAAAGAGGGAATCCTCCCCAACTCATTTTATGAGGCCAGCATCATCCTGATACCAAAGCCTGGCAGAGACACAACAAAAGAAGAGAATTTTAGACCAATATCCCTGATGAACATCGATGCAAAAATCCTCAATAAAATACTAGCAAACAGAATCCAGCAGGGTATCATAAAGCTTATCCACCATTGCTAAGCCGGCTTCATCCCTGGAATGCAAGGCTGGTTCAACATACACAAATCAATAAATGTAATCCATCATATAAACAGAACCAAAGTCAAGAACCACATGATTGTGTCAATAGATGCAGAAAAGGTCTTTGAGAAAATTCAACAGTTGTTCATGCTAAAGACTCTCAATAAATTAGGTACTGATGGGACGTATCTCAAAATAGTAAGAGCTCTCTATGACAAACCCACAGCCAATATCATACTGAGTGGGCAAAAACTGGAAGCATTCCCTTTGAAAACTGGCACAAGACAGGGATGCCCTCTCTCACCACGCCTATTCAACATAGTATTGGAAGTTCTGGCCCGGGCAATCAGGCAGGAGAAGGAAATAAAAGGTATTCAATTAGGAAAAGAGGAAGTCAAATTATCCCTGTTTGCAGATGACATGATTGTATATTTATAAAACCCCATCGTCTCAGCCCAAAATCTCCTTAAGCTGATAAGCAACTTCAGCAAAGTCTCAGGATACAAAATCAATGTGCAAAAATCACAAACGTTCCTACACACCAATAACAGACAAACAGAGAGCCAAATCATGAGTGAACTCCCATTCACAATTGCTTCAAAGAGAATAAAACACCTGGGAATCCAACTTACAAGGGACGTGAAGGACCTCTTCAAGGAGAACTACAAACCACTGCTCAATGAAATAAAAGAGGATACAAACAAATGGAAGAACATCCCATACTCATGGGCAGGAAGAATCAATATCGTGAAAATGGCCATACTGCCCAAGGTAATTTATAGATTCAATGCCATCCCCATCAAGCTACCAATGACTTTCTTCACAGAATTGGAAAAAACTACTTTAAAGTTCATATGAAACCAAAAAAGAGCCCGCATCGCCGAGACAATCCTAAGTCAAAAGAACAAAGCTGGAGGCATCACGCTACCTGACTTCAAACTATACTACAAGGCTACAGTAACCAAAAGAGCATAGTACTGGTACCAAAACAGAGATATAGACCAATGGAAAAGAATAGAGCCCTCAGAAATAATACCACACATCTACACCCATCTGATCTTTGACAAACCTGACAAAAACAAGAAATGGGGAAAGGATTCCCTATTTAATAAATGGTGCTAGGAAAACTGGCTAGCCATATGGAGAAAGCTGAATCTGGATCCCTTCCTTACAACTTGTACAAAAATTAATTCACATGGATTAAAGACTTAAATGTTAGACCTAAAACCATAAAAACCCTAGAAGAAAACCTAGGCAATACCTTTCAGATCATAGGCATGGACAAAAACTTCATGACTAGAACACCAAAAGCAATGGCAACGAAAGCCAAAATAGACAAATGGGATCTAATTAAACTGAAGAGCTTCTGCACAGCAAAAGAAACTACCATCAGAGTGAACAGGCAACCTACAGAATGGGAGAAAATTTTTGCAATCTACCCATGTGACAAAGGGCTAATGTCCAGAATCTATAAGAACTTAAACAAATTTACAAGAAAAAATCAAACAACCCCATCAAAAAGTGGGCGAAGCATATGAACAGACACTTCTCAAAAGGAGACATTTATGCAGCCAAAAAACACATGAAAAAATGCTCATCATCACTGGCCGTCAGAGAAATGCAAATCAAAACCACAATGAGATACCATCTCACACCACTTAGCATGTTGATCATTAAAAAGTCAGAAAACAACAGGTGCTGGAGAGGATGTGGAGAAATAGGAACACTTTTACACTGCTGATGGGACTGTAAACTAGTTCAACCATTGTGGAAGACAGTGTGCCAATTCCTCAAGCATCTAGAACTAGAAATACCATTTGACCCAGCACTCCCATTACTGGGTATATACCCAAAGGATTATAAATCATGCTACTGTAAAGACAACGTGCACACGTATGTTTATTGCAGCATTATTCACAGTAGCAAAGCTTGGAACCAACCCAAATGTCCCTCAGTGATAGACTGGATTAAGAAAATGTGGCACATATACACCATGGAGTACTATGCAGCCATAAAAAAGGATGAGTTCATGTCCTTTGTAGGGACATGGATGAAGCTGGAAACCATCATTCTCAGCAAACTATCGCAAGGATAAAAAACCAAACACCACATGTTCTCACTCATAGGTGGGAATTGAACAATGAGAACACTTGGACACAGGAAGGGGAACATCACACACCGAGGCCTATCGTGGGTGGGGGGAGGGGGGAGGGATAGCATTAAGAGATATACCTAATGTAAATGACAAGTCAATTGGTGCAGCACATCAACATGGCACATGTATACATATGTAATAATCCTGCACGTTATGCACATGTACCCTAGAACTTAAAGTATAATAAAAAAATAAATAAATAAGAAAACTAACCATAAAAATAAAACCTAGATCTTTCAGATGTGCAGTTTACAATAGGGTTTGTGTTCCTATGGAAATCTAATGCCACTGGTGATCTGACAGGAGGCAGAGCTCAGGCAGTAATGTGAATGATGGGGAGCAGTTGAAAATACAGATGAATCTTCGCTCACTCACCCACTGCTCACCTACTGCTGTGTGACCCGGTTTCTAACAGGCCAGAGACCAGTACTGGTCATGGCCTCGGTGCTGGGGACCCCAATCTAGATTATTTCACTGACCAATTTGCCTGACCTTAGAGGAGGATTAATTTTAATTTGGCTCCATAACCAGTAGGAGTGACACTTATAACCCTAGAAATCTGAGACTTGTTAAAAATCTTATCATTGACTGCTCTCACTCTCGTCATTGACTGCTCTCACTCTCAAGCAAGAGACCAAGGGATCACCAGTATGGTTTGTGGGTCTGTATAGCCAGATAAATCTGAAAATGTATTTTAGTCATAGGGAAGAGAGCATGGGTTTGCCAAAGTTGTCAGAACCCAAATAGAACCCAGTTGAAAAAGAAGGGCTTGGGTGTTCCCTTCTCATTCTCTGACTTTGCTTATCCTCCTTGAGCAAAACCTATTCTGTCATGACACTCTAAAGGAGGGGTTTTATAGTGACACAGCCCACAAGGTACCACTAAGTTAGTTTACCAAGATTACCTCATTCATCATGCAGGCAAATAATCCATGCCTCTAAATTCTCCTAGATCACACAGGAAAGCAATCCCAAAGGGCTCTCCATTCGTTTTATTTAAACCATGAGTCTCAATCCCTTGCTGGGTCATAAGCTGTCTGTCATTGCCTGGTACCTCTTTAGAACTAAGAGCTGTTATTGATGCAAATCAGCTCGCAGGTTCTCTGAAAACTTTCAGTCTCATCTGCAGGGGACAATAGCAGTGGCCAAGGAATTGCTTCTCTAGCTTTCTCAGAGGCCGTCTGTTGGATCTCTAATTTGCCCCACCAGGCATCTTTGCCTGAGAGTCTAGGCCTAAAGAGGAGGACCACTGGTGTCCCTCAGAACCAAAAAGCTTATGTAAACAATCCGCTAGCATTCTCTGAGAGTGCCCCATGGTGTTGGACAGCACTTTCTAAGACCCACTGATAGGGCTGGCAGAGTGCACCATGGGACAGTCAGACTCTTGCAAATGATCCACTAGTATCCCCCAAGAGGTCTCAACTCTAGCATCTCCCACAAATGCCCTGGGGATCTGCATGCTTTTTGCTTTTCCAGAAAGGCATTGTGCTTAATTGACCACCCTGCTCACAGTCATTTGTTACCAGGGGAGCTGCCAAGTGTGAAGGTGGTCAATTAAGATAGCAAGCGAGATTGAAGGTAACAATTAAGCCTTTATTCACTTACTGCAACAACATAAGCAAGAGTGTAAACATGGAAGGTCACTGACTCCATTAATGTTACATTTTCCCACAAAAAGACATTGGGCAAAGGTAGGATGTATCAGCATAGATGGGAGGGTAACTTCTCACTGTATGTACAGCCATGTGTACCATATCATAAACCATATATATTCATCCACACATAGATACACATAATTATATACCATAATTGATATTATACCATTGTTTCTGGTGTGTGTGTGTATATATATATAAATATATATATACATACACACATATACATGTATATATGCATGTGTGTATATATATACATATAACTGTGTGTGTGTGTATATATATATGTTCATTCAGCCAGTCTCCTGTGCTTAAAAATCTCAATGGTTTTGAATACTTTGCAATTACAAATAATGCTGTAATGAATGACCTTGAACATATGCATTTTCATTGTTTGGTCTATGATTATGTATTAACCTAAAGTATAAATAACTTAAGGAAAGTAGAGACTAATATAAAACACATTTAATATCTAGGAATATTTATGAAATAATAATACATCTTCAACATACATTGAAACTTTTCTCACCATTTTCATGTCAGAGCTAGCATTAAGGTAGTTTACTTATAACTTTATAAGATGAAAGAAAATGTTGCTTCCACTTGTTATAAATTTGAACTCTAGGATTTCATAGTAGATTTGTTTTTCTAGTAAGGGACTAAATTTCTCTCTTAACATAGCTCATGATGAAGAATCAGGTGAAAATCCTATGCTTAAACATCAAGATTCAGTGTCAAAAATCCAAGTGCAATTAGAGATTCAAGAAACTTCTGAAGGAGAAGGACGTAGCAGTAAGTATAATGATGATAGCTATTTTATATTATTTTAAGTAAATCTCAAAAGAACTTTTTTCTTTGGTTCATACTTACGTATTTGAGAACATATATTTTATTGATAATTTATACTCTGTAAATACTCTAACATAACTCAAGAAAGAAAACAAAGATAATGATATGTTTTGGTTAGAATTTCTTGTCGTAATATTATTACACAACTTAATTTATGCTCTCAGTATCCATCTCAGGACAATAATAGGCCAATAATTGTCTCACAAAAGATGGGTACCTCTCATCTGCTGCTGGCCATTTATGGGCACCTCTGATCTGTTGTAGTCCCAGTCAGTAGGCAGAAGTATTGCCGAGATCTGTAACTGAAGCAACAAATGGAAATCAGAGAGGTACAAGGGCAGCCAGGGTGGCCAGTAGAAGGATTTCCAGGGTATCATGCTGGTCAAGGCCCCATTCAAAGGTAGTGGTCTTTATGGTAACCTGATAGAGGATGCTGTCTGATCTCTGTGGCTTGAATGTGAGCATGGCAGCAGATGAATGGTCCCATTTATTGCTCACATTATTTTTACTTTTCGAGTCAGAGCTGGCCAAAAGCATCGACAATCATCATCTCTGGAATGGAGCACCATAGCCTTTACAGATTACACCATAGCCTTTACGGATTACACCCAGGAATTTCACTTGGGTTTTAGGTCCTTGTGCCTTTTCCAATGATAATGGCACAGTACATGCTGCACGTGGGTGAACAGAGCATCTGGTTCCTTTTGGGTAGTGTCCTTGTCTGAGCTCACTAGGATGATTTCATAAACAGTTCAGAAAGTTAATGCTTCTTCCAGGAGTGGAACTTTGTCCAGGTCATAACCTATGCATTGATACAGATAGTTGGGGAATTTTGGAAGCCTTGTGGAAAGATATTAGTGGTTTATTGTAACCTATCCTACATAATTCTAACTAATCCTGATCATCCTCTTGGAGAGGAATGCTGAAAGGACATTTGCTATGTCAATTGGTACATACCAAGTTCCTTCATCCTGGACAACAGCCTCTGTAACTGTCACAATGTCAGGTTACCATTGGTGCCAAAGGTAGCACTTATGCTTTTTAGAACCCTTATCAGTACAGAGTTTAGGCACCTGAGGTCTTTCACATAGGCCAGATGAGTCTATTGAATACAGAAATAGTGTACAGATAGTTGGGTTCTTAAAGCTTGGCAATGAGGGAAATTATTCCCTTTTTTATCCCCAGAGTGTTAATACTGGTTTTGGTAGACATTGGTACTACGTGCCAGTAGTTTGGTAGGTCATGATCTTCCACATATCCCACGAAATACCTGGACTGCAGCAAATCCCATCAGGAGGTGGGTGTAAATGCTAGTGTTGGTTCATATAGAAAATGTATTTAACTAGTAATATATTCAGTAGTAGAGGCCATGACAATAGGGGTTTATAGTGGCCCAAAGGGATCTACCCCATAGTTGGTTTAGAAAGAGGTCCTGTTTGTGGTGACCTCAGATTAAAAACTAGAAAGAATTATTTGTTTCCTCCTCGTCCTCATGTCAGGGATTGTGAGGATCACAGTAATTTGTTGACCAGTATCCAAAAGGCCCAAGAAATGTCATTTTTTCCCACCCCCACTTCAAACTTTGTCCTAGGTGTAGGTCCTCAGTTCCCCACTGGGGACCTAGGGACCTTGTACTAACCCCTAGTCATGCTTATTTGTGAAAGATGAGAGATCTGGGTAAAAGTAGGAAGGGTCTGTATGTTAGATCCCACAATGTATCACTCTAAATTTCATAAGATTACTTCCTTCATCAAGGAAGCAAACTACTCAAGTCTCAAGATTCACTGAGAGGGTTAGAGAAAATAGCACTCATACTGTTCATAGTGGACATCACCATATGGACCTTAGTGCCTGGTGGGACCACCATGGCTCACTATCTATTGGGGGGCCCATCAATCCTACTCCTTTGAGACCCTGTTGTTTGGTGACCAATCTCATAGATCTCCTCTAGAAGGCCATTGCCTGGATTGAGCAGCAGAGGGCACATGATTGCCATTTTTTTGCCACTCTTTCCATTGGCCAGTGTTTGCTATCTGGGCAGCAGCCACGTTTTCCATGCTCAAGATTTGCCAGTTAATATCTGGACTATATCTGATTGACATGACCTTAGGAGGAGGTTTGATAACCAGCAGAATTGAAATAACTGAATCTAGAAATCTGAGTCTGGTCAACAATCTTATCATCTGTTCTTTTCACTCTCACTGTGCAACCAAGGGACTATCAGCGTGGCTGGCCAGGATACTGTAAGAAGCCCTTTGTTGGTTCTCTAATTTGAACCACTGTGGGAGTTTGGTTAGAAAACTGGGGGCTATATTCCCAGGCAAGATGGCCAAATAGGAACAGCTCCAGTCTGCAGCTCCCAGTGATACCAATGCAGAAGGTGGGTGGTTTCTGCATTTCTAACTGAGGTACTCGGTTCGTCTCATTGGGACTGGTTAGAAAGTGGGTGCAGCTCAAGGAGGGCGAGCAGAAGCAGGGTGGGGCATTGCCTCACCCAGGAAGTGCAAGGGGTCAGGGAACTCCTTCCCCTAGCCAAGGGAAGCCGTGAGGGACTGTGCCATGAGGGACAGTGCCATCTGGCCCAGATACTATGCTTTTCCCACAGTCTTCGCATCACGCAGACCAGGAGATTCCTTTGGGTGCCTACACCACCAGGGCCCTAGGTTTCAAGCACAAAACTGGGCAGCTGTTTGGGCAGACACCAAGCTAGTTGCAGGAGTTTTTTTCATAACCCAGTGGCACATGGAATGCCAGTGAGACAGAACCATTCGCTCCCCTGGAAAGGGGGCTGAAGCCAGGGAGCTGAGTGGTCTTCCTCAGTGGATCCCACCCTCACAGAGCCCAACTGAGATCCACTGGCTTGAAATTCTCGCAGCCAGCACAGCAGTCTGAAGTCAACCTGGGATGCTCAAGCTTGGTGGGGGGAGGGGTGTCGCCATTACTGAGGCTTGAGTAGGTGGTTTTCCCCTCACAGTGTAAACAAAGCTGCTGGGAAGTTCGAATTCGGTGCAGAACCCACCACGGCGCAGCAAAGCCACTGTAACCAGGCTGTCTTTCTAGATTCCTCCTCTCTGGGCAGGGCATCTCTGAAAGAAAGGCAGTAGCCCCAGCCAGGGGCTTATAGATAAAACTCCCATCTCCCTGGGACAGAGCATCTGGGGGAAGGGGTGGCTGTGGGCGCAGCTTCAGCAAACTTAAATGTTCCTGACTGCTGGCTTTGAAGAGAGCAGCAGATCTCCCACACAGTGCTCAAGCTCTGCTAAGGGACAGACTGCCTCCTCAAGTGGGTCCCTGACCCCAGTGCCTCCTGATTGGGAGACACCTCCCAGCAGGGGTCAACAGACACCTCATACAGGAGAGCTCCAGCTGGCATCTGGCCGGTGCCCCTCTGGGACAAAGCTTCCAGAGGAAAGAGCAGGCAGCAATCTTTACTGTTCTGCAGCCTCCGCTGGTGATACCCAGGCAAACAGGGTATGGAGTGGACCTCCAGCAAATTCCAGCAGACCTGCAGAAGAGGGGCCGGACTGTTAGAAGGAAAACTAACAAACAGAAAGCAATAGTATCAACATCAACAAAAAGGAAACCCACGCAAAAACCCCATCTGAGGGTCACCAACATCAAAGACCAAAGGTAGATAAATCCATGAAGATGAGTAAAAACCAGTGCAAAAAGGCTGAAAATTCCAAATGCCAGAATGCCTCTTCTCCTCCAAAGGATCACAACTCCTCGTCAGCAAGGGAATAAAACAGGAGAGAGAATGAGTTTGACAAGCTGACAGAAGTAGGCTTCAGGAGGTGGGTAATAACAAACTCCTCTGAGCTAAAGGAGCATGTTCTAACCCAATGCAAGGAAGCTAAGAACCTTGGTAAAATGTCACAGGAACTGCTAACTAGAATAACCAGTTTAGAGAAGAACATAAATGACCCGATGGAGCTGAAAAACACAGCACGAGAACTTTGTGAAGCATACACAAGTATCAATAGATGAATCAATCAAGTGGAAGAAAGGATATCCAAGATTGAAGATCAACTTAATGAAATAAAGCATGAAGACAAGATTAGAGAAAACAGGATGAAAAGGAACCAAGAAAGCCTCTAAGATATATGGGACTATGTGAAAAGACCAAACTTAACGATTCACTGGTGTACCTGAAAGAGACGGGGAGAATGAAACCAAGTTGGAAAACATGCTGCAGGATATTATCCAGGAGAACTTCCCCAAAATAGCAAGACAGGCCAATATTCAAATTCAGGAAATACAGAGAACACCACAAAGATACTCCCCGAGTAGAGCAACCCCAAGACACATAATTATCAGATTTACCAAGGTTGAAATGAAGGAAAAAATGTTAAGGGCAGCCAGAGAGAAAGGTCAGGTTACCCACAAAGGGAAGCCCATCAGACTAACAGCAGATCTCTCTGCAGAAGCCCTACAAACCAGAAGGGAGTGGGGGCCAATATTCAACATTCTTAAAGAATTTTCAACCCAGAATTTCATATCCAGCCAAACTAAGCTTCATAAGCAAAGGAGAAACAAAATCCATTACAGACAAGCAAATGCTGAGAGAGAATTTTCACCACAGGCCTGCCTTACAAGAGCTCCTGAAGGAAGCACTAAATATGGAAAGGAAAAACTGGTAGCAGCCACTGCAAAAACATACCAAAATATGAAGACCAGTGACATTGTGAAGAAACTGCATCAACTAATGTGCAAAATAGCCAGTTAACATCATGATGACAGGATCAAATTCACACATAACAATCTTAACCTTAAATGTAAATGAGAAAATGCCTCAATTAAAAGACACAGACTGGCAAATTGGATAAAGAGTGAATACCCATTGGTGTGCTGTATTCAGGAGATCCAATTCATATGCAGAGACACACATAGCCTCAAAATAATGGGATGGAGGAATATTTACCAAGCAAATGGAAAACAGAAAAACCCAGGGGTTGCAATCCTAGTCTCTAATAAAACAGATTTTAAACAAACAAAGATCAAAAAAGACAACGAAGAGCATTACATAATGGCAAAGGGATCAATGCAACAAGAAGAGCTAACTATCCTAAATATATATGCTCCCAATACAGGAGCACCCAGATTCATAAAGAACGTTCTTAGAGACTTAGACTCCCACACAATAATAGTGTGATACTTTAACATCCCACTGTCAATATTAGATCAATGAGACAGAAAATTAACAAGGATATTCAGGACTTGAACTCAGCTCTGCACCAAGTGGACCTAATAGACATCTACAGAACTCTCCACCCCAAATCAACAGAATATACACTCTTCTCAGCACCACGTCGCACTTATTCTAAAATTGACCACATAATTGGAAGCAAGTTATAACTCCTCAGCAAATGCAAAAGAATGGAAATCGTAACAATCTCTCAGACCACAGTGCAATCAAAGTAAAACTCAGGATTAAGAAATTCACTCAAAATCAGACAACTACATGGAAACTGAACAACCTGCTCCTGAATGACTACTGGGTAAATAACGAAATGAAGGCAGAAATAAGTGAATTCTTTGAAACCAATGAGAACAAAGACACAATGTACAAGAATCTCTGGAACACATTTAAAGCAGTGTGTAGAGATAAATTTATAGCACTAAATGCCCACATGAGAAAGTGGGAAAGACCTAAAATCCGTACCCTAACATCACAATTAAAAGAACTAGAGAAGGATGAGCAAATTCAAAAGCTTGCAGAAGGCAAGAAATAACTAAAATCAGAGCAGAACTGAAGGAGAGAGAGACACGAAAAACCCTTCAAAAATAAATGAATTCAGGAGCTGTTTTTTTGAAAAATTTAACAAAATAGATAGACCACGAGCCAGACTAATAAAGAGGAAACGAGAGAAGAATCAAATAGACACAATAAAAAATGATAAAGGGGATATCACCCCTGATCCCACAGAAATACAAACTACCATCAGAGAATACCGTAAACACCTTTATGAAAATAAACTAGAAAATCTAGAAGAAATGGTTAAATTCCTGGACACATACAGCTTTCCCAAGACTAAACCAGGAAGAAGTTGAATCCCTGAATAGACCAATAAGAAGTTCTGAAATTGAAGCAGTAATTAATAGCCTACCAAAAAAAAAAAAAAAAGCCCAGGGCCAGACAGATTCACAGCTAAATTCTACCAGAGGTATAATCAGGAGCTGGTACCATTTCTTCTGAAACTATTCCAAACAATAGAGAAAGAGGGAATCTTCCCTACTCATTTTATGAGACCAGCAGCATCCTGATACCAAAATCTGGCAGAGACACAAAAACAACAACAAAAATTCAGGCCAATATCCCTGATGAACATCGATGCGAAAATTTTAAATAAAATACTGGCAAACAGAATCCAGCTGCACGTTAAAAAGCTTATCCACCACGATCAGGTCAGCTTCATCCCTGGGATGCAAGACTGGTTCAACATATGCAAATCAATAAATGCCATCAGTCACATAAACAGAACCAATGACAAAAACCACATGATTATCTCAATAGATGCAGAAAAGGCCTTTGAGAAAATTCATGGTAAAAACACTCAATAAACTAGGTAATGATGGGATGTATCTCAAAATAATAAGAGCTATTTATGACAAACCTACAGCCAATATCATACTGAGTGGGCAACAGCTGGAAGCATTCCCTTTGAAAACCGGCACAAGACAAGGATGCCCTCTCTCACCACTCCTATTCAACATAGTATTGGAAGTTCTGGCCAGGGCAATTAGGGAAGAGAAAAAAATAAAAGATATTCAAATAGGATGAGAGGAAGTCAAATTGTCTCTGTTTGCAGATGACATAATTGCACATTTAGAAAACCCCATTGTCTCAGCCCAAAATCTCCTTAAGCTGATAAGCAACTTCAGCAAAGTCCCAGGATACAAAATTAATGTGCAAAAATCACAAGCATTCCTATACACCAATAATAGACAAACAGAGAGCCAACTCATGAGTGAACTCCCATTCACAATTGCTACAAAGAAAATAAAATACCTAGGAATACAGCTTATGAGGGATGTAAAGGACCTCTTCAAGGAAAGCTACAAACCACTGCTCAAGGAAGTAAGAGAAGAGATAAACCAATGGATAAACATTCCATGCTCATGGATAGGAATAATCAAGATCGTGAAAATGGCCATACTACCCAAAATAATTTATAGATTCAATGCTATTCCCATCAAGCTATCATTGACTTTCTTCACAGAATTGGAAAAAACTACTTTAAGTTTCATATGGAACCAAAAAAAGAGCCCGTATAGTCAAGACAATCCTAAGCAAAAAGAACAAAGCTGGAGGCATCACACTACCTGACTCCAAACTATACTACAAGGCTACAGTAACCAAAACAGCATGGTACTGGTACCAAAACAGATATATAGACCAATGGAACAGAACAGAGGACTCAGAAATAATGTTACGCATGTAGAACCAACTGATCTTTGACAAACCTGACAAAAACAAGCAACGGAGAAAGGATTCCCTATTTAATAAATGGTGTTGGGAAAAGTGGCTAGCCATATGTAGAAAACTGAAACTGGACCCCTTCCTTACATCTTATACAAACATTAACTCAAGATGGATTAAAGACTTAAACCTAAGACCTAAAACCATAAAAACCCTAGAAGAAAACCTAGGCAATACCATTCAGGACATAGGCAAGGGCAAAGACTTCATGACTAAACACCAAAGGCAATTGCAATAAAAGCCAAAATTGACAAATGAGATCTAATTAAACTAAAGAGCTTCTGCACAGCAAAAATATCATCAGCATGAACAGGCAACCTATAGAATGGGAGAAAATTTTTGCAATCTATCCATCTGACAAAGGACTAATATCCAGAATCTACAAGGAACTTAAACAAATTTACAAGAAAAAAACAAACAACCTAATCAAAAAGTGGGTGAAGGATATGAACAGGCACTTTTCAAAAGAAGACATTTATGCAGCCAACAAACATGAAAAAAAGCTCATCATCACTGGTCATTAGAGAAATGCAATTCAAAACCACAATGAGATACCATCTCACATCAATTAGAATGGTGATCATTAAAAAGTCAGGAAACATCAGATGCTGGAGAGGATGTGGAGAAATAGGAATGGTTTTACACTGTTGATGGGAGTGTAAATTAGTTCAACCATTGTGGAAGACAGTGTGGCAATTCCTCAGGGATCTAGAACTAGAAATACCATTTGACCCAGCAATCCCATTACTTGGTATATACCCAAACGATTATAAATTATATACCCAAACGATTATAAATTATTATACTATAAAGACACATGCACACGTATGTTTATTGCAGCACTATTCACAATAGCAAAGACTTGGAACCAACCCAAATGCCCATCAATGATAGACTGGATAAAGAAAACATGGCACATATACACCATGGAATACTATGCAGCCATAAAAAAGGATGAGTTCATGTCCTTTGCAGGGACATGGATGAAGCTGGAAACCATCATTCTCAGCAAACTAACACAGCAAACTAACAACACACAGCAACTAATACACAGCCAACTAACCAAACACCGCATGTTCTCTCTCATAAGTGGGAGTTGAACAATGAGAACATATGGGCACAGGGAGTGGAACATCACACACTGGGGCCTGTTGGGGGGTAGGGGGTCAAGGGGAGGGATAGCATTAGGAGAAATACCTAACGTAGATGATGGGTTGATGGGTGCAGCAAACCACCATGGCACATGTATACCTATGTAACAAGCCTGCATGTTCTGCACATGTATCCCAGAACTTAAACTATAATTATAATTTAAAAAAGACAACTGGGGGCTAAGGGAAGGATAACGATTCCCCTAAGAACATAGAATCTTATGTAAACATCCCTTAGAACTCTCTCAGAGCTGTTTGTGGCATTCAGTGCACTTTCTGAGACCCATTGGCATAGTTGATGACCCTCAGACTCTTGCAGATTATCTGTGTGCACTACCTAAAAGTGCCCCAGAGGCTTTTCAGTATCTCCCCAAAATGCTCAGTAGTAGCTTCAGGAATTTTGGTTTATGATTGTATAATCCCAGCACTTTGGGAGACCGAAGTGGGTATATTGCTTGAGCTCAGGAGTTCAAGACCAGCCTGGGCAACATGGCAAAACCCTGTGTCTACAAAAAAATGCAAAAATTAGCCATGCGTAGTGGCTCATGCCTATAGTCCCAGCTACTTGCGGGTGCTGAAATGGAGGATAGCTTGAGCCCAGGAGGTTGAGGCTATAGTGAGCTGTGTTCACACAACTGTGCTCCATTCTGGGGGACAAAGTGAAACCCTGTCTCCAAAAGAAAAAAAAAAGATATTTTATACTGTGAACTAATATGTAAATACCCCAAGATAACTTAAAAAATAGCCCAGAATTGGTGAACTTTGGTTGAACTTTATAACACTATTTTATGGCTATGAGTCATAGACTCAGTATCCACCAATGTCCAATAACAGGCCAAAATTTGTCTCATGAAGAATGTGTAGATTTCAGCTGATTTTGGGAGATTATGAATTCAGAAACCCAATGGACACCTCAGTCCTGTGTCAGTGTCTTTCTGCCGTAGGCTCTAATTGGTGCACAAAGAAGTTGCTGAGACCTATAACTCAAAGGCAAATGTGGATCACAAGGACTCAGGGTAAAGTTAGCAGCATGGCCCATTGGAAAGCCTCCAGGCAATCCTGTTGGTCAGAACACCACTCAAAAATGGCAGCCTTACTGGTAACATAATATATGGGTGTCATCTAGATTTCTGCTTGTGTGATGTGAATGTACTAGTAGCTGAATAGTCCCAATAGTCCCTGGGACTTCTTTATATTTGTTGGGATAGAGTGGGCCAAAGGCTTGGCAATTGTCTCCTCTGGAATAAGACCTTATGCCCCTTTCTAGATCATACCCTGGAATTCACTTGGGTTTTAGGTCTTTGTACCTTGTCTGTATTCTTGGGCTAGCTGTGTTGCTGCATGTGGGTCAACAGGGCAACAGTTTTTGTTTGGTAGTGTCTGGACCCACCAGGAAGATGTCTTCAATATAGTAGAAGGTTAGAACAGGGACATGGATATTGAAAAGAGTATACGAGATGTCAGTTGTTGTATATTAAGTTCCTTTGTCTTGGGCAGTAGCCTCTGTGACAGTCACAAAGTCAGTACTGCCAGTGCTTAGGGCTACACTAATGGAATGAACTACCAATAATCAATCGAATCTCTGTGTGTACCCAAGGCCAGTACACAGGCCCCATGGGGTTATTGGATGGAAAATTAGTCCCATAGAAAACTGGCTTTATTAAGCTCAGAAATGAAATAGTTATATCTTTTCTCCCCTAGTTCATGGATTTTTTTTGGTAGACAATAGCATTAGGTACTATTAATCAGGTAAATTCATGGTCCCCATATATCCCACCAAATGGCTCTAACTAGAGCAATTTTCTTTGGGGCTTGGGAATGAATGCAAGCAGGAATATACTAAAACAATATAACTATACTGTTATACATTCAGTAGTTGGGGGCCATAACAATGGAGGTTTTAGTGGTCCAGTGGGACCCATGCATACTTTGTTACAGCAGCGATCTACTTCCCAGTGGTAGGGCTACCATTACAAAGTACCCACAAATTGGGTGGCTTCAACAACAAAAATTGTCGTCAGTGGGCTAGAAGTCTGGGATCAAGGTGTTGACATGGTTGGTTCATTCTTGGAAAATCAATTCCATGCCTCTGCCTGAGCTCCTTGTGGGTTGCTATTTTTGACATTCCTTGGCTTCTATATGCATCACCCCAATCTCTGCCTTCAATTTCACATGGCATTTTCCCAGTGTGTGTGGGTGCTCCAATTTTCTGTTTTTATAAGGACATCATTTATATTGAATTAGGGCCCACTCTAATGACCTCATTTTCATTAATCTCTGTAAAGTTCCTATTTCCAAATAAGATCACATTCTGAGATACTGAGGGTTAGGACTTCAACTTACCTGTTTTAGAGGGGCACAATTCAACCCGTAACCCTCCCATCATAGTGTTAGGGATTATGGAGATCATAGTTGTGCACCAAATCCAAAAGGCCCAAGAAATGCAATGCTCCTCTATATCCCTATTGAACTTTTACCTTGTTATATGACCACCGTTCTTCATAGGCACATAGGGACCTTGGCCTGATCCTTAGTCTTGTTTAGTTTTGAAAGCTGAGACATCGGTTAAGAGTTGAATGGGAGTCTCCAGTTCACCTCCAGCTTCACTGGGAGGAGCAGAAGGAATAGCGCTTTATTAATCAGGATCCATTACTTCGTAGACCCTAGCAGACCACCCTGTAGGGCCCCATGGCTCACTACCTTGCCATGAGTTCCTTGGTGGGAGAGCCCATCAATTTCCTTAGAACCCACACTTAAGTAACTGGAATCAGCGATCTTGTTGTGAAAGTGCTTGCCCAGATGGTCCTGGAGAGAGTGCGTGATTACCAGTTTTACATCACTCTTTCTGCCAGCCAGTTGTTGCTATCTGTGCAGCAGCTACTTTTTCAATTCTGATACCGATTTGTCATCAGTTAATATCTGGATTGTACCACAGACTGATCAGCATGGCCTTATGAGGATGTTTAATTGAGTTCAGTAACCAGTAGGAGTAAAACGAATGAACCTAAAAAACTGAGTCTTGTTAACAGTCTCATCTACCACCGGGGTGGCTAACAGGGAAGCTATATACATTGGAAGAATAGTCCAACTATGTTTTTTAATATCAAGGAACTTATCATGTTGGATCAAATCTTTCTAAGCCCAAATAATATCCAGCTGAGGATGTAGATTGTTTTGGATGCTTGCAGCCTTTCATCCCAGTCCTCTCTTCCTCCTCCTCTTTAGGCAAAGTGGCTGCTAATAGTATACTCTGAAAGTGGGGGTCTATAATGATACACCCCACAAGATGACACTCTCACTAAGTTTAACAAGATTTCCTTCTTCATCGTGGAGGTGAAAAACCCAAGTCTCTAAGATCACTTTAGATAGCTGGGTGAAGTAACTCCAAAGGGCTCTACATTCTTTTCCATTTTAGGCATGAGTCTCAACAATTTGCTGCATCGCAGGCTATCTTTCAGTGTCAGAGACATGCTTAGAGCTAACACTAGTAACTGGGTGCAACTCAGCAACTCAGGGTCTCTGATGACTTTTGTTGCCATTGCCTCCGAGATTGTATTACTAGGTAGGGATTGCTTCCCCAGCTTTCCTAGAGTCTCTCTTTTGGATTTATAATTTAACCCACCAAGCAAGCTCAGCTAGGGAATTGGAAGCTAAAAGGAAGGATTATTAGTTCTCCCTGAGACCTGAAAAGCTTATATATACAATCACTAGCATTCCCCAAAAGCACTCCCAGGGCCCACAAAATATTTCCTGAGACACATTGTCATGGCTGGTGAAGTGCTCTATGGGACTCCCAGACTCTTGCAAAGGATTCATTGGCATCATCCGTGAGTGTCCCATGCATTTCTCTAACATCTCCCAAAAAATTTCCATGGGATCCTCGGGGTTCTTTTCTTTTCTAGAAAGGCAGTGTATTTACTGGTCAACTCTGCTCACTGCACCACTTTGTCAGAGAGAGAGCTGCCAGTTGTTGAGTTGGTCAATTAATATAACAAGTCAAACTGAAAGGAATAATTAAGCCTTTTTTCAGATACTGTGATAACATAAGCAAGAGTCTACACAGGAAAGGGCCCAGCTTCACCAGAATTCCACTTTTCCCCATTAAAGGCACCAGATGAGTGGCAGATGTTTCATTTAAAAATGGGGGGATCATTTCACTGCCATGGGAACCCCAAATGAAAAGCTCTTGCCATTATATAGATGTGGCATGTGGAGAGGACCAGGAGTGGAAAAGTACTGAACACTGTCAGAAGAAAGAAAATTGTCTTCAAGGCTCCCCAGCAAGGTCATCTAACCAGAGTCCCCTTAATAATACAGTACCTTAGTCGAGCTCTCTACTCCCTCACAAGAAGGACTCCAAATGGAGGGTTCCTGAGCTAGGTGTGCAGATATGAGTAAGAGCATGGTTGGCCTGGAGAGATCTGAACCCATACCTGCACATCCCTACGGAGATCACAGTGCACTGGCTGTATGTTACATCCAGTGTGGGATGGAAAGCTGTCTTCCATAACTGCCAGATAAAACCTTTGTACTTGTCTATGGGTGTGCCTGAAAGATCACACACAACATTTTAACTTGAACCCATACTCCTTAGAATACACGTATATATTTATGTGTATATATCTACTTATACATACACACACATACACATGCATGAGCACATATGCATGCATGTGTACATGAATACACATATTTTAGAAATCATGAGATCTCTTGGACACCTTTAATTTTAGTGTCTAAGGGCTTGTTCTTGATTTCCTTCATTTTGTATGTATATATCCTTTCTTTTGTATTTTGAATCCTTTCTCTCGAAGCACCAACTGATTTATGCAGTTGCTCTATCCTATAATACTTTGAAACTTTTACAAAATTGCTTAGCATATACTACTACAAAAACAAACCTACTAAAAGAATTTCATGATTTCTTTGCAGTCTGCCCCCAACACTCTTGCCCAAGACTGAGGGTATGTTTCAAATACTGTATTTATTAGTTACATGGATTAGTACTTGTTTTTTTGTTCCATATATTAGGTTAGTTTCCTTTCAGTTTTAGTTCCCACTTCTTATCCTTATTGAATTAATTTTATTTTTAGAATATTGTGTTCATGCATTTTGTATTGCTGTGAAGGAATACCTGAGGCTGGGTAATTTATGAAGAAAAGAGGCTTATTTGGCTCATGGTTATGCAGGCTGTACAGATATGGTACCAACATCTGTTCAGCTTCTGATGAGGCCTCAGGGAGTTTTTAGCTATGGTGGAAGGGAAGGGGAACCAGCATGTCACATGGCAAGAGAAGCAAGAGAGAGATGGGGGACATCCCAATGTCTTTGTCAACAACCAGATTTTATGTGAACTCATTACCATAGAGAGGGCACCAAGCCATTCATGAAGGATCTGCCCCCATGACCCAAACACCTCCCACCAGGCAATACCTCCAACCTTAGGGATCACATTTCAACATGAGATTTGGAGGGGACTCATGTCCAAACCATATCAAATATGTAAAACATTAACCTACTTCCAAAAGTAAATATTATGCAAAAGATATCCTTAGAAGAATATAATTTCTGCCACATTCCTTCTCTTTGTATTCCCATCCTTTTTCCTGCCCTGTTGTCTTGTAGATAACAAACTACAGTGTTTTCTTGCTTATTTTACCTGTGTCTCATTTTGAAAAGGTTAATATTTCTCTATTTCTGTTTTTTTCTGATTGGTTATTTCTGACTCAAAAGTTACCGTACTAGATATCCTGTTTTTAAGATTATTTTTCACTTAACATTATCTTCTAGAAATCCCTCCATGTTAGTTTATAGAAACCTTTATTATTTTTACATAATATGTATAGAATTATATATAGTGATATGTAGAGTATTTATATCATATCATAATTTATAGTATATATCTTTGTTTATTGAGCCAATATATTATACTTGAATATTTAGATGTGTTGAATATTTTGCAATTATGAATAATATGGTAATGAATAATGTGCATACAAATTTTTATTGTTTGGTCTATTACTGTGTATTAACCTACAGTGTAAATAATCAATGAATTCTGAAGACCAATAGAAAATATATTTGATGCCTTAGAATATTTATGATATAATGAGACAGCTTTTGTAACACCCATTAAAACTATTTTCATCATTTTCATGTCAGATTTAAATTATGGTGATTTACTTATAATTTTATAAAAATGAGAAAAAATATTGCTATATACTTGTTATAAACTTCAAATATAGAGATTTCACAATAGATTTGTTTTTTCATTTAGCGGACTAAATGTATCTCTTTATGTGGTTCATTTTGTAGTACCAGATAAAAATTCTATGTTTGTTCATCAAGATTCAGTGTCAAAACTCCAAATGCAAGAAAAGAAAAAAATAACTCCTGGAAGGGAAAGGCGTAATAGTAAGTGTAGTAATTATAGATGACTTTAAATTATTTTAAAATTAAACTTATCAGAAGATCTTTGCCTTTGATTCCTGAATGTGTATTTTAGCATGTATTTTATGGAAATCGTAGACTTTGCCCTGAAGTCTTAAGATAAGTAGAGAGCAAAAATGAAAATGTTAACTTCATGTTGGAGTTTCTGGTCATAAGATTATTTCACAGCCATTGGACATGCACTCAATATCTACCAAGGCCCAATAATTCGCCTACAGTATCTTGAAGAGTGTACCTTTCAGCTGACTCTGGGAGATTAGTTTCCTGGAGATCATACCCAATGATCACTTACCACGTGTAGCGATGTTGTTCTTCCCTAGGCTTCAGTCAACAAACTGAGAGGTTGTTGAGGTCTGTAACTCAAATAGCAAGTGGGAATTATAGGAGCCAAGGAGAAGGATAGTCCTGAAGGCTTGTTGGTTAGCCCTAGGGCATTTTGTTGGTTGAGCGCCACACAAAAGTAAGGTCTTCTTGGTACCCTTATAGATGGGTGCCATCAAGTTTCTTGTGTGGTGGGGAATGTTAAAGTGCCCATGGCCAACAATGATTGTGCTTCCTTTTCATTTTAGGGGATTGAGAGGACGAAAAGATAGGCGACTGCACATCATCTCCAAATTCACAGGGAAGGGTGGAGGGAGTAACACTTCATTAATCATAGGGTCTTCAATGTGCTGACCCTAGTAGGGCCCATCAACTTCACTGTTTAGTAACCAGACCTAGAGATTGTCTCTACAGGCATCATTCAGGAGAGGGCGCTTGATTGCCATTTTATTAGGTTGGTGCAAAAGCAATTGCAGTTTTTGCCATAAATTGCTTTTGTACCAACCTAATATATCGCTTTCCTGCTGGTCAGTCTTTTTCTACCTCAGGAGCTGCTGCTTTTCCCATGCCTGAAAATTTTTCAGTTAAGTTCTGGATTTTGTCACAGAACATATGACCTGCCCTTATGCATAAGTTTGATTGAATTGGAAAATCAGCAAGAGTGGCATGAAAGAACCTAGAAATCTGAGTCTGGTCAACCATCTCCTCTATTGTTCTTACTCTTGATTGTAGAACCAAAGGACAACCAGCGTTGTGATTCATAGGGCTGCTCTTGCCTCTGCAAGGGTGGTCCAAACATGATTTTAGTGGTAGGTTCATCATGGGTATGCCCAAGCGATCAGAGCCCAAGCAATCACTAAGCTGAGGAATGAGAGGGTCTTGAAGTTGGCATCTCATACACCCCCTTTCTTTCTCCCCCTTGAGTGAAGCTTCTCTGTCATGACACTCTGAAGGAGGGGTTCTGTAGTGACTTATTCCACAAGGTACCACTTTTTCTCATTAAGTTTAAGAAGAGTACATAATGTTCTAAGGTGCCTTTGGTAGGTAGGTAAAGTGATCTCAGAAGGTTCTACATTTTTTTTAAAAAAATCCCTTATAATTTAACCATGAGTCTCAATACTTTGCTGGGACATAGGCTGTCTATCATTGCCTGGTAGCTGTTTAGAAGTAACAGCAGTCATTGGGTGCAAATTAGCTCTCAGATTCTCTGGCAACTCTCAGCCCCATCTCCACATAATTATATACTGTAATTAATATCATACCATTGTTTGTGGTATATATATCTGTTCATTTGACCAATCTCCTGTGTGTGAAAATCTCAATGGTTTTGAATATTTTGCAATTACAAATAATGCTATAACGAATGATCTTATGCATATGCATTTTCATTGTTTGGCCTATGATTATATATTAAGCTAAAGTATAAATTATCATGTATTATGTAAGTATTTTGATTATGTATTAAAGTATAAACTCATGAATCCTGGAGACCAATATAAACTTTATTTGATGCTTCAGAATATTTATGAAATAATGGCTTAGCTTCCACAGCAGCCATTAAAATTATTCTATTTTTGTGTCAGATCTAGCATTATGGTAATTTACTTATAACTTTATAAAAATAAGAGAAATGTACATATTATACATTCATAGATTTATGTTTCCATTTGATGGACTAAATGCATCTCTTGATATAGCTCGTATTGTAGTACCAAATGAAAATGTGATTTCTGTTCATCAAGATTCAAAGTCAAAACTCCAAATGCAAGAAAAGAAACAAATAAATTCTGGAGTGGAAAGACACAAGAGTGAGTATAATAATTATCGATAACTTTAAATTATTTTATGTTGAACTCATCAGATCTTTTCCTTTGATTCGTCAGTGTGTACTTCAGACTATATTTCATCAACTTTTAACTTTGACCTAAAGTGTGAATACCCTATGATAACTAGAGAACAAAAGTAATGATACTTTTTGGTTGGTATTTGAATGGTCATTAATTATAAGTAGTATCACTGCCTCCACACATGCTCATGAAAACTATTCACATGATTTTCTCATTTTACTTCCATGGGTTGAAATTCTGATGATTACTTGGCATATCCAGAAGTTCTATTGCACATCTATTTTTTTCTATTTAGCGTTTCCTTTAGAAATCAAAAAAAAGGATATATCACTTGAACATCTGTTGCCTGAGGAGAAAGTTTTATTATCAAGAAGCGAATCTCAAACGAAGAAACTTCAAGCTAAAGTAACTTCAAGAAAAAGTAAGTAATTATTTATAAATCTTATAAATTGTTTTTATTAAATTCAGGAGAAATTTGTTTTTGGTTTATAAATATGCCTTCAACCATATGCTTCTTCTGCTAATTATTTCCATCACACTACCAGATCTTTATTGATAACTTGTTTCTTTTATAATTACTCAGTTGCATGTGTCAAATCTGCCACTTTGTGGATTTCTCTATTTCTTCTTGTATTAGTGTCAGGTTTTGCTTTATATCTTATAATGCTCTATTTTTGTGTGTGTGTGCAAGTAAACTTTAAATTTATATTCTTCAAAACTTTATATTCTTCAAAAAACAGTTTTTTCCTTATAAAAGGATTCACTTCATCATTTTCATAATTTTTGTTGTTTTCCTTAATAACTACTTTATCTGTTATTATGGCTCCACAAACTTTCTTCCAGTTGGTATTTGCTTGATACGTTTTTTTCATCATATTATGTTTAACTTCTTTGTTTCTTTGTGATTTTGCTATGTCTATCGTAAGAAACTTACAATTGTATATACTCTTTTTAAAATCAGCTTGAATTTTAAGTTCTGGGGTACATGTCCAGGGTGTGCAGGTTTGTTACATAGGTAAATGTGTGCCATTGTGGTTTGCTGCACAGATCAACCCATCATCCAGGTATTAAGCCCAGCACCCATTAGCTGTTCTTCCTGATGCTGCCCCTCCTCTTGCCCCCCACTCCAGACAGGCCACTGTGTAGGTTGTCCCCCACATGTCCATATGTTCTCATTGTTCAACTCCCATTTATAAGAGAGAACATGTGATGTTTGGTATATGCTCATATTCAGTCTGATATTTTTTCTTTTAATTATCTCTTATAACCATATATAATCTAATTATTGATTTTTTAGGTGCAATTATATCATTTTTTTCTTGGCTTCTCCTATTTCTCCTACATGGTATGTTTCTTTCACTGTCTACTCCATTTTTTATCATCATACATTTTTCCTTAGCAATATTTGGTACCAAAAATTTTAAGCTTTACCTAAAGTGTGAATATAATAAGAAAAAATAAGGAAAAATTTTAAATATACAAGTATTTGTAATAATGTTTATAGTAGTAAATAAAATAATAATGTTTACAAATAAAATATATTTAATACCCATGTATATAAAAATTAACAGAACAGCTTTTATATGCACAAGTAAAAGATGTATTTATATGCTTATATTTTAACTAGACACTGATTTGCTTATATCATTAACATATAGTAATTAACATATATTGTGAATCTGGAGGTTCCACCATAGATACAGTTCTCTAGTGCTTTTAAGAGCCTTCCTTCTTGTAGTCCAGAAAAAGATGAGGTATTAGATGAAAATCTTTTGCCTGCAACTAGAGCTGCTAGAAAGAAGAGATTCCATAGTAAATATGGAAATAATATTATTAAATTATTTTTAATTACATTAGTTAAATTTTAATTAAGCATAATTTTGTTCATGGATATGTATTCTGCTACAATGTTACAGACATCCACTGAACTCATTTTTTATTGTGTCATTTACATTTATTTCTTGATTTCCTTGAATCTTGATTATTCTATCAATTATTGAGATGTATATTAAATTATCCCACTATGTGGATTTACCTATTTCTTCTTATAGTACTGTCCATTTTCCTTATACTGTCTATGTTATTAGATGTATACAAATAAAAAGTTAGATTTTCCTTTGAACTCTGCCTTTTATTTTTATGAAAGGGATCATCTCAGTCTCTAGTAAGGTCTTTTGACTAAAAGTCTATTTTGTCTGACATTGACATAATTACTACAGAGTGATTTTGGTTAGTGTTTGCATTTTTTTAAGTCATATCTCTAATAAAGAACTTATAGTTGAATTGTTTATCAGTTCAATGTGTCTGTCTTTGTCTATTCCTAGAATATGTAAAATATGTAATCCATTTACAATTATTGTACTTACTGATATATTTGGATTTAAATATTTTGGGTGAGGGTGCTTTTCAGTTTTTTTTTGTCTGATTCAGATTACTTTCTATTTTATTTCTTTCCTTATTTTGGAATTACTTTTAATCAGTTGAATTATTCAATGTGTCACATATGTTATAAAAACTTTTTAAAATGTGAATACACTTAGTAAAATAAAGTCTAATTTCAACTTTCTAAGTGTATGTATGAAGTAATAAGAGTGCCTCCACATACTTTCAGGAAAAGTACTCTGGTGGTTTTTGCATTTACCTTCATGATTCATTTTGAAAATGTGTCAGAGGTTTTATTGTGTGACATTTATTTAAGTTGTATTGTCTAGTGTAAAGTCTTATAAAACTGATAGGGCTGGGCACGGTGACTCAAGCCTGTAATCCCAGCACTTTGGGAAGCCAAGGCGGGCTGATCACAAGTTCAGGAGATCGAGACCATCCTGGCTAACACGATGAAACCTCGTATCTACTAAAAATACAAAAAATTAGCGGCGCATGGTGGCACGCGCCTGTAGTCCCGGCTACTTGGGAGGCTGAGACAGGAGAATTGCTTGAATCCGTGAAGCGCAGGTTGCAGTGAGCTGAATCGGCCACTGCACTCCAGCCTGGGCAACAGAGTTAGACTCCGTCTCAAAAAAAACAAAACAAAACTGATAGGAAACTTTGAATGGTCCTTTCTATATATTAATAATTCAGAGACTTCACAGTAAAGTTTTTTTCACTTTTTATTGGGTTAAAAGCCTTTCTTTTTGCAACTGAGAAAATGGATGAAATAGCAGATGAAAATCTTTCACATGAAATAAAGTTTTAATTTTAAAAAGCCCATCTCATATTACAAAACTTAATACTTGCAGAAAAGTGAGACTTCAAAGTAATTATAATCATTAAGAATATTGTGTAATGACTTTAAAGTTCTCTCCTTAGTTTATATGTTCAATCACAAATATGATTTTTACATGTCATGTGTATAAAGAAAACATGTATGTGCGTATATTCATGTATATTCTCCATTGTCGTTGATTAATCATATTTTTCATGTGTTCTTAACTTCACTGAGGTTCTGTTTATTTTATCATTTATGAGAAAGGTATTTTAAATTCTGCTACTGTGATTACTTATTTCTCTATCTCTTTGTAGTTCTGCCAATTTTTGTTCTATGTTTCTAAAGCTTTTTTTTATATACATACACATTTTAAATTGTTAAATTTTCTTAAGAATGCTGAAACTCTTGTCTTTATGATGGACATTTTTTAAAATAGACTGTATTTTTAGAGCATTCTTATGTTCACAGTAGAAAGAAAGATAGAGATTTCTCATATACCACCTTCCCCCACCTACATGTAGCATTACCCACGATATGATGGACATTTTGTAGCAACTCTCTTTGCCATTAATCTGTCAGATATTAACATAGCATCTTTTTAATATTAGTATTTGCAGAACACAATTTTTCACCATTGTACTTTCAACCTTTTTGTATTATTATAGCTTAGCTGTATTATATGTGTTAAATGTATTATAGTTCTTTTTTAAATCCAATGTGGCAAACTTTGAATTGAAAACATAACATTTAACACATTCATATTTAATGTAAGTACTGATATTTTGTGGGTTAATATACCATCACTTATGTTTTCTGTATTTCTTGCCTGATCTGTTTTTGAATCTCCTTTTAAAGTTTATTTTTAATATGTTTTTATCTTTTTTATTACTCATATCTGTTATAAAAATTTAACTTGATTATAAAATATGAATACCTTATGAAACCATTTTCTTGAAAAGTTCTCCTATATTTTTACACTTTACATACTCAGTCTATAACTCACTGTCTCAACAACGTGGCAGTTGGTTATATTATTTCAAAACATGAGAGAAAATATTGCTGGATAATTGATATGTATTTTGAATTACAGAGGTTTTTTGATAAATTTGTTTATTTAATGGATTAAAAGCATCTTTTTTGTAGCTCAGAAAATGGAAGAGGTATTAGATGGAGATTTTTTTAATTGAGGATAAATTTGCATTTTCAAAAAGCAAATCTCCAGCTAAGATATTTGGAGCTATCAAAATGGAAACACTAAGTAGTATGATAATTTTCAATATCATTGATGTATTTTTAATTAGAGTAAGCTGAAGAATTTTGTTCTTAGCTTTGTGACTGTTTAGTCAATATGTCTTTTGTATACATCTATTAGATCAAATATGTTTATTCTGTTCAGTTCTTACTTTTTTCATTGAGGTTTTTCTGTTTATTCTATATTACTAAGATAAGTATGTTAATTTCTCCCACTGTGATTATGGATTTCTCTATGCCTTATGGTAGTTCTGTCAAATTGGTTTATATATTTGGAAAATATTTATTTATTGTGTGCAAATTTATACTTTTTATCTGGTAAATGGAGACTGTCTGTTAATCTCTGAAAATGCATTTTGTTTTATACAAATCAAAACCATAGTGAGATACCATCTCACACTAGTCAGAATGGCTATTATTTAAAAGTCAAAAACAACACATGTTGGTGAAGTTGTGGAGAAAAGAGAACACTTACACACTGTTGGTGGGAGTGTAAATTCGTTCAACCATTATGGAAAACAGTATGGTGATTCTTCAGAGAGCTAAAAGCAGAACTACCATTCAACACAGCAATCCTATTACTGGGTATATACCCAGAGGAATATAAATTATTCTACCATAAACATACATGCATGTGAATGTTCATCGCAGCACTATTCACAACAGCAAAGATACGGAATCAGCCTAAATGCCCATCAATGACAAATTATCTGTATAAAGAAAATGTGGTACATATACACCATGGAATACTATGATTACTATGCAGCCATAAAACAGGACAAGATCATGTCCTTTGCAGGAACATGGATGGAGCTGGAGGCCATTATACTTAGCAAACTAATGCAGGAACAGAAAACCAAATACTGCATGTTCTCACTTATAAGTAGGAGTTAAATGATGAGAACTCATGAACACAAAGGGAACAAAAAACACTGGGGTCTACTTGAGGGTGGAGGGTGAGAGAAGGGAGAGGAGCAGAAAAGGTAACTATTGGGTATTGGGCTTAATACCTGGGTGATGAAAAATCTGTACAACAAACCTCCATGACATGAGTTTACCTATGTAACAAACATTCACAGATACCCCCGAACCTAAAATGAAAGTTAAAAATAAATAAATAGGCTGGGCGCAGTGGCTCATGCCTGTAATCCTAGCACTTTGGGAGGCTGAGGCGGGCAGATTGCCTGAGCTCAGGAGTTCGAGACCAGCCTGGGCAATATGGTAAAACCCCGTCTCCATTAAAATAGACAAAAAATTAGCCAGGTGTGGTGGCATGCACCTGTAATCCCAGCTACTTGGGAGGGTGAGGCAGGAGAATTGCTTGAACCAGGGAGGTGGGAAGTTGCAGTGAGCTGAGATTGTGCCACTGCGCTCCAGCCTGGGTGACAGAGTGAGGCTTCATCTCCAAAAAACAAATAAAATTAAATAAAATAAGTTAAAATAAAATAAAATAAAATAAATTTTAAAAAATGCATTTTGTTTTAATGTTTATCTGATATTTGTACAGCTACATATGCTTTCTTGTGATAAGTATTTACACAGTCTTTTGTAAACAGTTTAGACAGAGGCTCTTGGTGCTATATGATTTCAGTAATTTTTTCACAATACTCCTAAACCACAAAAAGAGTCCAACGATTTCTTCATTAATTAGGTGCAAAACAACTTAGTACCTGTTGGATACTGCATAACTTTTGTAGGGACATATATTTTTTACACAGGTAAATACCAAGGAGCACGATTGCTGTATCATATAGTAATACTATATTTAACTTTGTAAGAAATTGTTAAACTGTCTTCAAAGTTGCTGTAGTGTTTTGCATTCCTACCAGCAATGAGTGAGAGTTCCCATGTTCCTTGCCAGTTTTTGTGTTTTTAATGCTTTGGATTTTAGCCATTCTGATAGGTTTGTAGTGGCATGTAGTGGCATCTCAATGTAGTGGCATCTCATTGTTGATTTAATTTACAATTCCTTAATGACATATATGTTGAACATCTTTTTATGTTTATTTGCCATCTATATATCTTTTTTGGTATCTCTTCAGCTCTGTTGCCCATGTTGTAATAGGTTTATTTCTTTTTCTTATTGTGTCAGGTATGTGTTTTCTAAATATTTTCTTCCTGCAGGTGGCTTTTATTTTCATTTTCTTAACAGTGTCTTTCACAGAGCAGAATGTTTTTATTTTAGTAAGTACAACTTATCAATTTTTTATTCATGGATTGTGCTTTTGTTGTATCTAAAATGCCATCACCAAATTTAAGGCCACCTACACTTGTTCCTTTGTGTCTTCTAGGAATTTTATAGTTTTTGCATTTTATATTTAGATCTATGATCCACTATGAGTTCATTTTTGGTAAGGTGTAAGGTCTTTGGTTATATTCATTTTTTGTTTACATGTGGATGACTAGTTATTCCAACATCACTTGTTGAAAAGAGTCCTTTATTGAATTTCCTTTGCTTCTTTGTAAAAATTTGTTGACTATATTTATGTGATTCTTTTTATCTCTCTTCTGTTCCAATTGCTCTATTTGTCTATTGTTTCATCAATAGCATACTGTCTTGATTTCTGTAGGGCTACAGGAATTTTTAAAGTTGGGTAGTGTCAATCCTTTGATTTTGTTTTCCTTTAATATTGTGTTAACTATTCTGGGTCTTTTGCCTTTCCATTCAAATTAGAATCAGTTTGTTGATTCCATTTTGATTCCCACAGAATGGCTTGTGGGAATTTTGATTGCGATTGCATTGAACTGAGTTGAAAAGAACTGACAACAAACAATATTGAGACTTCCTATTCTTTAACATGGACTATTGCTCCATTTAGATCTTAGATCTGTTTATTCTTTGATTTCCTTAATCAGAGTATTTTAGTTTTCCTTTTTTTGTGGTTAATATTTTTTTAATTTTAGTTTATTATTATACTTTAAGTTTTAGGGTACATGTGCACAATGTGCAGGTTAGTTACATATGTATACATGTGACATGCTGGTGCGCTGCCCCCACTAACTCGTCATCTAGCATTAGGTATATCTCCCAATGCTATCCCTCCCCGCTCCCCCCACCCCACAACAGTCCCCAGAGTGTGATGTTCCCCTTCCTGTGTCCATGTGTTCTCATTGTTTAGTTTTCTTTATATATCTCTTATACATATTTTGTTAGGTTTATAATTACCTCATTTTTTTGGTGATAATGTGAATAGTATTGTGTGTTTAATTTGAAATATCACTTGTTCTTTGCTGGTATATAGGAAAGCAGTTGACTTTTGTATATTAACCTTGTATCTAGCAACCTTGCTATAATGACCTATTAGATTTTTGCTGTTGTTGAGCAAAAACAATTTTACTCATTTTATATTTATTTTATTCTCTTTTCTTGTCTTACTGCATTAGTTAGGACTTCCAGTACAATGTAGAATACATGTGGTGAGAAATGATGTCCTTGATTTATTCCTTATCTTAGAAAAAAAAGCATCTGTTTTCTCATGATTAAGATATTAGGTATTTGTTTTTTGCAGATATTCTTTATGAAATTGAGGAAGTTTCCTACTATTCTTAGTTTGCTGATAGTTTTTAAAAATCATAAATGGGCTTTAGATTTTGCCAAATGATGTTTCTTCATTTCTTATTGATCATATAATTTTTTCTTTAGTCTGTTGATGTGGTGGATTACATTAATTGATTTTTGAATATTGCATGAATGTTGCGTACCTGGGATAAACCCCATTTGGTTGTGGCATATAATTCTTTTTATACATTGTTGAATTCAATTTGCTAACAATTTGTTGAGGATTTTTGCATCTTTATTCATGAGAGATGTTGGTTTGTAGTTTTTTTCTTATAGTACCTTTATCTACTTTTGGTATTAGGGTAATATAGTTTAAATGTATTATGGAATGACACTGTACTTTGTGTGACTTTTGTTCTTTTAAATTTGTTAAGGTTTGTCTTATAGCCCAGAATAAGATCTGTCTTACTGAGTGTTCCACAGAAGCTTGAGAAGAATGTGTATTCTGCTGTTTTTGAATGGAATAATCTATAAGCATCAATTAGATCCAGTTGATTGGTGATGTGCTAAGTTCAACTATATTCTTAGTGATTTTCAGCCTGTTGTAGCTGTGAATTACAGTTAGATGGTACTGAAGGCTGCAAATATAATGAATTTGTCTGTTTTCTTTGCAGTCCCATCTGTTTTTGCCTCATGAATTTTATTGCTCTGTTGTTAGGTGCATACTTATTAAGTATTACTATGTTTTCTTGAATAATGACCTTTTTATCACTGTGTAATGTCCCTCCATGTCTCTGATCATTTTTCTTGCTCTGAAGTCCACATTGTCTCAAATTAATATAGTTTCTCCAGCTTTGCTTTGATTAGTTAGCATGGTATATCTTACTCTGTTACTTTACTTTTAATCTTATCATTTTCATATATTTAAAGCCAATTTCTGGTAGACACCATATAGTCAGATTTTTTTATTCACCTACTCTGACAGCCTCTGTCTTTGAATTGATATATTTAGACCATTCACATTTAAAGTGATTATTGACATATTTGCTTCAATATCAACCGTATTTGTAGCTATTTTCTCTTTATTGTCCTAGTTCTTTGTTTCTTTTTCACCTTCCACACCTTTCCTGCCTTCTCTGGCTTTAATTACATATTTAATATGATCCTATATCTTCTCCTTTCTCAGGATATCAATTACATTTCCTAAAATTTTGTATAGTGGTTTCCTTAGAATTTACAATGTACATTTATAGAATATCCAAGTCCACTTTTAAATATCACTATATCGCTTCATGGATAATGCAGGTATTCTGATTTCAGAGAATTCCCATTTCCTGCCTTTTGTCACTCATAAGATTCCTGTCATTTATTTCACTTATATATAAGCTATAATCATGGAGAACATTGTTACCATTATTATTATGAATAGTCTGTATCTGTTAGATCAATTAAGAGAAAAGAATATAAAATGGTTTCTTTCACTTTTTTTTTTTTTTTTTTTTTGACAGGGCCTTGCTTTGTTGCCTAGTCTAGAGTGTCATGGTGTGATCACAGTTCACTACAGCCTCGACCTCCTGGGCTCAAGTGATCTTCCCACCTCAGCCTCCAAGTACCTGGGACTACAGGCACATGCCACCATGCCTGGCTAATTTTTGTATTTTTTGTAGAGCTAGGTCTTTGCCATGTTGCCCAGGCTGATCTTGAACTCCTGAGCTCAAGCAATCCATCTGCTTTAGCCTCCCAAAATGCTGGGACTACAGGCAAGAGCCACCATTCCTGGAGTTTTTTACTTTTATTCCTTGTCTAATATTTTTTCTCTCTTTATGTAGACCTGTGTTTCTGACATGTATTATATTCCTTCTCTCTGAAGAATGTTTAAAAATATTTTCTTCCAATGCAAGGATACTGGCAACAAATTATGTCATTTTTTTTCTGAGAATGTTTTTATATCTCTTTAAGTTTTGAAGGATTATTTGTCTGGATACAGGTTCTAGTTGGTTGTATTTTTCTTCAACACTTGAATATTTTAAATATTTTAAGTTTTTCCCACCTCTTTTATCTCTCAAGATTTTCTTTTTGTCTTTGATTTTCTGTAGTTTGAGTATAGCATATGATTAGGTCTAGACATTTTTGCTATTGACCATTTTTTATGTTCTCTGAGCATCTAGGATCTGTGGTTTGATGTCTACCATTAATTTTCGAAAATTCTTAGCCATTATTATTTCAAATATTTCTCTTTTCTTGTTTGCTTTTTCTCCTTCTGTTACTCTCATTATGTACGTATTATACCTTTTGTAATTTTCCCAAAGATCTCGGTATTCTGTTTATTTTATTATTTTTTCTCTTTTCAATTTTAGAAGTTTCTAATGACACGTTTTCAAGCTCACTTATTCTTTTTTGACTGTGTCCAGTATACTGATAAGAACATCAAAGGCATTCTTAATTTCTGTTACAATGTTTTTTATTTCTAACATTTCCTTTTTTTCTTAGTTTTTCTAGCTTCCTGCTTACATTATCTATTTCTTATTACGTGTTGTCCACTTTTTCTATCAGTGGTCTTAATATCTTAGACATAATTATTTTAAATTTCTGGTATGATAATTTGAAAAATTCTGCCATATCTGAGTTTGATGCTCATGCTTAAACTGTCTCTTCAGACTATGTTTTTTTTTTTTACTTTTAGCATGACTTGAAATTTTTGTTGTTGTTGTTGAAATCTAGACATAATGTATTGGACAATAGGAACTGAGGTATGTAAGCATTTAGTGTAATATGGTTACCTAGCTAGCAGTTAGGCTGTGTTTTCTGTTTGCTGAAATTGTAGGTATCAAATGATAAAATTTTCTAAAATATTGTCATTATTTTTGCCCCCCCCCACCAAACTGCTGTTTCTGGTTTCCTTTTAGATAGGGTCTGAGGCTTGCAGATATTTTAGCTGTAATCTGCTATTATTATGCAGGAGCCTGATTAATGTGGTGATAAGATGTCATGGGAGGAGAAGCAATCTATAATCCTCTAATTAGGTCTCAGTCTTTTAGTAAGCCTGTGCCTCAGGAGTCTACACTTCACAGGAGACTCCTATGTTTTTCTCCCCAACATCCCAGGCCCTTAGGTGAACAGGAGGTTTATAGGGGGCTGAAACTGGGTATTTCCCTTCCCCGTGTTGAAGGGTAGAAAGCAGCTGGAGTTGGATATTTCCTTTCCCCCAGGTCTATATTGTATAATAAAGCCTGTGTTAGTTATTCTCTCTGATAAAATAGTTTCCCTTGAGTGTAGTCTTTTGTTAAGAACAGAAAGGTCTGAATGTGATTTAAAATGATTTCTTTAATATAATTAATGATATATTTGGATTTACATGTTTCATTTTTGGGAGGAAATACAGTTGATACTTGAACAACATGAGTTTGAACTGTGTGGGTCCACTCATATGTGGCTTTTTTTCCAACCAAATATAGATTAAAAATACAGTATTTGTGAGATGCAAAACCCAACATATACAGAGGACCCACTTTTCATATACAAGTTCCACAGGGCCAACTACAGGACTTGACTATGTGCAGATTTTGGCATATGTGTGTGAAGGGGTGGTCCTGGAACTAATCCCTATGTATACCAAGGAATGACTGTATACAGACTCATGAACCAAAGAACAAACTTCTCCTAATTTTAATTGAAAAGATTCCAGCAGTGTGCATAATTTTAATATGTACTGAAAAGACTATCTGTTTTGGTGGCTCCAAGTTCTTAGTTTGAGATTGAGTTTTAATAAAGGATTAAAACTTTATCTTTGTGTTTTCTATTTTTTCCTATCTTACTTATTTTTACTTCTCTCACATTTATTGTTTCTTTTAAAGTAACCTTTTTTATCATTTCTTTTTCTTTCTTAATTATAATGCTTATGAGTTTTAAATTTTTTTGAATGATGGCTTTCCATACAAAACTGAAGATAATATTAAATGTTTTAAATGTTTGTGTATGTCTAGAAGTAATAAGAATGTGTCTACCTGCATTAATGAAAAATATTCTCCTAATTATTATTTTATACTATATAATCTTACTTTAATAGTTCATAGCACATAAATGTGATTATTTGCTAATAAGTTGTAAAAATGAGAGAGATACTGCTTAATATTGACATTTATTTTGAAATTCTGAGATTTCTCAATAAATTATTTTTTCCTAGGTAGTAGATTAAAAACATCTCTTCTTGCAACTTACAGAATGGCTTTACTTACTGAAACTCTTTTGTTCAAAGATAAAGTTTTAATCCTTTATTAAAACTCAATCTCAAACTAAGAACTTGGAGCCACCAAAACAGATAGTCTTTTCAGTACATATTAAAATTATGCACATTGCTGGAATCTTTTCAATTAAAATTAGGAGAAGTTTGTTCTTTGGTTCATGAGTCTGTATACAGTCATTCCTTGGTATACATAGGGATTAGTTCCAGGACCACCCCTTCATACACATATGCCAAAATCTGCACATAGTCAAGTCCTGTAGTTGGCCCTGTGGAACTTGTATATGAAAAGTGGGTCCTCTGTATATGTTGGGTTTTGCATCCCACAAATACTGTATTTGTAATCTATATTTGGTTGGAAAAAAAGCCACGTATGAGTGGACCCACACAGTTCAAACTCATGTTGTTCAAGTATCAACTGTATTTCCTCCCAAACATGAAAAAAATGTGTTAGTGAGATTCGTTAATTGTATTATTTAAATCTTCCATTTCTCTTACAACTGGTAATGTTTGTTTCATCAATTATTGAAAGAATATGTTCAATTCTCCCATTGTGAGTGTGAATTTCTCTATTACTCTGTGTGATTTTGTCAATATTTGCTTTACCTCTTTTGATGTTCTCCTATTTCAACATACACGTTACACATTTAAATTTGTTATATCTTCCTATGAACTGAACTTTTGTATTTATGAAAGGTTCCTTCTCATTTCTAGTTAGGTTTTTTGCCTAAAGGCCTATTTTATCTGATATTAATGTATCTACACCAACTTACTTTATGTTGGTATTTATGTGATGTATTCTTATAAGGCCAGTTCTCATGAACAACATATAGTTAGAATTTTTTGTTCCAATGTGAACATCTTTTCCTTTTAACTAGAATTTAGATGCATTTATATTTACTGTAAATACTAATATCTTTGAGATTAAATATTCCATTTTTATAAAATTTATTTTTAGAGCAGTTTTAGGTTCAGTTCACAGCAAAATTGAGCAGAAAGTACAGATTTCCTCTGTGCCTTCTGCCATTCCCCCCACACAGACTCCCCACTGTCAGCATCCTGCACCAGAGTAAAACATTTGTTATAACCAATGAACCTACACTGACACCACATTATCACCCAAAGTCCATAGTTTACTTTAGGGTTCACTGTTGGTGTTCGTATTCTGGGTTTTGACAAATGTGTGATGACATGTATATGATCATTATAGTATCGTACAGAATAGTTTCACTGCCCTAAACATCTTTTGTGCTCTCCCTATTTATTTCTCCCTTACCCCTAACTCCTCACAACCACTGACCTTTTTGTTGTGTCCATGATTTTGCTTTTTTCAGAATGTCTAACAGTTGGAATCATACAGTATGTAGCAGTCTTTGTCTGCTCAGGCTGCCATAACAAAATACCATAGACTAGGTAGCTGAAACAACAGAACTTATTTTCTCACAGTTCTGAAGGTTGGGAAGTCCAAGATCAATGTGCTGACTGGTGAAGAAGGGCTCTCCTTAGTTGTAGATAGCCACCTTCTCACTGTACCTTCATGTAGTCTTTCTTTTAAGGCCACCAATTCTGTAAGATTAGGAGTCCACTCTTACAATCTCATTTTACCTTAATTATCTCCGTGAGGGCATATGTCCAAATACAGTCACATTAGAGATTAGAGTTTTGACATATAAAGTTGAGAGATAAAATTCAGATTGGCTTATTTCAACTTAGTAATATACATTTTAAGGTTCCTCCATTTCTTCAGTGGCCTAGTGGCTAATTTCCTTTTAGCCCTGAGTAGTGCTGAATACTCTGGATATACCACAGTTAATGTATCTATTTACCTACTGAAGAATGTTATGGGTTTTTTCCCCAAGTTGTGGCAATTATGAATAAAGCTGCTGTAAACATCCATGTGCAGGTTTGTATATGGACATGTTTTCAATTCATTTGGGTAAATATCAAGTAGTGCAATTGCTGGATTATATGACAAGAATAGGTTTAGTTTTTAAGAAACAGCCACTTTTTGATGGGGTTGTTTGTTTTTTTCTTGTAAATTTGTTTGAGTTATTTATAGATTCTGGATATTAGCCCTTTGTCAGATGAGTAGATTGCAAAAATGTTCTCCCATTCTGTAGGTTACCTGTTCACTCTGATGGTAGTTTCTTTTGCTGTGCAGAAGCTCTTTAGTTTAATTAGATCCCATTTGTCAATTTTGGCTTTTGCTGCCATTGCCTTTGGTGTTTTAGACATGAAGTCCTTGCCCATGCCTATGTCCTCAACGGTATTGCCTAGGTTTTCTTCTAGGGTTTTTATGGTTTTAGGTCTAAGATTTAAGTCTTTAGTCCATTGTGGAAGACAGTGTGGTGATTCCTCAAGGATCTAGAACTAGAAATACCATTTGACCCAGCCATCCCATTACTGGGTATATACCCAAAGGATTATAAATGATACTGCTATAAAGACACATGCACACGTATGTTTATTGCGGCACTATTCACAATAGCAAAGACTTGGAACCAACCCAAATGTCCATCAGTGATAGACTGGATTAAGAAAATGTGGCACATATACACCATGGAATACTATGCAACCATAAAAAGGATGAGTTCATGTCCTTTGTAGGGACATGGATGAAGCTGGAAACCATCATTCTCAGCAAGCCATCGCAAGGACAAAAAACCAAACACCGCATATTCTCACTCATAGCTGGGAATTCAATAATGAGAACACTTGGACACAGGAAGGGGAACATCACACACCGGGGCCTGTTGTGGGGTGGGGGGAGGGGGGAGGGATAGCATTAGGAGATATACCTAATGTAAATGACAAATTAATGGGTGCAGCACATCAACATGGCACATGTATACATATGTAACAAACCTGCACATTGTGCACATGTATCCTAGAACTTAAAGTATAATTTAAAAAAAAAGAAAAAAAAAAGAAAATAACATGGCCAACAGGCTATATGGGTACTAAATCTAAGAACAAATAATGTGAATGAGATACTAAATGTTCAAAGCCTATACTGTTTGCTAAAAAGCATAAATCCAGTTGATCAGATGCCAGATTAAATGTAGAGAGACTAACAAAATATTACCGTAGCAGAAAATACTGTTAGAAATTAAGCAAATGAATAAACATTTTCCTGCTGGTGAAAAAAAAAAAAAAAGAAACAGCCAAAGTGTCTTCCAGAGTGGCTATGCCATTTTGTATTCTCACCAGCAATGAATGAAGATTCCTGTTGCTACACGTTCTTTTCTGCATTTATGTCAGTTTTTTGGAGTTAGGCCATTCTAATAACTGTGTAATTGTGTTTCATTGTTGTTCTAATGCACAATTTCCTAATGACATATATGTTACACATCTCTTTATATGCTTACTTATCATCTGTATGTCTTCTTTGGTAAGATGTCTGTTAAGGTATTTTGCCCATCTTTCAAATGGGATGTTTGTTTTAATATTGAGTTTTAAGAGTTCTTTGCATATTTTGGGTAACAGTCTTTTATCAGATATGTCTTTTGCAATGTAATTTCCCAACCTGTGGCATGACTTTTCATTCTTTTCACAGTGTCTTTTACAGAGCAGAAGTTGTTGAATTTTAATTAAGTCCAGCTTATCAATTTCTTCTTTGTTGTTGATTGTCTTTCATATTTTGTCTATAAAGTCATCTCCATGCCCAATGTCACCTAGGAATCTTTTATATTATCTTCTAGAAGTTGTATAGTTTTCCATTTTCTATTTAGACCTATGATACATTTTGAGTTAGTTTTTGTGAAGGGTATAAGGTCTGTATCTAGATTTATATTTTATTGCATATGGATGACTTGTTACTCCAGCATCATTTGTTGAAAAGATATTCCTTTCGTCATCAAATTGCCTTTGCTCCTTCATTAAAATTGGTTGACCATATTTGTGTGAATCCACTTCTGGGCTCTCTGTTCTGTGCCATTGATCTATTTGTCTATTCTTTTTATAAGACCACACTGTCTTGACTACTGTAGCTAATAATAAGTCAGTCATCTAACTTGGTTCTTCTCCTTCAACATTGTGTTGTCTCTTGTCTTAGTTCCTTTGCATTGCTATAAAAGAATATCTGAGGATGGGTAATTTATAAAGAAAACAGGTTTATTTGGTTCACAGTTCTGCAGACTATACAAGAAGCATGGTGTCAGCATCTGCTTAGGGTCTAAGGAAGCTTTAACTCACAATGTAAGGGGAAGGAGAGCCAGCATATTACATGACAAGTGAGGGAGCAAAAGAAAGATGGGAGGAGTTGTCAGGCTCTTTTTAACAATCAGATCTATAGGAAACTAGTAGAATGAGAACTCACTGATTATTACTATGAGGGCAGCACCAAGACATTCATGAGGGACCTGCCCTCATGACCTAAATACCTAACACCAGCTACGACCTCCAATATTGGTGATCCAGTTTCTACATGACCTTTGGAGGGGACAAATATCCAAATAATGTCAGCCATTCTGGGTATTTTGCCTCTTCATATAAACTTTAGAATTAGTTTGTCAATATTCACAAAATAACTTGCTGGGGTTTTGACTGGGATTACATTGAATCTCTAAGGAAGAACTGACACCTTGAAAATATTGTCATCCTAACTCTAAGCATATAATCTCTCTCCATTTATTTAGTTCTTCCTTGATTTCTTTTATCAGAGTTTTGTAGTTTCTACTATAGATTTTATATGTATTTTGTCAGCTTTATACCTAAGTATTCAATTTTGGGGGGCACTGTTGTAATTGATGTTGTGTTTTTCATTTCAAATTCCACTTGTTCATTGTTGGCATAAAGGAAAACAATTGACTTTTGAGGAGAAGACCCAAGATGGCTGACCAGACACAGCCAGGAAGAGCATCTCCCACTGAGAGACCAGACCATCAAGAAGACGGACACACTCTGAGCATGTCTTTGGAAGGACGGCATTGAGAGTGGACAGAGGGAGGATGTAGACCCTGGGCTGAAGGAGTAGGAAGCTGGGAAGCCTGCACAGGGCTGCCAAGCATCAGGACTCATTCTTGGTCCCCAGAAATTTTTGGGGAAAGGGTGAGTTAAATAGGTGAGGAGTGGTCTTATCTCACCATGCACCTCCAGAATCCTAGCTGCAGAAGACCCTATTGTCCTGATAGACATTTGAGCTGGCAGGGAGAGCTGCTTTAAGAGGTGGCAGGGACAGGGGTCTAGGCTGTGTGGATTCCAGAGGGTTTGGCGCTGCAATGACTACAGTGGAGCATGGCCAGCGATGCCCATCCCTCAAGGCTTGCCATGCTTCTCTAGGTGGCTTTGACCTTTGTTAACTGTCAGGCCTGGACAAAGCAGAGCTGTCAGTGACATCGGGCCAATCTTATCTGCACACCTCCCTGTCTGCCAGCCTCTCCTGGGGTCCCTGCCTGGCTATGTCTACTTGCAACACAGTCTCCAATGCCCAATTGTGGTGCTTCCTGGTGGCCACTGCCATGGTGCCTTTGCCAGCAGACCTCGGCTAACCATCAGAAAGCTTCTGCAGAGGGACCCCACCAATGTGCACCCACCTGCAGCCTCCTCGCACCACTTTGTCATTGTGCACTAACTTTCAGCCTCCCCTCAATGCTTTGCCAGCATGTGCACATGGATGCCATCAGGCCACAGCTGGCATGCGCACACAAGGACCCCATAGCACCACTGCTGGCATGCATCTGCAGACAGCACTACGCTGCTGCCTTGTCACAGCCAGCACATGCACATGTGCAGAATCCACAGTGCTGCTGCCTAGTCACCACTGGCACATGCGGGGACCCTGCTGTCACCACCACCCTGACAAAGCACTTTGCTGGGACCCCCCCAACTGAGTGTTGTTGCCAGCAGACTGGGAGACCCTTGGCCCCTGCAAGCATAGCAGGTGTTTAACCTCAAGGAGCCAGAGAGAAAAGCCACAGGCCTGGCCCCATAGGAAGAAGATTGAAACTGGACCCCCCTTCCTTTCACCACATGTAAAAATCAACCCAAGATGGATCAAAGACTTAAATGTAAAACCTACAACTATAAAAACCCTAGAAGGAAACCTAGGAAATACCCTTCTGGACACATGCCCTGGCAAAGATTTCATAACAAAGACCCCAAAAGCATTGCAACAGAAACAAAAATTGACAAGTGGAATCTAATTAAATTAAGGAGCTTCTGCACAAGAAAAGAAACTATCAACAGAGTAAAGAGACGACCTATAGAATGGGAGAGAATATGCACAAACTATGCATCCAACAAAGGTCTAGTATCCAGCATCTATATGGAACTCAAATCAATAAGCAAAAAACAACCCCATTAAAAAATGAGCAAAAGACATGAACAGACACTTCTCAAAAGAACACATACATGCGGCCAACAAGCATATGAAAAAAATGCTTAACATCTCTAATCATTAGAGAAATTCAAATCAAAACCACAATGAGATACCATCTCATACCAGTCAGAATGGCCATTGTTAAAAAGTAAAAAATAACAGATCCTAGTGAGGTTGTAGAGAAAAGGGAAGGCTTATACACTGCTGGTTGGAATGTAAATTAGTTCAGCCACTCTGGGAAGCAGTTTAGAGATTGGTTCTCAAAGAACTTAAAACAGAGCTACCATTTGACCCAGGAACCCCATTACTGGTTATATAGCCAAAGGAATATAAATCATCCTACCATAAAGACACATGCATGTGCATGTTCATCACAGCACTATTGACAATAGCAAAGACATAGAGTCAACAAAGATGCCTATCAACAGTGGACTGGATAAAGAAAATGTGGTACATATATATCATAGAATACTATGCAGCCATAAAAAGAATGAACTCATGTCCTTTGCAGCAACATGGACAGAGCTAGCAGCCATTATCCTAAGCAAATTAATGCAGGAACAGAAAACCAAATACCACATGTTCTCACTTATAAGTGGGAGCTAAATATTGAGCTCACATGAACACAAAGAAGGGAACAATAGACACTGGGGCCTACTTGAGGGTGGAGAATGGGTGGAGGTGAGGATCAAAAAACTATCAGGTAATATGCTGTCACTACCTGGGTGACAAAATAATTTGTACACCTAACTCCCATGACACACAATTTACCCATCTAACAGACCTCCACATGTACCCAAAATAATAGAAAAAAAAAGTAAAACATGTAACTTTTGTACATTAACCTTGTATCCTGCAACCTTGCCATAACTGCTAGTCTGACAATTCCAACATCCCTGTTGTATCTGAATTTAGTTGTAATGCTTGCTCTGTCTCTTCACTTTTTTTTGTCTGTTAGTGTGCATTGTAATATTTTATTAAAAGCCAGACA